>NC_000008.11:28951011-29254041 GCF_000001405.40 Homo sapiens
ATCATATGACAGTAGCCTGGAGCCTCTTGTCCAGAAGCCATAAAGAATGTGATGTTTTAACCTCTTCTATCTGTTCATGAGTTAGTTCAGCAAATATTTAGTGCCTGTTACGTTCCAGATAATATTTTATTTATGTTTTTTGAGCAGAGTCTCACTCTGTCACCAGGCTGGAGTGCAGTGGCACGTTCTCAGCTCACTGCACCCTCCACCTCCTGGGTTCAAGCGATTCTCCTACCTCAGCCTCCCAAGTAGCTGGAACTACAGGCGCATGCCACTACGCCCAGCTAATTTTTACATTCTTAGTAGAGACAGGGTTTCACCTTGTTGGCCAGGATGATCTCGATCTCTTGACCTTATGATCCGCCCACCTCAGCCTCCCAAAGTGCTGGGATTACAGGCGTGAGCCACTGCGCCCGGCCCAAATAATATTTTAGGAGCAGATATAGATAATAGACAAATAAAATCAATATATAATATGTCAAGTAGCAATGCCTGCTTAGAGGAAAAAGACAGTGAAAATAAGACTATTTTGTTTAACAACAACAACAACAAAAGCTGAGTTTAGGAAAAGGAAGCCTGGAAAAAAGAGAAGCTGGTGTGGTTGTATCATACATGTTTAATCAGTGCTTCTTGAATGAATGTGCAAAAGACACAGGTGTTATCTGCAAATTTAATATACAAAAAAATGACGTGGTGAAGAGAGAAAGTACTGAATATAATTTTAAAATATAGGCCCAGAGAATTAATAGTTTCCTTTCATTCTGCTCTGGTTAGGCTCTCTGCAGGAGTTTTGTGTTGAATTTGGGGAGCCACTTTTTAAGAGAAACTCTGACATGCACATCTGAAGAAGGCAGTCAAGATAATAAGAAAACCAGGCTGAGCACGGTGGCTCCCACCTGTAATCCCAGCACTTTAAGAGGCCAAGGGAGGAGGAACACTTAAGCCCGATCAGGAGTTTGAGACCAGCCTGGGCAACATAGTTGGATCCCTGTCTCTACAAAAATTTTTTTAAAAATCAGCTGGGCATTATGGCATGTGCCTGTAGTCCCAGCTACTCTGAAGGTTGAGGTGGGAGGATTGTTTGAGCCTGGAAGTTTGAGGTTGCAGTGAGCTCTGATGCCTGGGTGACAGAGTAAGACCCTATCTTAAAAAAAAAAAAAAAAAGAAAAAGAAAAGAAAATGAGAAAACCATATCCAACTGGAATCAGGACTAGGAATATTTATTTATTTAGTTGTATTTTTGAGGCGGAGTCTCACTGTCACCCACGCTGGAGTGCAGTGGCATGATCTTGACTCACTGCAGCCACCACCTCCTGGGTTCAAGCGATCCTCCTGCCTCAGCCTCCCGAGTAGCTGGGATTACAGGCCCCCACCACCGCTTCCGGCTAATTTTTGTATTTTTGTTAAAGACGAGGTTTCACCATGTTAGCCAGGCTGGTCTCAAACTCCTGACCTCAAGCCATCCACCCGCCTGGGCCTCCCAAAGTGCTGGGATTACAGGCATTAGGCACCGTGCCCAGCCAGGACTAAGAATATTTAACATGGAGACTATTTGCAAAGATTATGCTGATTTTTAAAAAGGCTGACTTGTGGAAAAAAAAAATTTAATCTTTATCAGTCCAGCCAGACAAATAGGTTGAAGTTACAGGAAACAATTTTAGAAACTATAAAAGGAAGATCTTTATCAGTAAAACTCTCCAATAAGCTTTCTGGTCACTGGAAGTGTAGGAAAGGCTACACGAGTATCTATAGGTCTATCAGTTTTTGACAAGTACTGTATGTAATAATTCTTTTGGAATAAAAATATCCATGATATGTGATATATGTAACTTTAATCACAAATCATAATGATGCTTGACTTCTTGCACAGTGTTTATCACAAGTAAACATTTGCCCAGAGAAATGATAACAAAGAGTATTTGAATCTTACATTTTGGAGAAAGGTGAAGCCTACTATAGCAGAACTACAGTTCTGCTAAGACAAGGGAAGTCCGTTAGCTGATTGACCTTGGGCAAGTAGTGTCTTGTCTTAATTACCTACCTGAAGGGATTCTGAGATTAAACGAGCTGTTAACTATAAAGTACTTATTTCCCAGTGAGTGTCTGACCCAAAGAAGTGTTCATTAAATAGTGATAGTAGTTGTTCTTTACCATTTTAAACTATCAGGAGGCATTATTTGAGAGATTCATATTTCAATCATCATTTTTAATTCCTGTTTCTATGGTATGTGTTTTCCTTGTGTCACCAACCATCCTTCACCCCAGACCCTCCATGTGTCTGTCTCTCAAGTCACAGCTAACTGTAGTAAGGCCTCATTTATTGGTTATTGTTTGAGGGAAAAACTGTTTGGCATGAGTGCAACACCTTCTGATTAACTTCCTAAAAGGTAAACTTGTCTTTTAGCCATTTTAGCTTTAAAAAACATAGTTTCCTGCCTGTTTAAAACAAAGATCCTAAACATGACTTTAACTTCTCGATGAGTCACTGTTATGTGTAGCTGTAATTAAATAGTCATTTTCATTTACTTTATTTTCTTCTCTTCTGGTAGCTATCATTTTTTTTTTTCCAGTGGTTAAGCCTTTTTATACTCTCCCAACCACTTTTTAAGTTTCTATGTCTAGTCTGGATTTGGAAATCAGATATTGGCATTTGCTAAGAATTTTATGTATTAAAATGATGAGATACCTGATACCTGGAATTTGCTTGAGAATACCTCTTGGAGCAGGGAGAGGAGGAGATATAAGATTGGCCATGATTTGCTAACTGTTCAAGCTGGGTGATAGGTATATAAGCGTTCATTAACTGTCTCCTCTTTCTGCTCTTTTACATGTTTGCAAATTTTCATAATAATAACTGATTTTAAAGAACCACCAGTTAAAAAAAGAGTTGTATGTTAGCTGTATGCAGGCCTATGCATATTTTGTATCTTTGTAAGGATTCACAGGAAACTGGTATTTATCTTTGGTCAGTAGCACTGAGAGTTTAGGGGAGAGGATGTTCACTTTTCTTTTTATCCTGCTGGAGTTTCATGATATTTTTTACCTCTATGAGCTGTGTTTATTTTTATATTTATGTATATATGTATTTTTTAAACATTTATATCTAGTCAGGAAGGAGGTTCATATTCTCATCTGTAAATTGAAAGTGCCAATAATGTCTAATTTATGGGATTCTGAGCATTGCATACTTCTCTATTTTAAACTTTTTTGGTTTTATTTTTATAGATATTTTAGATGGGTAAAATTGGGTTCTGTGTAAGGGACTAAAGGAGCAGCTTTAGAAGGGGCTCTGTAATGGTGTTTAAATTTTGGGGGATTATTTTTTATTATCCAAATCTGGGCTTAAGGGTCTTACTAGTTGGTCTATGTAGTATCCCCCATCATCTCTCCCAATGATGGCTTGCTTGCTGCCTGTGCCACCCTTTCTTAATTCTTTGCTTTCTTCCAGAAGCCTTACATTCTTCTTAATACTTCTTTCTTCCCTGATTTAAATATTCTGTCCTTTCTGTGTGTACCATTATTGAGTGAAACAGATCTATGCCAAGCTGTACAATGTAAATTCAATTTTAAATCACCACTAACATATTGGATTCACAATGCAGCATTTTTTGAAGATGGGAGTATAAACTGGTGCCTCTTTGGGAGGCAATTTGACAAAATCTGTCATAACTTAAAATGTATATACTCTGTCACAACAATTATACTGCTAGTGTTTTACCCTAATGATGTACTTACACGTGTACAAAGATGTATGAAGAAGGATGGATGACAAGAAACTATGGTGTGTGGGTGGAAAAGAAGAAGGACTTTGGGGTGGGAGACCAGCTTACCTTTCATTTTATGTCTTTGAAAGTTTACTTTTTTTCTGTACCTTATACAGTAATTACTTTTTATATTCAAGAGAAAAACTAGGGTAGAACGAGCCATCTTGCCACCTTCTGGCAATACAGTATCGACAGGTTCTTATTCCTAATAGATTTTTCTTGATTATGTTTTTCTTCAGAGGTCAACATTGCTGATGGTAGGCGTCTTCATTGCTCTACTTGACTTCATGTAATATTTTGACAGTTCTAGTCCTTTGGTAATTCAGAGTTCATTTCTGATGGTAGGAATTCTTATAATTTTATCAAATATGCATATATATATATTTGTTACATGTATATATGTAAATGTGGCCATATGCTTTTTAAAAAGTATAGTCTCTTTTTTTTCTTCTCAAGTTGTTTTTTTTCTTTACTTCCTTCATTCCTTGGCTTCTGAGGCCATTCACATATCCTTCCTGATCCATATCCTATACGCACACCCATTCTTCACCCCAGTTCCTTTACGTGTTGCCCACCTATTCTTTTCTTCTATGCTCTTGTACATAGAGATGTGCATATGTATGTCTGCCTTTAGATACGCAAACTGATGTCAGAACACACATATAAAGGGATATTTTGGTTGTAGTTTTCTTTTTTAAATCCTGATCATATTATGCTTTCTTAAAATAGCATTTTATTTTTTACTCAACACTGCATTAAATAAATTCTACCAAAGTACTTGATAAAACTCTAATTCTTTTTAATGATTGGATTTGTGTTAATTGATTAAAGTATATTGTAATTTAGCCATTTCTGTGTTGATCGAAACAACTCTTTGTAGAAATAAGAAATTGGGGCTGGGCACGGTGGCTCACGCCTGTAATCCCAGCACTTTGAGAGGCCGAGGCGGGCAGATCACCTGAGGTCAGGAGTTCGAGACCCAGCCTGGCCAATGTGGTGAAACCCTGTCTCTACTAAAAATACAAAAATGAGCCGGGCATGGTGGTGGGCACCTGTAGTTCCAGCTACTAGGGAGGCTGAGGCAGGAGAATCGCTTGAATCCGGGAGGCAGAGGTTGCAGTGAGTTGGGATTGTGCCACTGCAGTCCAACTTGGGCGACAGAGTGAGACTCTGTCTAGGAAAAAAAAAAAAAAAAAAATTGGAAAGTAGGACGTTCTTGTATATATTTCCTTATGTATGGTTACTTTTATTTCTGTAGAATTGATTCTCAGGAGTAGGATTGCTAAATTAAAGGTGTAAGCTCTTTAAATTTTAATATATATCACTATATTTCTTTCCAAATGATGTCATAATCACATTTAGACCAATGAAATATGGTAGTATGATTGAAGATATGTCTGTTAAATTTTTACTGAAGTGATATCTCATTGTTAAACTGTTATTTCCTTGACTTCTAGTGCATTTGAGTATTTTTTGAATAAACTTGATAACTTGGATCTGCTCTTTCTCTACATGTCATGTTTTTTCCAGTTTAACTGCTTAAGTTTTTTTTTTCTTCATAATAGGAAATTTTTAACGTTTTGTTTATCTTTTGAAGTTTCTGGTCTTTGTTAAGCATATCTACAAGACCTGTCATCTTCTAAATTTTGTTGTAGATGTATTACTATGATTTATTTTTTACATTTGTCTTTATTCTGCCTGATACTTATTTTTTACATATAATGTAAGATAAAAATGCAATTGTTTTTTTTGCTAGATGATAACCAGTTTTTTTATTATAATTTTAAAAAATATGTATTCTTTCCTGCTGAATTAAAATGTAACCTTTGATAGCACATTGTGCCATATGTGCTGTAATCTATAATTAAGATCTTTATTCTGTCCTGCTCATTTGTGTGTGCGTTTCTATGCCAGTGCCATATTGATTTCATTACAGTGGCTTTTGAATGTATTTCTGATTATCTGGTCAGAGAAGTCCACTTTTGGTTTTCTTCTTTTGCACAATTTTCTTAGTAGTTCTTAAACTGTCTGCTCTAACCCCATTAAAAAGTGGACAAAAGACATGAGCAGACACTTCTCAAAAGAAGACTTACAAGCAGCCAGCAAACATGAAAAAATGCTTATCATTAATCATCAGTGAAATGCAAATCAAAACCACAGTGAGATACCATCTCACACCAGTCAGAATGGCCATTATTAAAGTCAAAAAACAACAGACGTTGGCAAGGCCACTGTAGAAAGCAATTTGGAGAGTCCTCAAAGAACCAACAATGGCCTGGGCGTGGAGGGTATAAACCCAAAGGAAAATATATTGTTCTACCAAAAAGACACATGCACCCATGTGTTCATTGCAGCACTATACACAATAGCAAAGACATGCAATCAGCGTAGGTCCCTATCAACAGTGGAACGGATAAAGAAAATGTACATTTATGCCATGGAATGCTACCCATAAAAAAAGAACAAAATCATGTCCTTTGCAGCAATGTGGGTACAGCTGGACTCCATTATCCTATGTGAATTAATGCAGAAACAAAATTAAATACTGCATGTTCTCACTTATAAGTGGGTGCTAAACTTTGGGTACACGTGCACATAAAGATGAGAGCAGTAGACACTGGAGACTCCAGGAGTGGGGAAGGAGGAAATCGGGGCAAAGGTTGAAAAAATAACTGTTGGGTACTATGCCCACTACCTGAGTGATGGGTTCAGTTGTACCCCAAATCTCAGCATCATGCAATATACCCTTGTAACAAACCTGCACATGTACCCCTTGAGTCTAAAATAAAAGTTGAAAAACAAAGCCTTTCTGCTCTATTAGGTCCTATTTTTATTTATTTATTTTTACTATTGTTATTATTTTTTGAGATAGCGTCTTGCTCTGCCGCCCAGGCTGGAGTGCAGTGGTACGATCTCGGCTCACTGTAGCCCCAGCCTCCTGGGTTCAGGCGATTCGCCTGCCTCAGCCTTCTGAGTAGCTGGGATTATAGGTGTGTGCCACCATGCCCAGCTAATTTTTGTATTTTTAGTATAGACGAGGTTTCACCATGTTGGCCAGGCTGGTCTCGAGCTCTTGACCTCAAGTGGTTCGCCCGCCTCAGCCTGTCGAAGTGCTGGTATTACAGGTGGTTCATGCCACCACGCCCAGCCTAGGTCCTATTTTTAAATTGAAAGGAAAACCTTTTTGGCTTCTTTCTCAATATAGTTATTCATAAATATTGGGAAAGGCTATCCCTGTCAATGAAAATCTCTTTCCCATTCTTTTTCTAGATGTTTCCTGCTCAATTAGAGAAACTTAATTTTAAAAGTATTGTATCATATCTCAATTTAATAATTTCTTTTATTTCAGGGTTTGGTTTTATTTTGTTTTGAAAGATACCGAGGTTTTGCTATATTGCCCAGGATAGTCTTGAACTCCTGGCCTCAAGCAATCTTCTTGCCTCAGTGTCCTGAGCCGCTGGGATTACAAACGTGAGCCACTGCAGACAGCTAATTTTCAGTTTTTTAAAAATATAATTGCTTGAGTTTTCTAGACATTGTATTGCCAAATCATTGACAAAAAGATATTTTTCTCTTTTATTCCAATATTTTTGCCAGTTAATTCTTTTCTGTCTTACCATTTTTCCTGTAAACTTTAAGTCAGTGTTTACTTATAAAGGATTTAGTGGGCTTCTCACTCTAATTCCTAATTTTATTCGTTTGATTTATTGTATAGGTAATAACATTCACATGGTTAAAATAATTTTTTAAAAAAGCTTCCTATGAACAGCTTCCTTCCCATTCCTCTCCGTAATCTCTGTAGTTCCTAACCCTGCATTCAAAGTAACCACTGTTATTGGATCTCTTCCACAGATTATTTTATGCATATAAAAGTGAAATTACACACATAGATACTCTCTCTATATATATTTATTGTGTGTGCATGCAATCTTAATTTTATTTGAAATGCTTTTAGTGTTTTGCTGTTTAGAATAATATTTGCCCTTCTTATGTTTTTACCAGAGTGTTTTTTTCTCTAGTCTTCTTTTCCATAGTTTTTTGTTTAAAATGGCTAAGTTTTACTGAATGCCTTTTCAACATCTATTGATATAATCATGTAATTTCTCTGCCTTAAATTGGTTGATATATTGGATTATGTTGATTTCCTAAAGATGGACCACTCTTGCATTTCTGCGTAAATTATAGTGGTATACAATGGACCCCCCTTATCCACCGGGAATACATTCTAAGACTCCCAGTAGATGCCTGAAACTGCAGATAGTATCAGACTCTGTGTATACTATGCACAGATTTCATTTTCCTTCTTCACAGTTTCACAGAAGATTCATTCTTCTTATAGATCTTAGTAATCTCAGCATATGATTTTTTTTTTTTAACTTAAGTTGAGAGCTTTCACCTTTTCACTGAACGGAAGCACTTTTGGCTTCTGTTTGGTGTATTGAAATTGCCAGCATCATTATTCTTGAGCTTTGGGGCCATCATTCTGTAGAATAAGTATTACTTAAACAGGGGCACTGTTAGATACCAGGACAGTCAGTGTGATAAGCTAGACAGCTAGTGAGTGAGTAAGGGTCAGGTAGGGTCTACAGTGTGGATGCCCTGAAGGAGGAGCATGAGGTTTCTAAGTTACTAAGAGTGGCTCACATTTTAAAACTTATGAATTGTTTATTTCTGGAATTTTCCACGTAATATTCTCGGACCATGGTTACTGCAGGTTACTGAAACCACAGAAAGCCAAAGTAAAACAGCAGATAAAGTGGGGGACTACTGTATTATTTCTCATATGTCCTACACTCTATAGTCTAATGTGAGTTTTTACTTAGATCTTTTACATTTAATTTTTAAGTGAAATGGTATGTTCTGTATACTACCTTTATTAGGTTTGCTGTTGAATAATTCTGGCTGCATAAAATGGATTGGAACATTTCCTGTATTTTTCTATAGTTTAGTATTATTAGAATTATGTTTTTTAAATAGATTAAGTCTGCTGAGAACTCAGCTGATTTTGATGCCTCTTTCTATAGATTCTTAATTACCTTTATTTTACTCTATTTGGTTTGACTAAAGAGTTTATTTTTTGGTCAATTTTGATATATTCTGTTTTACTGGGAAATCGTTTTTCTCTTTTAGGTTTTTAAATGAATTGTCATGCAGTTGCATTTATAATTTCTTAGGGTTTTTTTCCCCCAATACTATGGCTGTATTTTTCTTTTCCTTCTGAATCTTACCAGTTTTTTTCTCTCTTTTCTCTTTATTAGACTTTCTGTGTAATTATTTAATAGTCTTTCAAAGAGCCAACATTTGGACTTACTTATGCCTTCTGTAGCTTCATTTTATATTAATTTCAAATATTATTTCTTAGTTCCATTTTTCTAGCTTATTTTGGTGTACAGTATTTTATTTTTCTATTTTTTAAGTACTATTTTTTCTTTTGACTTTTAAAAATGAGCCACCGTGCCTGGCCTGGATTTTTGTTATGAAGAACAATCCTCTTTTTTGTCACAGTGTATTGTTATGTTGGTCATAATTTCTTTTGTGGTTTCTTCTTTGATCCAAGGGTTATTTATGATTATCTTGTAGTTTATAAGTAGTTATTTTTGTACATTTTTCCCTAGATTGTTTGGATTATATATATGAAATTAAACCTTTTGTTTTACCGTGTTTGTGATCAATTATGGTAATGGACATAGGGAAAAAAAAACTTCTTTGTTAGAAGGTTTACAAAGTATCTTTTTATCTTTAAAATTATGTTTATTGATAATATATCAAATTTCTGTTTTTTAAATTTTCTCCAACTATATTTGTTCATTCTAAAAGGTATACTGAAATAACTCATGTTTATACTTTAAAAAAAAATTATTAAAGTAGTTATGATTTTTGCTTTATTACCTCTCATGTTATTTGGTCTTTGTGTTTGTAACTCTTATATCTTGGTCATAAACTGTATATTTTATAATTGTAAACTTATTCTCTTTTTCTTTTTCTTTTTCTTTTTTTTTTTTTTTTTTTTTTTTTTTTTTTTTTTTTTTGGAGACGGAGTCTTGCTCTGTCGCCAGGCTGGAGTGCAGTGGTGTGATCTTGGCTCACTGCAACCTCTGCCTCCCGGATTCAAGCGATTCTCCTGCCTCAGACTCCTGAGCAGCTGGGACTACAGGTGCATGCCACCATGCCCAACTAATTTTTGTGTTTTTGGTAGAGACGGGGTTTCACCATGTTGGCCAGGATGGTCTCGATCTCTTGACCTCATGATCTGTCTGCCTTGGCCTCCCAAAGTGCTGGGATTACAGGCATGAGCCACCAGGCCCAGCCTCTCTTTTTCTTTTATAGGTTGCTTGTTTTCTATGGCCAGGTGCTTGAATGTGATCCAGCATCCATAAATTTATATCCCTAATGCCTTTTAATATAAAGTTTTTATTATAATGTTCTACTTTTTTATTGTGTTGAAATATGCATAACATAAAATCTACCATTTTAACGTATATAGTTCAGTGGCATTAAATACATACAGTATACAGCAGTCACCACCATCCATTTCCAGAACATTTTCATCCTCACAGATTGAAACTCTGTACCCTTAAATAATAACTTCTCATTATTCCTTGCCCATTTTACCCACCATGCTACTTTCTGTCTCTGTGAATTTGACTACTCTAGGTACCTCATGTAAATGGAATCATATAATATTTGACCTTTTGTGATTGGGTTGTTTCGCTTAGCATCATGTCTTCAAGTTTCATTCATGTTTTTGTGTCAGAGTTTCCTTCCTTTTAAAGGCTGGGACAATATTCTGTTTGTATATATATCACATTTCATTTATCCATTTATCTGCCAGTGGACATTTGGGTTATTCCCACATTTGGCTTTTGTGAATAATGCTGCTGTGAACACAGCCTGATTCCACTTCTTTTGGATAGATATCCAAAAGTGGAATCGCTGGATCATATGGTAATTCTGTATTTAGTTTTTTGAGGAACTGCCATACTGTTTTCCATAGTGGCTTCACCATTTTGCATTTCAGCCAGCAATATACAAGGATTCCATTTTCTCCACATTATTGCCACACTTGTTATTTTATGTTTATTTTTATAAATAATAGGCATTCGAATGGGTGTCATTTTATTTTTTTTTTTTTTTTTTCTTTTTTCTTTTTTTTTTTTTGAGACAGGGACTCATCATGTTGCCCAAACTAGCCTTGAACGTGTTGCCCAAACTAGCCTTGAACTCCTGGCCTCAAGTAATCCTCCTGCCTCAACCTCCTAAGTAGCTGGGATTACAGGTGTGAGCCATTGCACTCAGTGTGGATGTGATCTTAATACCCATTTTTATTTAGTTCCTGATCTGTTTTTAAAATAACTTGAAAACATCTGTCAATTAGAAAAAAATAATCTGTCTCCTCTGCCAGAAGAGCTTTATGAAATTGAGAGAATTCATAACATCTTGTTTGCTTGGTCTTCTGTTTTTAGAACATTCCTTTTTTTGTAGAATATTTTAAGCCCATTTATGTCTGAAATATAACTGACATAATTCAGTGTCTTATGGTTACATAAATTTGTATCAGTGACTTAATCTGTTTTCCTGTCTGTGAAATGAGGGTCTTTGATGATAACTTCCTAGCATGGAAGTTGTCAAAGGATCCCCTCTAGAAGGGGAGCCTGACCTTTTTTCTGTATTCATGGTGCATGCTACATGCTAAACATGCTACATGTAAACGTGCTGCATGGTTCTCATGATTACAGAATAAAGGTCAGGATCCCCTTCTAGATCATCTACTCCTCACACATACTGTGTTAAAGGCCAGCAACACAAGCCTACTAATTCCCTAAATAAATCTCATAATTTCTTTTCACTGTTCCCTCTTCCTGGAATCTTTCCTCCACTGATTCTCACCTCCCTCTACACCTTGATGTTGTGGAAGTCTTATTCTAATCCTCAAATAACAGCCAGATTTCACTCTAAGAAATCTTCCTAGTTCTCTCTAACCTGAATTAGTTTCTGGATTGTTACTCATATAAACGTTGTATTTTTGGTCTTTTTTTTTGTATTATATTTTTTATTTGAGAGGGGTGTGTCTATAATTTTTGTCCCTAGTCTCTATTCTCCCCACCTCCCGCCATTTAATGAACTCCTAAGCTCCTCTACTGTTGGGACCATATCTTACTCATATTTAGTTCTTGTGTCTATGCCAGGGCAAGCAGGTGCCTCATATATTTTAACTGAATTTGAGCAGGTAGTGAAAAATGTGTTTGTGGCCCAGGCTAGAGTGTGATGGTGCGATCTCGGTTCACTGCAACCGCCGCCTCCCAGGTTCAAGTGATTCTTCTGCCTCAGTTTCCCAAGTAGCTGGGATTACAGGCATGTGCCACCACCCCCGGCTAATTTTGTATTTTTAGTACAGTTGGGGTTTCGCCATGTTGGTCAGGCTGGTCTCGAACTCCTGACTTCAGGTGATCCACCCGCCTCAGCCTCCTAAAGTGCTGGGATTACAGGCATGAGCCACCACGCCTGGCCTGTTTTTAAGTCAACAAGAAAATTATCTACAACAGGAACTTCATTAGTGCTACAGTTTAGAATATACAAATATGAAAGGTTTCTAACTTTACCTTGTACATTTTGCATATATCATTAGTCATTGTTGGACACTTTGGCCATGCTTAATATAATTCAGTACTGAATATGTATTTCAATGTGAGAGTTTTTGACATCAACATTTTTAACTTTTGTCTAATTTATAATCTTAGAGTTAATGGAAATCAGTGCCTCTATAACTATGGTTTTAACCAGCTAATAAGTTGTCTTCATGATCTTTAGCTTCTAAACAATGAATAGTAGATACCATTTTTTGTTAAGATCTGTGTCTGAATTGAAAGGGATCAAAGTGTATGGTGAATAAAGCAGTAGAATGCAAATCAGAAGATATAATATTTAACATGATTAGCTAGTGTTAACTCTTGCTGTCCATCAGTTACATAATTAAAATTTTTATTCAGCACTTGATTAACATAAATGTTTCTCAATTTTCTATCTTTGTTCTACAGAATGGTAGATAACGCAGATCATCTCTGGAAAGGATATTGATCCGCCTCATGTAAAGTATGCTTAGTTCCTTTCCAGTGGTGTAAGTATCAAGTCCTTTTTGATTTTTATCTTCACAATCATTTTAGTAAAGTTAAGATGTCACTATGATTATGATCCAGATTTGACAACAGACGTTTGTAGAGTTGAAAAGCTTTTTTAGAAAATGAATCAAATGTTATACCTATTTGACATTAAGGTGAATAAGTGTCATGATCATGTGGTGAGAAATGAATTTTTAAATCTATCAGCCTTCTCTTACCATTTCTGTTTTCAACTTTGAATTTTAACATTAATTTTAAATTGAATATAAAATTAATTATTATTTTTAACTGCTTAAAGCTTAGAAGCATCCAAGATAGATGACTAACAGTTCAAGAGAGCTAATATTAGATTCCTTGTGACAAGCAGACTACTGGAAGCATACATCTTCATGTTGCCTTTTGTGTAAAAACTCCTAGCACCTTAACCATTTTCCTTTACCTGCTGGGGGCATGATGATGTAGTTAAGCCTATTAGCTGATGTGCTAGCCTTTCTTTGGAGTCAGGCAGAAAATACAAATTGAGATAGTGGTATTGTGTTGAGAGTGTTTTTGTGCTAGGATATGAACTATAACCACCAGTTCATATTAAATAGGCCTTTGAATAAAAGTATTCCGGGAATTTCAGATATTAGAGAAGACAGAGTATCTATTAGCTCATTAAGTGCATCTTTAGAGTCGAATGCAGAGTGCCTTTAGCATAAGTATTTTCTAAAATTTGATGGAGTCTCCACTTTGCTTAAATTCCTTCCGTTTTGGTTGACAGTTCTATAATACAGTAAGTAAACATTAAGAGAGATTTTCCTTATTATTTAGGCTTTTCATTATAGTTCCCCCACCCCCACCCCAGTAGATTCTATGATATAGTGAAAAGTTTCTGGAACAGACCTAGAAGATGTGAACTGTAGCCCGACTTTCTGCTAAGTAGCTATATCCTTGGGAAGGCACTTCACCTCTTTGGGCCTTAGTTTCCCTCCCCACTTTTTAAAAAAATTTATTTGCTAATGGCTATTTTCAATCTATCAGCCTTCTCTGTTACCATTTCTATTTTCAACTTTGAATTTTGACATTAATTTTAAATTGAATATAAAATTACTTATTATTTTTAACTGCTCAAAGCCTAGAAGTTTCTGAGATAGATGGCTAAGCATTCAGGAGAGTTAAGACGTCTAATGGCTATTGAAAATAGTAAGATGTCTAATAGTTACTGAAATGAATGTAAGCATCATGAAGCCATGAATTTTTGCCTGATTTGTTCCTTGTTGTGTCCTCTGTGCCTTGCACAGGATCTGTTACATAGTAGGCATTCAATAAATGTTACTTAAATGAATGATTTTTGTCTAAGTGATCTCCAGTTTTCTCATTCCACACCTAACTTATATCTCCCTTTATAAATGTGCATGTTTGTACTTGGATTTTTGTCACATATGGTAGAAATAAGATGATCAAAGTATGATTTCATGAATCACAGTGTTTATTGCCATACAAAGAGAATTTTTTCTTGGGTTCACAGTACTTAAAGATGGGGAGAGTAACATAGACAGACTTCACAGGGAATACACTCAATAGATGAGGTACATTAACCACATTATGAATGTGTTCCAAAGCTATTAAAGTGTCTTTGCTCAATTATGATGAAAGGAGGCCTCTGTGTTCAAGTGAAGGCTAAAGGTGGAGGTGTACCTTTACATGAGCAGTTCTTGGGAGAGGCTGGCTTGACCACCATAGCTGAGATCTGAGACCACAAGGAAGGCCCCTCAGTGCTAGAAAATGCTGGCCTGCAAGGTATAAAAGCTTTGAGGCCTGTTGCAGCCTGAGCTCTCTGGTTTTGGAGAAGCTGCTGACAGAGAGTAGCCCTGCCACAGCCTAAGCTCCCAAAGTGTCTGTTAAGCTCTTGAGTGTATATGTATTTTGAAGTCCAGTAGTTGTGACAGTAACTCACATATGCAGTTTGACATGAGGTGACATTCCTGAGAGGATGGAGAGTTCTCTCTCTGATAAAAATATTGTGATTGACCCTAGAGTGTGTTAAATTAGCATGCAGTAAATATCATGTATGCAAAACAAAACTAACCTATTTTGCCTAGTCATTCTAGATAATAAAAATAAAGACAGCAGAATTGAGCTGAAGAAAAAGCTGTTATCCAATAAAATTTTACTGTTGGTGCTTTACAAGTAAGATAGTAATGTCCTTTTTACCTCTGTGATTTCAAGATTAATTATTTGTGAATGCTTTAATCTTCTTTGCTCTACATGTTTGTAGAATTTAGCTTATGAAAGTATATTCTAGACCTCATGCCTTATCCAAGAAGGGTTTAGGTACATATTCAAGTCAGGATAAAATGTATTGTGAAAAGTTATTATTATGGTCTTATGGTATGATATTTTCTTAGAATATCAGTTTATGAACTGAGCCATAATTCCTGAATTTAATTGTTCTTTTATGCCTTAAACACTGTCTGTTATTACAGTGGTGAAATTCTTCTCACATCATTTTCAATTATTGTTGGCCTGAGTCTGCATTCAGATTAGTAATTTAAAGTGAAAGATGTTCCTTATCCTCTGAACAATCCTTGTGCATAAGAAAATTAATTCAATTCTTACATGTTATCTTTTTCTGTTATAAAAGAATTGCTGGTATCATGGACTTAGATGACCTTTGTAGGTCATTTACTGCCATAAATTCGTGATTATATGCTTAAACTAGGTAAATTATGAGAAATAAAATTGTGAAATGCCGGAGTATATGCCTTTGTTTATATTAATACACATTGGAACATTATTCTCAATATCCAGGAGAGCTTCTAGACTCAGCGTTTTCTCAGTAAAATATTGTATCTTCAGTGTCACATGCATGCTTTGATCCTGTTTGTTATGCTCTTAATCACTTTGCTTTGTAGTGATCATATGAATGATCATTCTAGCAATTGTGGATCATTTTGCTTTAGGTTATATTTGCATTAGGAAACTCTCAGTGCAGGGCACAGACATCTAATTTGAACAAGGTGATACATAAAGGGAAATGTATTCTCTGATGAAACAAAACAGCAAGAAGAGCAGGGATATATCAGGGGCTTAGGGATTATTGGAACAAGGGATGTGAGTGCTGCAGAGCTTTCTCCATCGCTCTGTTCCACGTTTCTTGGTATGTCTGCTTCTTCCTCCCATGAACTAGCTGCTTCCATATAATGAGGAATTTACCAGACTAATATCTTCCTGCAACTGAACACAGTTATGGTGACTGTTCATCTTTCCCCTCGTCTGACTAGAAAATTATGGGGAGAGCAAGGTTTGGCTTTCTTCTGTGCTCACCCCACTGGCCAGAAGGTGGGGTATTACGAGTGATAGCCCAAGAACATGTGCTTGGAAAGAATGAGGTGTTCTAAGCAGACAAAGTAAATAGGTGGCCTATTGTTTCTCCTTTTATGACTTGGAATAAAAGTGGTTCTAATAGTCAATGAATCTGAAATGACACAAAATATTAGATTGTTTCATATGCTGTGAAATCTTTAGTTTTGACAATTCTAATTCAAGTGTTAGGATGGATACTTTTCAGTAATAAGTGAAATTCATACAATTTACTTTTGCTTTATGCTAATACAGAGTGCTGCTCCATACAAGGAATGGTTTGAAGAACTGTATATAGATAACTAACTGCTCTGATATGAATACTATAGGAAAATACTATGATTGGGGATTTTTGTCCATATAATAAAACAGTTATTGAAGTCATCTAAAGTAAGATCACTTTATGAAATACTTTGATAACATGAAGACTGAAAATAGCAACAAACAGGTCTACTTCATTTTCAAGGGAAAATAATAATGTTTATGTTTAATTTTTTTCATTACAAAATATTGTGGGGGAACTTAGGCCATCAAGAAAGAATATAATAATCATGAAAATAGGTCTTTTTAAAATCATGGCTAACTTGTTACAAGTGAGTATTGGAAGAAATCAGACCCTAACATTTGTAGGTGTAGAGCAGATACTGTGGCCCATGGGCACAAATGGCCTGCAACATGTTTAGGTCCACAGAATGTGTGTGTTTGGTTTTGTTTTATTTTTATGAGCTTGTTTTAAAAACCAGGAAGATTTCATCTACAGTTCTAGATTTTTCCCTACTTATTTTTAAAAGGATTTGAAAGATAAAACAATCAGTGAAATGGAATAGACTATCCAAAGGTAATGCAGATTCATATGGAAATTGTGTATATGATAAAGGCAGCATTTCACATCGGAGGAGAAGACAGATATTCAGTAAAAACATACGACATCTAGCTGTCCATTTGGGATGAAATAAAGCCCCAATTTTTTATACTTGTTAAGTCAATAAAAATTCTAGATGGAGCAAGGATTTTAAATGTAGAAAACTATTACTAGGACCCCTAGGTTCATCAGTAATTAGAATAGTTTTATCTAAATGGCTTTAAATGAGACTTAAAGGAGTAGAATAGCCTGTGTGCCAAATCATATGTTTCCAGTTAAGTCCTGCAATGTATTGTAAAGGAGAATGATGTGTGCTTTTGGAGTCAATAAGATCTAGGCTTAAATCTTTTTCCTACTGTTTACTCAGATTTTTTGTGAAGTACAAAACTACACTGAGCTTTAGTTTCCTCAACAATCAATCCATCAACATAAAATGAAATGAATAAAGAACATCTACCATGGGGAGTTGCTGTGAGAATTGGATGAGATTATGTTATGTGAAATTCGTACCCAGTTCCTGCCTAGAAGTGACTGTTAATAAAGTTTTCATGTAGAAGGACAAAGAAACAGTGAGACCTTCAATAGCTATAGGACACTGGCCCAGAGCAGATGTTTGTTTGAGAAAGATGAAGAAATTTCTTGACATCTGTTTCCATCTGCAAACACTTATTGAGAGCCTACTGCATGCCATGCATTATATTTGGCACTAGAACAATAAATATCAAAATAGAAGAGATTACAACTTTAAAAAATCTTGAATGGAAAACTCAGGTCTTATAAGAAAGGAATTCAAGGCCGAGCATGGTGGCTCACACCTGTAATCCCAGCACTTTGGGAGGCCGAGGCGGGCGAATCACCTGAGGTCAGGAGTTTGAGATCAGCCTGGCCAACATGTTGAAACCCCATCTCTACTAAAAATATAAAAGTAGCCAGGCTTGGTGGCAGGTGCCTGTAATCCCAGCTACTCAGGAGGTTGAGGCAGGAGAATCGCTTGCACCCAGGAGGTGGAGGTTGCAGTGAGCCAAGACTGCGCCACTGCACTCCAGCCTGGTTGACAAGAGCAAAACTCTGTATCCAAAACAACAACAACAACAACAACAAAGGGATTCAAGCAGTGAGAATTTTTATAGTATTTGACTACTCCCTTAATATTGTTACTCACCCTAAGAAAACATTTTCTGATGTGCTGTAGTATCTTGTGCTAGTTAAAGGAAACATGTAAAAGTAATTTCCTAAGAAAAATGAATAGCATTGTTTGGCTACAACCATGAAAGATCTATTTCTCAGGGTAGCTATTAAGAGAGAATGCATTACCAGAGATGGAAAACTTAGGAAATTGCTAAGTAGTGAATGAAATGGTGCTTATTTTTTTTTTTAATGTACCTCTGTTTTCCACTTAAGTATTTTTGCTGGTTATTAGCATTTGCTTGGACTTAGCTTAGCAAATCATTTGTTCTCACTAAATGAGGTTGTAGAGAATTCCTAGGTCTGTTTAGCTAATATTTGGTAAATAATATAATACAAACTATTTTTTTCAGTAATTTTCCATTAATACTCTAATGTAGAGTAATACACTTGAGATGGGCAAAACACTTCTGAGTTATCACGTAGCCTGGGCTTATTGCACTCCATGTACCTAATCTATTGTTCTGGTATTATTTACATAACTAAAATTTTGGTTCTGATATTTACCAAAATTGAGGAAAATGTAAATTGTATGCCATATGAAATTAGGTTTTATGTTACACCTATGTTCACCTACTAATACATTTAGTATCTGTACCAATCCATTTGCCATGGCACAATCATTCTAGCATGGGACATACCTTCATTTTCAATACAGAAGCTTATGTAGAAATATTGCATCTTCTGAGCATTCTGTATAATATGTGCTTTGGTAGATACTGTCAATAAAGAGACTTCTTTTTATCTCTTTTTTTTTAGTTTGCTGGAAACCATGTCTCATTATACAGATGAACCCAGATTTACCATAGAGCAGATAGATCTGCTTCAGCGACTTCGGCGTACTGGAATGACTAAACATGAAATTCTCCATGCCTTGGAAACTTTGGACCGTCTTGATCAAGAGCATAGTGACAAGTTTGGAAGAAGGTCCAGCTATGGAGGAAGTTCATATGGGAATAGTACTAACAATGTCCCAGCATCTTCCTCTACAGCTACAGCTTCCACACAGACGCAGCATTCGGGAATGTCCCCGTCACCTAGCAACAGTTATGATACTTCCCCACAGCCTTGCACTACCAATCAAAATGGGAGGGAGAATAATGAGCGATTATCTACATCCAATGGAAAGATGTCACCAAC
Organism: Homo sapiens; assembly: GCF_000001405.40. Classification (NCBI taxonomy): domain Eukaryota; kingdom Metazoa; phylum Chordata; class Mammalia; order Primates; family Hominidae; genus Homo; species Homo sapiens. Next base: position 28,970,424 of record NC_000008.11, read on the forward strand.
TCGCTACCATGCAAACAGCATGGGTCAGAGGTCATACAGTTTTGAAGCCTCAGAAGAGGACCTAGATGTAGATGATAAAGTGGAAGAATTAATGAGGTTAGTGACTTTGCTTATTCAGAGTCCCTAAAAATGTCTGTATTCTTAGATTGTTTTTAAGTAGTATGCTGCGTTTCAGCTACTTAGCTATAAGAACTGTAACTTCCTCTAGCTATAAGAACTGTAACTTCCTCCTCCCACCTTTGGAGATGAAAGAAAGAAAGTTCAAGCTTTATGTTTTTAATTTAAATTTTCTCTTCTTTACTTCAGCCCTTTCTCTTTGCTGCTTGACAAGCCTTTTCCATTCTGTTTATCAAACACTAATCTTCTCTATGACTCTAATAGCTAATTTCTGACTAACAGACACATTCTAATCCTTAAAAATCTGTTGTAAGTACTTTTTCTGAGGGATAATTTTATCTTGATCAGAATATGTACACTCTTAATTTTTCTGTTCAACATTCCAATCAAGAAAATAATTTGGGGTACCTATTATATAGGTTCTAATTTTAGCAATAGATGACACACACACACACACACACACACACACACACACACACACACACACACATTGTCTTTTATAAGTGTAAGAACTTAGAGTTTTAAACACTGAGAAAAGAAATCTACTTTTTTTTTTTTTTTTTTTTTTGAGACAGAGTCTTGCTCTGTATGCCCAGGCTGGAGTGCAATGGCGTGATCTCGGCTCACCACAATCTCTGCCTTTCCAGGTTCAAGCGATTCTCTTGTCTCAGCCTCCCGAGTAGCTGGGGTTACAGGCATGCACCACCATGCTGAGCTATTTTGTATTTTTAGTAGAGATGGAGTTTTTCCATGTTGATCAGGCTGGTCTCGAACTCCTGATCTCAGGTGATCCACCCGCCTCGGCCTCCCAAAGTGCTGGGATTACAGGCATGAGCCACTGCACCCAGCCGAAAAGAAATCTGCTTTCAACAGAAGTAATTAGGAAAGGCTTCACACTGGACCCTGGGACACTTTGAGGGTAACAGCATGTGTTTTCCATTATTGTGCCTCCAGGATCTGGAACTTTCCCTAGCACATGTTAAGGGCCTGATATGTTTAATGAATGGGTGACCTTGACCTAAATGGTAAAGAATAGCATTTGTTTTAAAATACAGGAAATGTATTTAAAATTAAGGGAATAGTAAAGGGTAAGAAAGGCAAGGCATGTCTTCAGTCTGATAAAAATTACTGATGGGTAAGACAATGTAATATGAATAATATATTAGGAGACAAAACAGGTTTTGGGAGACTTTGAGTTCCATACTAGTTTATTTACTTTTGTTGGAATTGAGGAGTTTTGTAAAAACTCCTCTAGGAATAGAGATGATAAAGGTATTGTTTTCAGTAGATTTCCACTACAGTAGAAGGGAAAGAGCCTGCAGATAAATTAGTTACAGTAGATTATGAAAGAAACTGTAACAGGAATTTGTCAGAAATAAAAATAGTACCTATAAGTATCATTATAATTCTTCCTAAAGATTTTTAAACTTCAAGATGGAATAATAGTGACACATAATAATATTGCCACATGGAAGATATGTCCAATAGTACCACAATGTTGAAATATCCTTCAAACTGTCCTGAATTTATTTTTAGGTGCAACTTTATTATATGAAATTCTGTGCTAAATCAACTATTTTATCTGGATTCCAGATACAGTATAAATAAAGTATAATATTAATACCTGTAATGAATAATTTGATACAGCAGTTACAGTTACAAGTCATTGTTTTGTTTGGTTTGGTTTTTTGAGACGGAGTCTTGCTCTGTCACCCAGGATGAAGTGCAGTGGTGCGATCTCGGCTCACTGCAACCTCCGCCTCCTGGGCTGAAGTGATTCTCCTGCTTTAGCCTCCTGAGTAGCTGGGACTGCAGGCGTGTGCCACCATGCCCAGCTAATTTTTTTTTTAAAGTTAAAAATATAAGAGATCAGTTTGACTTTGAATTCTTTTTCATGTGTTAAAGTAGGTGACCAAAGTTCAGGTGTTGCTTTTGAATTTAATGTTGTTACGATTAAGAGGGAGAACAATTTGGGCAAATAAAAGTTACTTCGCTCATTGAAATGTAACAAGATTAGCTTTTAATTATTCTAAGTAGAGAGGATATCAACAATTTAAAAAGGATGCCAACCTGGTTTTTTCGGTGTTGTTGCTGTTCATCAGTTTTGATAAGCTTTTGACATAACAGTTAATTCTTAAATGTGTATAAGACTAACAAGAAGTATGGGAAAACTTGTTAGTAAAAGTCTCTAGAAGATTGTCTGGAATAATAAAGGTCTAAAAACTTGACTTTTAACTCATAGCCTGACATAATGTTTTAATTCAAATATATGCTCAAAATAAATGAAAACCTATTTAGCAGTGACTGGGATTTGTAGTTAAATCCCATAATTACACCCATTCCAGTTTCACTGTGAAATATATACAGGTTTATACTTTGTTATCAGTATTTATGTACTACCACTTGTCGCATAATCAGGACACTTTATCTTTTTCCATTTCTCTGCTTCTTTATTAGAACTGCTCCTTTGGGTTCTCCTGATCATCTTGGGGTCTCAGTGGCCCTTCTGGATCTCTCTGGTTCTCTGCCATTGCACCCTCACCCACTGCTGCACTCCTGCTTTCCTCCATTGTGTCCCCCTCTCACGATTCTCAGGTTGTAGATAATAACAATCCTTGGATCAGTGGGAAAGTTTATTGGATCACATTGTCACTTATAATCATTAAAACCATGATGTGAGGTTGATCAGAGAAACTGAAATTCACAAAAATTAAATACTTTGCCCAAGAGAACTTCAATATTAAGTGGCAGAGCCTAAATTATGTCTTTATTATCAATATGTCACTGGTGTACATTCCCTCTCCAAATAAATTTTTCATATCTGTAGATTTTAATAAGATTTTAGGAAAGGTGGTTAATTAACATAAGACAAAGTATGAATTGCCTTAATGGGCTTCACATCCCCCTCCCCCATGATATTTGCTGCTTCAAAACAATCACTTACCACATGAATTTTTATTTAGTGGAATGTTAGAGAAATATTTTGAGCAGTGGATCTTTCTGAGTATTCTGTGCCCTTTTAGGAATATACTGCCCTTGCTGATCACTAGATGCTATGGTGATATGATAGCCCGTTGGAAGTGGTAGTCTCTGGTGGGGGAGCCTGGGTATCTGAATGCTTTCCTGTCTCCTTTTCTACCTGTGTGCTTCACCTCTTGCTTGTTCACATTCCTCAACTCATACACAAGATGTAGTTTTAAAAATCTTATAATTCGTTGACTTCACGAACTTCACTCCTAATAATTTCGAGATACATAATGGAGTTTTTTTTTTTTTTTTTTTTTTTTTTTTTTTGAGACAGTCTCGCTCTGTCACCCAGGCTGGAGTACAGTGGTGCAATCTTGGCTCACTGCAACCTTCGCCTCCCGGGTTAAAGCGATTCTCATGTCTCAGTCTCCCTCGTAGCTGGGATTACAGCGTGCACCACCACCCCCAGCTAATTTTTGTATTTTTAGTAGAGACGGGATTTTACCATGTTGACCAGGCTGGTCTCAAACTCCTGGCCTCAAGTGATCCGCCCACCTTGGCCTCCCAAAGTGCTGGGATTACAGGCATGAGCCACTGTGCCCAGCTCATAATGGAGATTTTTTTGTAGAACTTCATCAAGTTGTAATTGTACACCTTATCGACTCATTAAGAAACAATGAAAAAGTAACTTTCACTTTTTTCATTTTTGAGTTAGGGTTGGGAAAAAAAGGTAAATTACGATATGAATTTAACAGATTGTTGAATATAACATTTTAGGAAGGACTTTAAAGCCAAAAATAAAGACCTGTTTTACGTTTTAATGTTTAAAAATGCATCTATTAATATATAAATATATGTGTAGGGGTATGTGTGTATACATATCTGCTAATATAGCATATAGATACTAATGTGTGTTTCATGTACATATTATGAAATAATTTAAATGAGGCTTATCAGAATTTATTAATAATGCCATACATTAAGGATATTATTCTTAACAACCCATGTACTAAATTTTATGATATGTTAGTATTTTGTATAAAACTGAGGCTTTATTCTAAGTTGATTATCTATAGGCTAAGTATTTTACTTGCCTAAGTAGGATGTGCATGTTCTGTAGATAAGACAAAATGGTCATGATCTCCAGTTACTATGTTATTGATACATATTTAGTAACTTTTATTTTTGAGTGATTTTTTAAAATTTAAAGTTATACTTTGTCTCCATAGGTGAAAATGTATGGGAATAGGTTTTATTCAAACATGAAAGAAATTTGTACATCATTGTATTTTTCCAAGTGTGAAATAGTCTGTCCTGGCAGGTGTTGCTTCATCTCTGAAAGTCTGTCAGATAGATGATTACCTTTAAGAGATCCTAAAGAATGTGCAGTGTATATTAACTATGAAAATATGGAAGATCTTAAAGCATATCATTTTTAAAACAGGTGGTCTTTATTATTCTTTGTTCTAGAAAAGGAAGCAATGTCATTTCGAGCTACTATAAATAATTCTTTTCCTTTCTGATTTGGTAAGCTTAAATCTATTTAAGAATAAAAATTTAAAGCTGTTTTATAAATTATCTAGATCAGGCTTTCCATTTTACAACCTTTTATCTCCAACTACAGAACTGTTCCTTCATTGAACAAATTAAGCTCTATTATATGCAAACCCCATAATTGAATAAGGCACCATCTTTGTGCTGAAGGACTAAGGACTTTACAGGGTAGTAGGAGAGATGAGACAAGATTAGGAACAACTATAATACAGAACAGCATGTAATATATTAGCATGCGAGTAGTAGTATTGAAATGTTAAAGTTAGCCATTGCAAGAAGAGACCTTTTTTAGCTTTGAAGATCAGGGAGAACGTCTTTGAATAGATGACAGTTAAATTGTGTCTTAGTAAAAGGGGATTCAACCAACAGGCATAACTGATGAATTCATCCAGATATTAAGAAAGGTCTGTAAGTAACAGTGAAAGTTTAGCAAGTTATAAAAATAATGGCAATGGAGGGTGGGAAGGAAGAATTTCATCCTGGTGTGGAAATCACCCAGATGAATCTAGCATGGCAATGACTTGAAAAAGGGAGTAGGAGGCAATGACATGGACTTGAACTGGTTAGTTGCAAATCAGGTGGGTATCTTATCTTGAAGTAAGTAAGCTGTGGAATCAAAGACAAGATCAGCCCGCTCTTCACTTTAATTCCCTAAGATTTGAGGCATAGAAATCTTGAAGAGTGTGAGATTTTGTAAGAGAAGAGAGGAAGGAGGGGATTTATTCTTTTTAAGGAGGATGTAAAATTGCAGATGAAGAGAGGAAGTGAGGGGTGGGAGAAGATGAGAGAATTAGATTTAGAGTAAATGAAGTTTTCACACTACCAAAGTGGTGATTTCATAGATTACAATGAGGACAATAGGAGTAGCAGGTCCTTAAAGAAGGCTGAATGAGGAGAGAATGAGGGTCGGGGGTGATGTCAAAGTTTGAACAACAAAGCTAACCCACTAGAATGGAACTTTTAAAAATACTTAAGAGAATTGGACACAATGAAAATAGAATGCATTTAGTATTTTGAAAATACCTAGTGAAACCAACTAAATGACACATCACTGCTTGCCTATAGAACTCTTTTAATGCTACCTTAAAGTACCTGGTACAGATGTTTACTTTGGTCTTATATGATTACAGCAGATCGTTTGTTTCTTCCTTTCTTGGGAACCTTTCTGAAGTTTCATAAAATAATAGTCAATGTTTAGTATTTTTACAATTTAAAAAAAAATTTTGCAATGAATTTTTGATTCTATGTATTACAGACATATATATACAAACAATATTTAATTTCATTGCTAGGAGACAAATTTTAAAAGCCTTGTGAAGGGAGTATTGATGCTTTTTGTTGTTGTTGTTGTTGTTAGATGGAGTCTCACTCTGTTGCCCAGTGGCGCAATCTTGGCTCACTGCAGCATCCGCCTTCTGGTTTCAAGCAATTTTCCTGTCTCAGCCTCCCAAGTAACTGGGATTACAGGAGTGAGCCACTGCACCTGGCCAGTGCTTTTATTTTATCAGATGATACAGCCAGGGCCCAGCTTTGTTAAATGACTTGCCAATGCACAACCTTATCTTTTAAGTCTTTTGTTTTGCTTTTTGATAAAGCTCTCTGGTAAAACAGTGAAGAGCTTTTTATTTCTTTTCTTTTCTTTTTTTTCTTTTTTTTTTTTTTTGAGATGGAGTCTCACTTTGTCACCCAGGTTGGAGTGCAGTGGCACGTTTTCGGCTCACTGCAACCTCCGCCTCTGGGGTTCAAGCGATTCTCCTGCCTCAGCCTCCTGAGTAGCTGGGATTACAGGGGCATGCCACCACACCCAGCTATTTTTAAAATATTTTTGGTAGAGACGAGGTCTCATCATGTTGGCCAGGCTGAACTTGAACTCCTGACCTCAAGTGATCCGCCCGCCTCAGCCTCCCAAAGTCCTGGGATTACAGGCGTGACCCACCGTGCCTGGCTATTTCTATGTTTTTAAACATTATTGGTACTTAGAGACTTGTCAAATATCTAAAAATGTGAATTGCTACTGTTTGACAGATTTTTGGGATTCCTTCTGTTTTGTGCAGTCCTTAATAATATCGTGCTGCAAGGCTGTGAATAATTTACAAACTGGATATTTCCTATTTCAATAATTGAGTGTTATCTCTTCTGTATGATTTAGTGTCCAGATGAATTTAATTTAAAATAAATGGATTTAAATGACAATGTAAATTAGTAGTCAAAAAACCCATTTAATTCTTTTCCCCCACAAAAGTACATTCTTTTATTTAACCTGAATAAATATTCTCTTAAATTCAGCTTCATTTTCGTAGGTCATTCTATATATAGAAATGCAATACTTTATTTAAAAAGTTTCAGATTAATTTTATAGTTATATTAGAAACCAAATGATTTGTTTTATTTATATAAGCCAATTGAAATAGTGCTGAAGTTATCTCTTGTACACTGATTATTGATGCATATTTGAAAGCTTTTGTTCTACATTACCTGCATTTTAGTCAGCAGTTATTTTGTTTGACTTTAAAATATATTTATTTGTACCTTTTTCTTTTTCATATACACAATTTTTAAATAAAATGTGAATGCATATTTGTCAAAGAAATATTTCAGGCCGGGCGCGGTGGCTCACGCCTGTAATCCCAGCACTTTGGGAGTCTGAGATGGGTGGATCACGAGGTCAGGAGATCAAGACCATCCTGGCTAACACGGTGAAACCCCGTGTCTACTAAAAATACAAAAAAAAAATTAGCCGGGCGTAATGGCGGGCGCCTGTAGTCCCAGCTACTCGGGAGGCTGAGGCAGGAGAATGACGTGAACCCGGGAGGCGGAGCTTGCAGTGAGCCAGTATCGCGCTACTGCACTCCAGCCTGGGCGACTGAGCGAGACTCTGTCTCCAAAAAAAAAAAAAAGAAAGAAAGAAAGAAATATTTCAAATATAGACAGTCATTTTGGGAAGAATCTAACCAGAATCTAGATCAGTATGAGAAATTTTACTGCATTAGGCAGCTGATTAATTTTTTCCTTTAGGAATATTTTTGATCAGGATTTCCAACTGATAGATCAGCAGTATACTGTAGAGCTACAGATTGGAAACTCACCACTATGACCTCTCTGTTTTTTTCCAGAATTCCCCAAAGGGAGCATGGTCTTACAACAGAGTCCTTTCAACAGAGCATGTAACAACTGCTCATCAGGGAGCTAAAATCCCTCATCCAAGTTAAATCACAACTCATTGTTTTTGAATAGGATACTTCAGTTTCTCCAAATAGTCTACAGAGAGATGTGAACCCCTAGAAAGAGTTTGTGCTTCTTTCACAAAACAATTGTTAAGGTTTTGTGATCCTTTGTCTCAGATCAGGGGTCAGCAAACTTCTTCTCTAAAGGACTAGATAGTAAAAATTTTAGACTTTGTGGCCAAGAGGCAAATTTAAGGATATAATGAAGAGACGTAGGCTGGGCGCTACTGCTCACGCCTGTATTCCCAGCACTTTGGGAGGCCAAGGCAGGAGGATCACTTGAGGTTAGGAGTTCGAGACCAGCCCGGCCAACCAACATGGTGAAACCCCGACTCTACTAAAAATGCAAAAATTAGCCGGGTGTGGTGCTGCATGCCTGTAACCTCAGCTACTCAGGTGGCTGAAGCAGGAGAATTGCTTGCGCCCGGTAGGTGGAGCTTGCAGTGAGCCGAGATTGCGCCACTGCACTCCAGCCCGAGCAACAGAGTGAGACTCCGTCTCAAAAAAAAAAAAAAAAAAAAGAGGATGTAATGTAGAGATATATACAAGACAGAAAACAAACAGCCACAAATTTTTATTGACAAAAGTCAATACAGAATAATAATAATTGGGTACAGTTTTTAAAAATACAGGCCTGCTAGTCAGAAGAATGAAATTGCAGGGGGAGGGATAATATTTTGCTTAGTATGTGTTTATCGTTAGCATTTTCTGTCGTCAAATTGATTGCAAATGTCCATCTGTGAAAATGATCCTTAGCTCATAGGTTGTATAAAAATAGGTGGCAGGCTAGAATTAGCCCATAGGCGGTAATTTGCTGACCCCTGTGTTAGATAAGAAGTTACCTCTATTCTATGTTACTTTTGAGCTTGAACAGAAACCACTGCTCTGTTTATGTAATCCTTTTGAAAATAAAGCATTGAAAGAGAGATTGGTCGGTTTTAAGAGTTTAACTATAATTTTTGTTTATTCTTGTTCTGGTGGAAAAACAGAAGTCTTGCCACTCATTGTCATTTTTGTGAATGTCTGGTCTTTTGAGAATTTGTTGAGTCTAAGTAAAAATTTGTAACAGGCATTTTAGTGGAGGAAAAATGAGGTCTATAATGTATTCCCATGAACACAGAATATTATGTAGTTTTAAGTATTCTTATATATAATACAAAATGTATAAATGCCTTTTTAGTACTAAAACTTTATATTCAACGGATCCCACTTTAAATTTTTTGTTTATACAGGAAAAGAAGTTAAAGAGCAAGCCTTTCTTCAAATGGCTAACATTTTTACGGTTGTGAGAATGATGATTGCTTTTTCCTTAATCATTTTAAAGGTTTTTAAATGAACATTATTCATGCAGTTGTGTAGTTAACATGCGAGCCCACAATCTGCTCACAACTGAATTTGTTGTTGTTGCTCTTTATTTTTCTAGGATTTCTGTCTGTGTAAGATATATTCATTCCCCAGTAATGAAACTTTGTATATACCATATGACAGCCTTGTTCCTAATGTGAATTATACAGAGCATGTGATTAACCATCCTCTGGTATGAGACATATCTATTGTGGTCTTCACTAAAGCGTCTGTTTGATGGTGTGATGTTTTAGGACTTGAATATTTGGTGTTTCTTGGTTCATTGTAATTTCATATTTTCACACAAGTTTGGTCTGTTTACCCTTTATTTTTGTGTCCTTTCTGTGTTCTCCCCACCTCTCTGCTTCACCTTTCTTTTAGCAAAGATGAGGATTTCTACCTTCAACATACATTGTTGGTCTTGTCTTCTGTTTTTGTTAGGAGGGACAGCAGTGTGATAAAAGAGGAAATCAAAGCCTTTCTTGCCAATCGGAGGATTTCCCAAGCAGTTGTTGCACAGGTAACAGGTAAGAGCTGAAGAGCCCTTTATTCTGGAATCATGTGTAGTCTCTGCCTTCTGGTGCAGATGTTGGAATATTGCTTGCATTTCTGCATTGCAGTGCAGATCTGTCAACTTAGGCATAATTATGTATGCCTGTGATTTAAAACCCATTGTCTCCAATATCGCCGAACTTCTCTAGTGATTTTTTTGACTTGTGCTAGTAAATTTTATAGCATTTTTAATAAGCACAAAATTCCCTATTTTGTGGCTAGAAAAGGTTCCTATAGTTTGCTTTTGATTGTGACAGAGCATATGACACATGCACATCCAACTGCTTTCTATACTACATATTTTTAAAAGCTTTGTAATCCTCCAAGTATAATCCCTGATTATACCAGTTAAAAAATGATTCATGAGGGTAAAGAAAGTTGTTTTTTAAACCACTTTTCCATATGTAAAAGCATTCCTTGAAACATTACTGAGAAGAGTCACCATTGTCTTCTCTTTGTTCTTTATATCCCATCCCATTCTCCACCCCCACCTAAGCCCCATCCCTAGTATGTGGTGTATATGTGTCATTCTCTATTCAGATTGCATTTTTTAATGACGTTCTTAAATTTGGGGGCAGATGTCTTTTCCTTGTTAATGTGTGATCTTCCTTTCTTAGATTTCAGTGATTTATAAGACCCTTAAAAAAAGTAACTGGGCATTAGTCGTTAGAAGAACCGGACACTCTTTTCAACTACATTTTGTAGTTGCAACATTGTTGTACTTTGCATATTGATAGATATAAAAATTAATTCTCCCCTCCTTTTGTTAACATTCTACTAGCTGGCTATGTGAATTTGGGCTTTTTAGCCTCTGTGCCTCAGTTTTCTTCCTGCTACAATGAAATACTTGGATCTGATCTTCAACAATAACTTATGATTTAAAGATATTATTTCTGTTCTCCAGACCATGATACATACTGAAGCTAATTTACCTAAAAGGTTGTTACTGGCCATTAATTTGGTTAAAAATGAAACACCAGAGTTTAGAAGTCTTATATTTCATCCCAAGTATCTAAGGTCAGCCAATCTTTTATAGTGTGTGTGTTTAATATATTACACTAGTAATATATTTTTATAAATGACACTTCTGCTTATGGTAAAATACTTTAGTTAAAGGTGTCCTTCGGTGTAGAAGTCTTATACCAAAGGACAGTGCGTTAGTTTAATTGTTGTAGTATTTAGGTGTTTTTCTGTAGGATATTTAAAATATGTTGTTAACCTTTATCTTCAAGGACCAAGTTATGGTTCTTAATGCAATGTAAGGACAAGTCAAGCAGGTTTTAGTGAAACTCACTGATGTGGACTTTGAAAAGATGAAATGTTGTCTTTCAGTACTTACATTTCAGCCTCCATTACTAGAAGCAATAGTATCTTCCAGTTTGCCAGCCTAAAACTAAAAAGACAAAATTTTAGTGTTACAGAATAGCATTGCAACGCTGATTTTTTTTTTTCAGGTAGAAGCATTTCTTAGTACTTTGAATTCCCTGAATCTTGAATCATTTAGGACTTTTAAAATAGTAGCTTTGAAACCCATCCAATCTTAATTAATGCAAATCATAGTAACATATGTTTAAAAAGCATTTCTTGAGCATATCTAAAGGCATGGAATAAACCATAATGGGTTAAACATGATACATTAAATATAGTATTGCCTTTTTTGGAAAGGGAAACTGAAAGATATGTTTTCCCATCTTGCTGTTCAAAATATAGTACATGGAACAGCATTATTGGCATCACCTGGGAGCTTGCTAGAATCGTAAAAATACTGAATACTGGCCGGGCGTGGTGGCTCACACCTGTAATCCCAGCACTTTGGGAGGCCGAGGCAGGCAGATCACGAGGTCAGGAGATCAAGACCATCCTGGCTAACACGGTGAAACTCTGTCTCTACTAAAAACACAAAAAGCCAGGCGTGGTGGCGGGCGCCTGTAGTCCCAGCTACTCGGGAGGCTGAGGTGGGAGAATGGCGTGAACCTGGGAAGCGGAGCTTGCAGTGAGCCGAGATCGCGCCACTGCACTCCAGCCTGGGCGACAGAGCGAGACTCTGTCTCAAAAACAAAAACAAAAAATACTGAATACTGCTCTAAATGTGCTGAAACATAATTTACATTTTAACCAGAAGCCCAGGTGATTTCTGTTTGAGAAATGCTATTCTAGGAGACTGGTAAACTTTACTGACTTTAACTTCAGTGGATTGGCATTACCTCACTCAGTAATGGTCATGATGATGCCATCCCGTTTTTATTTTTGTTTTGTTTTTACTTTTTTGTTTGTTTGTTTGTTTGAGACAGTTTCTTGCTCTGTTCCCGAGGCTGGAGTGCAGTGGCCAGTGATCATGGCTCATTGCAGCGTCCACCTCCTAGGCTCAAGTGATCTTCCTATATCAGCCTCCTGAGTAGCTGGGACTACAGTTGTGCACCACCACACCCGGCTAATATTTATTTTTTACTTTTTTTTTTTTTGAGTTGGAGTCTTGCTCTGTCGCCCAAGCTAGAGTGCAATGGTGCGATCTCAGCTCACTGCAACCTCCGCCTCCTGGGTTCAAGCGATTCTCCTGCCTCAGCCTCCCAAGTACCTGGGATTACAGGCACTTGCCACCACGCCCAGCTAATTTTTGTGTTTGTGGTAGGCGGGGTTTCACCATATCGGCCAGGCTGGTGTCGAACTCCTGAGCTCAGGTGATCCACCCGCTTCGGCCTCCCAAAGTGCTGCGATTACAGGCATGAGCCACTGTGCCCAGCCTATCTTCTACTTTGTGTAGAGATGAGGTTTCACCATGTTGCTCAGGCTGGTCTTGATCTCCTGGGATTACAGGTGTGAGCCACCGCACCCGGCTATCATCTCCTGTTTTCGCAAGCAAGAACTGAAAATACATTTACACATTTATTATCTATTGTACCACGTGGACCTTTCTTTTGCTGCCATATCTATGGGATTTGGTATTGTTACAAACTTCTTTCACCATTTTCAGCCTCACCCTAACTTGTTCTTCCTCCTCTTCATTTCTACTCCAAAAGCTTGCATTCATCTTCCTTTGATCAGATATCTTCTGATGATTCTCCATTGTCTAAAAAATGAAATTTCTTTTAATCTGACTCCAGCCTTTTCGTTTGTTGCCATCCTCTATTCAGTATGCCCCCAGCTGAATTTCACTATTTGCCATTCCCAGAATTCTGCCCAGTTGGATGCTCCCAGAGTTTTGGTTGTGCCAAAGATACCTTTCACCTCCTCATCTCAGCCTTATGAATTTCTGTTTATCAAGATTATCTCTGTTGTTACCCTCATTTTAACTTCTTGACCAATTTAGTCCTTGCAGACCTCTCTTTTTTTCTGAAATTAATTACACTTAGTTCATCACCCTGAGGTGTAGTACTCATTTTAATTATGCATTTTAGAGCAATGTTCTTCAGGAGTGACCTTTCCTTACACAAAGAGTCTAGCATTGTGCAGGTACTCTGAACTTTCCATGTTTACCTAGCTACCTTGTAGTGTAAGAGGAGAACAGGTGATGCTGACACAAGCTATACATGTGAAAATTTGTCCAGTGTGACTTTCTTCAGTGGTGTGCCCTCTCCAAAAATAATAATTCATTTGCTCAACAAATGCTGTGTGAATTTTTGCCCTTAAGGAGCTTGCATTTTTCCTTTATCTACTTCAGTTGTTTATATCAGGCCTGGGGAATGAGGATGATTGATAACCATATTGGTTCATTGTCCTGTTGGTCAACTTACTGAACTCCTATGTTTTTTGTGTATTATTGTGTTACATTTTTTACCCAGACTGCCCAGCCATCAAGCTAAACTCAGGGGCAAGGCTTCTCTTTGCAGAGAAGAGATCCAGCTAGAGAATAGTGAGGTAGTAGAACTGAATAAAGCCTTGTCCTCGTAATTGGTCTAACTTAGGTTAGAGTGAGTCTGAGTATGGAAGCCTTCTGGTCACCTAGAGCTCACTCCCTGCAGTACCTCATCAGTGTATATACGCATTTTTCTGTCTTTAAACAAATTAGTCAAGTGTATCTTCAAAGAATATGTACCTGATGAAATCTACCTTAAGGTTTAGGATGTGGTTCTCCTGAATCTTACAACAAGTTCTCTTAAAAAGATTTAAGTTCAACTCTAATATGTGAAATAAGTCAACCTTGAGATAAAAATGAGAACGAGTGGTGCATAACAAAAGAAAATGCTAAATAAAAAGTGTAATGAGGTGCAAAATTATAACACATGTGCTTGTTCCAGAAACAAATACAGAGGTTTCTTTTTATAGATTCAGAGGATTTCTATTATAAGATAAACAAGAAGTTCATGGGTGGGGTCTGTATAAATAATATCCTACTGATAGGAAAAATGACAGTATAAACAGGATATAATAACAGTGCCTGCTGAATTCCCAGCATGTTATTTGTAGCTTCTTTCACAGTCGCAGCTGTTCCCACCAAGGGTGGATTTTTACCTCTGTAAGAGGTCAGCCAAGATTCTAAATTCTCACTAACAATGGTGGGTTGGTAAGCATAGTCTTTGCTTTAGTAATAAGCACATGTATTCTGTATTCACTTTCAGGGTAAAATGTTTTCTTAGGCTGTTTAAGAATGCTTAAAACATAATTTTTTTTAATGACCTTTGGGAAAAAATTCAAGCATGCAGAATAAATGAGTAAATGGGCAGAGCTTGATCAGCGCTTATCAGCCAAAGAAATATACTAATTGGATGCATGTCCTCTGAAGAAATAAATACACAGAAGAAGAAAAAAACAGCGCCTCTGAATTTTAAGAAATTTACCATAATTTTGTTTTCTTAAAATGTAGTAGTATAATGAAGAAGTAACAGAATCTCAATGTTCTGGTCTTTCTGCCATAAAATAGCCTTGTGACCCAGAGTCTTATTTTCCTTATGTATAAGATAAAGGACTTTGACTAAATAGGTTCTTTCTTAGTTCCATTTGAGCTGGATGCTCTAACAAAATACCATGAACTGGGTGGCTTATAAACAACTGAAATTTATTTCTCACAGTTCTGGAGGCTGGGAAGTCCAGGATGAAGCCAGATTCAGTGTCTGGTGAGAGCCTGCTTTCTGACTTAAAGACCATGCCATTTCATTGTGTTCTCACGTAGTGGCAGGGGGAACGGGTCTCTCTTGGGTCTCTTTTATTGGGGCACTAATTCTGGTTCATAAGGATTCAACTCACATCACCTAATCACCTCCCAAAGATCCCGCCTCCTAAAACCATCACCTTGAAAGTAACAATTTCAACATAGGAATTTTAGAGGGACATAAACATTCAACCATAGCAGCTTCTATGTATCTTTTCTAGCTGTCAAATTCTATTCTGTTTTTAAGTTGTAAATGCATTTTATCAGATGTGCATCTTACCTGTACCTAGTGATTCTCATTCCCAAAACATAAGAATTTGTGTAAAGACAAGTTCTGAACTGGTTTTAGAAATGTTCCAGCTGTACTCAGATCACTGCCTTTTTAACTTATCTTTAAAATGTAGGATAAAACCACTGCATATTCTATTTAATTATAGCAATTTCTTTACAAAGGTAAAGAATTAAGTTCCCTAATCAGAGAACTTAAGATCAGACATTAAAAATCAACTAAAGTTTCAGTATATTAAGAAAAAATAAACAACAACAACCACTTCATTTTCTAGAGTCGTTTTAGGTTCACAACTGTCTTCTATACACCCCACTCTCCCACTATCACCATCCAGCCCCAGAGTGGTACCTTTGTTACTGTCAATGAACCTACACTGACACGTCATTGTCACCCAAAGTTCATAGTTTATATTGGTTTTGCACATTCTTTGGTTTCTGGACAAATGTTTAATGACATGTATCCACCATTGTAGTATCACACAGAGTTGTTGCACTGCCCAAAAACTTCTCTGTGCTTTGCCTGTTCATCCCCTTCTCCCCTCAACTCCTGGCAACCTTTTTATGGTTTCCCTAGTTTTGCCTTTCCAGAATGTCATATAGTTGGAGTCATACAGTGTGGAGCTTCAGATTGGCTTCTTTCACATAGTCGTATACAGTTCACATTCCTCCCTCTCTCTTCATGGTTTGATAGCTCATTTCCTTTTAGCACTGAATTATATTCCATTGTCTGGATGTACCACAGTTTCTCTATTCACCTACTGGATAGCATCTTGGTTGCTTCCAAGTTTTGGCAATTATGAATAAAGCTGCTATAAACAAGTGGAATTTCTATCTATATTAGTAAAGCAATGCTGGTAGAATATGTCACAGACTGTGGAATTGTCCTATTATAATACAACCAGAAATAATTATCTTGCTTATTTAACAAGATTTTATGAATTCCTACCTAATGGATTTTACCAGTTTTATGTGGATCTCCAATTTGAAGGCTATCACCTATCTACAGAATGAGTGGGCTTCTACATGAAAGATGTAATTCTCTCTCCAAATGGAAGAGGTTTAGAGTTTTTGTTAGGAGAAACCTTTTCAAATCTTCTTTGAATGTACTTCATTCACTCACGTTATAATTGTTTTCGCAGAGTGCATTTTGGGATTTTCTTTTGTTTTGCAGCCTCAGGGGAATAGGAACAGATGTTATTCCAGGGTTCAAAAAATTCTTACTTTTTAATCTCATTTCCTTCTATCTTATTCTTTAATTTTTTGGAAAACTATTTTCTTTTAAACATAATACATGAAGTTACTTTTTTTTCCCCTCAGGAAAAAAACCAGCCTTCACCACATCCAAATGCCCATATTTTCTTACTTTGTTGACAGCTAAGTGAGGAATTGGAGTGGAAATAATTTCGGAGGATATTTTTTGTTGTTTGAAAATCAGTTCTCTACAGTTATTGAAATTCCTTGTCCTGCCAGGGCTTCAGTCATCTCAAATGCAGTGCATAGGAGTCTACATTTTTGGTGTAAATACTAGGAAGACTCATTGTCAGGTATAAAATGGCATCTCTCTTTCACCTGTATATAAAGTAGAAACTGTATTTTAAAAAATGATATCCTACCACAAGCCCTGACAATGACTTGTAAAGGTTAGGCACAGATGTGGTTTTTCCCTCATTCAGTAATTATCATTTTTGTTTCTCTCCAGTTCTTGTTTCCTAAGATTATGGGGAAAAGCCTGTACTTAGATACAATGTTTCTTTGATTGTTGTGTGAAATATTTCTTGCCTAATGTAATTTAAAAATTGTTATATTAAATATGTTAATTGTTAAATATACAGGAATAAATGACAAAAAGAGGAAGTGATACCCCAGTAAGAAAGTCACAAGGTATCTGTGTGTGATAAAATAGCAAAACCTGAGATTCAGCTGTAGTCTGTTAGTCTTAAAGCAATATCATAAATATCATAAATAACTTCCTGCAGAAGAGAGACTCTGAAGAGAAAATAAATGCCATTGCTTGTAAATTCTAGATATGGTCCTTTATGCAGTAAAGAATTATCCTATTAACTCTTAAAAGTTTTACTCAGAGTGAGACCTTAAATCAAAGTGCTGCAAATAGTTTTGTCAGGAAGATGTAACACTATATTTAGTGTTACTAAATCTGCTTAAGTAAGGAACTGATGCTTGCACTAACCAAACTACAGCTGAGGGCCTTGATACCTGAGAGGCCTATAAAATTTTGAAGCAATGTTTCAAATTCTTTTGGCTTAGAAGAAAACTTTTAATGTCAGACTGTGTCAACTTCAGCTAAATTTAACTATATCATTTGATTCTCACAAAATAAACTTGGAGATGTACAGGGGAAATTTGTTTTTTCCTTTGTTTTTATCACCTTTATTAAGATAAAATTTACATAAGAGTATAGGTTTCTGAGTTGTACCAAACTTATACAGTGGTATAATCATTACCAAATTCAAGATATGAATATTTCAGTATTCCAAGAAGTTGTCTCATGCATCTGTGCAGTCAAATATTGTTCTCCCACCCCCAGTCCCTGGCAACCATTCATCTGCATTCCTTCACTATTGATTTGCCTTTTCTAGAATTTCATATCAGTGGAATCATACAAAACATACCTTTTATGTCTCCAACTTCTTTCATTTAGCATGATGCTTTTAAGATTCGTGAGTGTTGTTACATGTTTCAGTTATTTATGACTTTTGAATGCTAAATACTAATCCATTGAATGGATATAACAAAATTAGTTTACCCATTAATCAGTAGATGGACATTTGGATTGTTTCCAGGGCCTGACTATTTTGAACTAAGCTGCTGTGAACATCTTGTGTACAAGTTTTTGTGTGGGAATATGTTTTCATTTCCTTTGGGTAAATACCCAGGAGTGGGATTGTGGGGTTGTTGGTAAATATACGTTTAACTTTTTAAGAAACTGCCAAACTGTTTTCCAGTGTGGCTCCACCATTTTATCTTCCCACCAGCAAAGAATGAGGTCTTACTGCTCTGCATTCTCTTTGGGACTTGGTGTTTGTGCTTCTCTGTGAGTTTAGTCATTCTAGTGCAGTTATAATGATCTCTCACTCTAGTTTTATTTTGCATTTTTCTAATGACTGATTATGTTGAGCATCTTTTTATATGATCATTTGTTATTCATGTATCTTCTTGGGTGACATGTCTGTCAAATCTTTTGTCTATTTTTTTTAATCAGGTTGTTTGCCTTATTTATTATAAGAGCTTTTTGTTTATTCTGGGTACAAGTCCTTAAATATAAGATATACATATTTCCTAGTCTGAGGCTTGCATTTTCATTTTCTTAATATCTTTCAAAGAGCAAATGTTTTAAATTTTTATGAAGTTATATTTATCATTTTTTTTCTTTTGTGGTTCTTGCTTTTTGTGTTCTAAGAAAATTTGCTTAAACAGGACCAAGTGCGGTGGCTCACGCCTGTAATCCCAGCACTTTGGGAGGCCGAGGCGGGCGAATCACAGGAGGTCGGCAGTTTGAGACCAGCCTGACCAACATGGTGAAACCCCATCTCTACTAAAAATACAAAATTAGCCGGGCATGGTGGTGCTTGCCTGTAATCCCAGCTGCTCGGGAGGCTGAGGCAGGAGAATTGCTTGAACCTGGGAGGCAGAGGTTGGGGTGAGCCGAGATTGTGCCGTTGCACTCCAGCCTGGGCAACAAGAGTGAAACTCTGTCTCAGAAAAAAAAAAAAAGAAAATTTTGCTTAAACAAAGTCTCAAAGATTTTCTCATGTTTTCCTCTGTAAGTTTTATAGTTTTAGCTCTTACATTAGGTCAATGGACCATTTAAAATTAATTTTTGTGTTGAGATAAGGGTTGAGGCATTTTTTTTTCTTATAGAGATCCAGTTGTTGGAAAACCATTTGTTGAAAAGTCTAGCCTTTCCCCGTTTGATTACTTTGTTATCTTTGTGGAAACTCAGTTGGACATGCATGCAAGGTCTGTTTCTGGGCTTTGTATTCTGTTCTGTCAGTCTTTATGTCTATCCTTATACCAATACAAACTGTAGATTATTATAAGTCTTGAAATCAGAAAGTGTAATTCCTCCCAATGTTGTTTTTCCTTTTCAAGATCACTATTGACTTTATAGGTCTTTTGTATTTTTATGTACATTTTAAAACTAGCTTTTCAGTTTCTACAAAAAGCACATCTGTAGTGAGATTGGGATTGTGTTGAATATATAGCTCAATCTGACATTAGGAATTTACATCTTAATCATATCAAGTCTTAGTCTATGAACATAGTTTGATATCTCTCCACTTGTTTAGGTCTTTTTTATTTTCTCTCAACCATTTTAGTGGTTTTCAGTGTACACGTTTTGTACACATAAAATTCCTCTCTAAATATTTTATATTTTTATTGCTATTATATTGGTATTGTTTTTAATTTCAGTGCCCGCTTCCTTGTTTCTTGTATCATAGGTCAGTTGGTTTTATTATATTGACCTGTGAACTTGCTTAACTCATTTATTTGTTCTAGTAGCTTTAAAACATTTTTTTTGTTTAGGATTTTCTATACAATCATGTTATCTGTGAATAGAGATAATTTTACTTCTTCCTTTTCAATGTGTCTTCTTTCTTTCTTCTTTTTCCCCTTTATTGAACTAGCACTAACAGTTCAATCTTGAATAGAGTGACAAAAGCAGACATTCTTACCTTGTTCCCAGTCTTAGGGAGGAAACATTCAGTTTTTCATCATTAAGTATGATCTTAGCTGTAAGTTTTTCATAGTTGCCCTTTACCAGGATTCCTTTCAAGGAAAGCTTCTATTTATAATTTTTAATAGTTTTTATCATGATAGATGTTGTATTTTATCAAATGCTTTTTCTGCATCTGTTGAGATGACCACCTGGTTTTTCTTGCTTAGTCTTGTTAATATGGTAAATCACATTGACTTATATTCTGGGAAAAGTCCCACTCAGTTATGATGTATTATCCATTTTATATTATTTAATTTGGTGATATTAAGAATTGTCACATCTGTGTTCATGAGGGACATTCTGGGTTTATGTTTTACTTCCTGTGTTCTTTCTATTTTTTTGTTTTGTTTTTTGTTTGTTTGTTTTTTTGTTTTCTTTTTCAGACGGTGTCTTGCTCTGTCTCCCAGGCTGGAGTGGAGTGGCGCAATCTCGGCTCACTGCAACTTCTGTCCTAGGTTCAAGCGATTCTCCTATCTCAGCCTCCAGAGTAGCTGGGATTACAGGTGTCTGCCACCACACCTGGCTAATTTTTGTATTTTTAGTAGAGGCAGGGATTCAACATGTTGGCCAGGCTGGTCTCGAGCTCCTGACTTCAAGTGATCTGCCCACCTCGGCCTCCCAAAGTGCTGGGATTACAGGCGTGAGCTGCTGTGCCCGGCTCTTTCTAGTCTTACAATGTCCTTATATAGTTTTGTTATCATAATAACGTTGGCCTCATGAGATAAGTTGGGAAGTGGTCCTTTCTCTTGTATTTTCTGGAAGCATTTGTGTAGAATTGGTATTATTTCTTTCTTAAATGTCTTTGCAAATGTGCCTTTTTTTTATTATAGTGATTATCTTACACTGCTCATAATTTACTACCTGGATCTTAGGGCTTGTGCCCTGTACTGAAGTCAGCAGAATAGAATATAGAACAGTAGAGATTATTAGGTCCTTAATACTTTAAAGATTGCCAGCACTTTTCTACATGATTTTACTCATGGCAGGAATATTTTTCTCTTGCCAGTTGCCTAAAATAACAGATTTACTAACCACAAACCAAATTAAATTAGCTTTAGATACAGCAGTAGCCCTTTCCTTATGTCCTTGTGATGCCTGAGTAAAGAACATAGTTTTTACTTGCTAAGCTATGAGATTTTGCCGCCTGTAGTAGTTTTTAAAATATTGAGTGGCCTATCTCCAGATCTCCCAAACAGATTCATGAACACCATCTTGCTTTTGAACATGTCGATTTTAAAGTACGAGGCCAATATGATATTGCCCCAAGCTCATCATTGTTCTTGATGAGAAATGTAGTCCAGGATTCTTAGAAACTTTCTTAATGTGATCTTTCATTTAATGTTCTGTGTCATTTTAAGGACTAGAATATGCTATTTTCTTAAGTGTTTTTTTCTCCCTTGACAGTTTTAAACATATTGTCTTTTGCTTCCAAGCCCTTCCATTGCTGAACAGTTTTTGTAGGACAGTCTTCAGCTTTATCATTAAGCTGAATCCCTATCAACATCTAG
This sequence comes from Homo sapiens, assembly GCF_000001405.40. Classification (NCBI taxonomy): domain Eukaryota; kingdom Metazoa; phylum Chordata; class Mammalia; order Primates; family Hominidae; genus Homo; species Homo sapiens. The sequence goes on from NC_000008.11 coordinate 28,991,802, forward strand.
CTGTCCAAGTGAGTTATAGATGGCCAGTGGCTCTGCTTTTTACTAGCCTGCACCCTCTTAGCTAACCTTCTTTTTTTAGGGTTTGTATTTTTAGCTATAACTTATTTAACACTATCAGGTGTTAGATGCCATGCCAACTGTTTTATGTACTTGAGAAGCAGGTGTTAACTTCCTCAGTTACAAATGAGAAAACCCAGGCTTAAGGGGATTGACTCATTTGCCAATAGTCATGCAGTTAATTGCGTTTGTTTTGCCACACAGCCACTGTTCTTTACATAGCAATTTGGTATATAGAGAAAATATGGTGCCATGGTCAAGGGCACGACTTTGAGGATGGACTGTCTGGCTTCAAAAATCTGATTTCCATCCCTTACTTATTATGTAACTTTGGCCAAATTACTGAATGTCTTAACCCTCAGTTTCTCCTCTTCTGGAAAATGGAAAGAATAACAACAGTACCTACCTAAACGGATTCTTGAGTGGATTAAATGAGTTAGTTTTGGTAAAGTTTCAAATGGCACATAGTAAATGCCATAGAAGTTTTTCTGTTATTATCGTTAACCATTATAATTGCTTAATTTTCAGCAGGCAATCATTTTTCATTCATGTCTCTCCAGATTGACTTTCCTAAAGCTAAGTTTCCTGAGGCTAAATATGTTAACCATAAGTTTTATAGCTTTGGGCCACTTGATAATGAACTTTTGAACAATAAATTTACTTTTTATGTTAGAAAATTTATTCATGTGGTTCAAACTTCAGAAGTACCTTTGGAAGAGTATACAATGCTGGCTGGGCGCGGTGGCTCATGCCTGTAATCCCAGCACTCTGGGAATCCGAGTGGGGTGGATCACGAGGTCAGGAGTTCAAGACGAGTCTGGTCAACATAGTGAATCCCCATCTCTACTAAAAATACAAAAAACTAGCCGGGTGTAGTGGTATGTGCCTGTAATCCCAGCTACTCAGGAGGCTGAGGCAGGAGAATCGTGTGAACCTGGGAGGTGGAGGTTGCAGCGAGCTGAGATCCTGCCATTGCACTCCAGCCTGGGTGACAGTGCGAGACTCTGTCTCAAAAAAAAAAAAAAAAAAAAAAAAAGGAAGAAGAGTATACAATGCTAAATCTCCTTTCTGTGTTCCTCAGCCATATCCCCTTCCCACATGAGACTAATGTTAACAGTTTCTTCAGAAATTTTATGCATTTATTAGCAAATAAGTATGTCTATTGTCCTTTTATGCCAAATCAACACCTAGTTTTTTTTTTTAACTTGGAAATGATTCCATATTGGTATATAAGAGTATTATCACTATTTTCAGAAAGAACATAGTATACCATCTTCTAGATACATAAATTTCAACTATTAATAGCAGTTAAGTAACTATTTTAAACTATTTTTGCCTTTATTCCACACAAAATAGACACTACTTATGTAACAAATTAAATAAGATATATTTTGATAAAGATTTAGATTTCAATTTGATGATAAATATATTATTCTTTAAGATATACATACTCTTGTATGAGTAGGATTTTTTAAAGTTTTGACTGTGTAATTTATCTAGGAATTTATCCTATAGAAATATTTGCTTATGTCTAGAATGATGACAGTACAAGAATATTTATTGCAGCATATTGTATGATAACAAAATGCTGTAAATAACCTACATGTCCACCAGTAAAGGCTAGCTAGGTAAATTATACTATATCTATACTATGGAGTACTATTTGTCCATTAAAGAATAAAGCAGCTCTGTATGTCTCCAGTGGAATGAAGAAGGGGGTAGGTTGTAAGGTATGGATGGAAGATGACTTATTTTTGTTCCTTTTGGATTTTGTACTCCATGTATAAGTTCTGTATTAAAAAAAAATTCCAGCACCAATTTTAAAAACAAATATTATGTCACAGACTCAACAATAATCTGTACCGGCCAGATTCAATTCAGGGGTTACCAGTTTGTTCATTGTGCTCTCTGATACCAATCAGAATCACAACAGGATTTTGTTGTTTTTGTCAACATGAATCTAAAGTTTATCTGCAAGAAAAAAATACATAAGAATAACTAAGAGATTGTTTAAAAAGAACAGGGGAAGGCCAGGCATGGTGGCTCACACCTGAAATCCCAGCACTTTGGGAGACTGAGGTGGGCAGATTACTTGAGGTCAGGAGTTCAGGACTAGCCTGGCCAACATTATGAAACCTGTCTCTACTAAAAATACGAAGTTAGCCGGATGTGGTGGTGCATGCCTATAATCCCAGTTATTCGGGAGACTGAGGAAGGAGAATCATTTGAACTCAGGAGGTGGAGGCTGCAGCGAGCCAAGATTGCGCTACTGCAATCCAGCCTGGGCGACAGAGCCAGACTCTCTCACCAAAAAAAAAAAAAGGCGGGGGGATGGGGGAGGAAAGAGTTGGCCAAATTTGCCCTACCAGATATTAAAATACACTACATAAGGTTAGAGTAAGTAAAACAGAGTCATTTTATTGTCAGATAAATGTATTAGTTGTACAGGATAGAGTTCATTAATAGATCCTTGGAGATGAGCAAATTTAGCTTAAATAAAGGAAGCCCTTTAAATCTGTAAGGAAATAATGTTTTTCCATTGATTCTTTGAAAATGAAAAAATAAATATAGATACCAACATTATACCAGAATCAAAAATCAGTTTTCATATGGATAAAGAACTAAATGAATATACTTTTTAAAGCTGGAGAAAAGATTCTACACTACTGTTAAAAGAAAATAATGAATGTTTTTATTATATTGGGATAGGAAAGGCTTTCCTAAGCAATACATAAGACCCCAAAAATAAAATTGTATGGGTCCAACTGCATAAAAATTTTAAGCATATATCCAGTAAAAGATACTGTAAACAAGATTCACATTGACAGGTATTTGTAGCATTATAGAGCAAAAGATTGGTATCTATGATGGTATCTCAAATGAGCTCTTACAAGTTATTATGAAAAATGACAAATAACCTAATAAAAAATTTGCAAGGGATAGCAGTGTGTAACTTATGCAAGACAAAATATAAATGGCCAATAAGCATATGAAAAGATGAAAGCATCTTAGAATATTAAATAAGAACAATTTAATTGCAAGAGATCAGGGGGGATTTTTGCCCATTAAATCAGCAAACTTTAGAAGATTGAGGGATACTACTGGTCCACTTCTGTCCATCAAAACCCAGCAAAGACAATAAAATAAACAAAAATATAAGAAAAACTAGTGAAGCCATAGCTAGAACCTTAAAACACACACCAAGTCAAATAAGAATTCTGGATCAAAACAGAGGAAAATGGTGGGAATTCTTGTATAGATACAGTCTAACATAGAAACCCATGCCCATCAGCAGTAATTTCCAGTCCCCCAGTCCTCCAAGCCCTGGTATGTACTAATATACTTTCTGTCTCTGCAGATATACCTACAGACAAACTTCCGGACATTTCATAAGATAGAATCATACACTATATAAACTTTTGTGTCGGGCTTCCTTTTACTTAGCATAATGTTTTTAAGATTCACCCATGTTATAGCATGCATCAGTACTTCATTCCTTTCCATAACTGAATAATATATCATTATATGTATATACTATATTTATTCATCAGTTGGTGGACATGTGGATTGTTTCACTGGCTATTTTCAATAATAATGCTGCTATGAACATTTGTAGATAAGTTTTCGAGTGGACAGATTCTCTTGGAAATGTGCCTAGAAATAGAACTGCTGGGTCACATGGTAATTCTATGTTTAATGTTTTGAGGAACTGCCAAAACTGTTTTCCATTTTATAAAACTACCACCAATGTATGACATTTCCAATTTCTTCACATACTCACCAACACTTTATGATAGCTATCCTAATGGATGTGAAGTGGTATGTGTCTCATTGTAGTTTTGATTTGCTGTAGTTTTGATTTAGTGAGTAATGCACTTTTCATGTGCATCTTGGTTATTTATGTATGTTTTTGGAAAAATGTCTAGCCAAATCCTTTGTCCATTTTAAAAATTGGGTTATTTGGCTGGGCGCGGTGGCTCACGCCTGTAATCCCAGCACTTTGGAAGGCCGCGGCGGGTGGATCACAAGGTCAGGAGATTGAGACCATCCTGGCTAACATAGTGAAACCCCGTCTCTACTAAAAAAAAATACAAAACATTAGCCGGGCGTGGTGGCAGGCGCCTTTAGTCCCAGCTACTTGAAAGGCTGAGGCAGGAGAATGGCGTGAACCCGGGAGGCAGAGCTTGCAGTGAGCCGAGATCACGCCACTGCACTCCAGCCTGGGTGACAGAGTGAGACTCCATCTCAAAAAAAAAAGGGGGTTATTCATCTTCTGGGGTTATTCATCTTCTTATACTTTTTATATTGAAGTGTTAAGAGTTCTTTATATAGGTTTATATAATATATTGAAGTGTTGAGTTCTTTATATTAGTTCATATATAAGTTGAGTTCTTTATGTAAGTTCATATACAAGTTGAATTCTTTATATAAGTTCACGTAGACACACGTGAGTAATGCACTGTGTATACGTGAACTTATATCTGATAAATCGCTTATCAGATATGTCCCTTAGCAGATGGAGTGTTTGCAAATATTTTCTCCCATGTTTTTGGGTTGTCTTTTCACATTCTTGGCTAACGTGATGAAACCTGTCTACTAAAAATACAAAAATTACCTGGGTGTGGTGGCGCATGTCTGTAATCCCAGCTATTTGGGAGGCTGAGGAAGGAGAATCATTTGAACCCAGCAGGTGGAGGCTGGGTTGTCTTTTCACATTGTTGATAGTGTTCTTTGAAGCACACAAGTTTTTAGTTTTGATGAAGTGTATATTGTTTTGTTGTTTTGTTTTTGCTTTTAGTATCATAGCTAAGAAAACGCCTATTCCCAAATCATGCAGATTTACATTTGTGTTTTCTTCTGAGAGTTTTATACTTTTAGCTCTTACATTTGCATCTTTGATCCACTTTGAGTTACTTTTTATATATGATGTGAGGAAGGGATGTGAACATTATATTAATGTGGATATCCACTTGTCCCATGTATTTTATTCTTTTTGATGCTATTGTAAGTAGAATTGTTTTCTGAATTTTATTTTTGGATTGTTTATAGTTAATGGATAGAAATAAGGTTTATTTCGTATATTGATCTTATATTCTGCAACCATGCTGAATTCATTTGTTAGTTCTAATGGGGTGTGTGTGTGTGTGTGTTTGTGTATTCCTTTGGGTTTTTTATATACAAAATCATGTATCTGCAAATAGAGGTAGTTCTACTTTTTCCTTTCCAATCTGGATGCCTTTTCTTTCTTTATCTTGCCTTCTAGCTAGAACCTCTAATACAATGTTTAACAGAAGTGGCAAGAGCAAACATCCTTGTCTTGTTCCTGATCTTAGGGAAAGTGTTCAGTCTTTCCCCGTTACGTATGATGTCAGCTGTTGTTTGTTCATATATACCCTATATCAGGGTAAGGAAGTTTGCTTCTATTCTTAGTTTTTTGAGTATTTTATATCATGAAAGACTGTTGGATTTTGTCATGCTTTTTCTGTGTCTATTAAAATAGTTATGTGGATTTTGTCATTTATTGATGTGACTGTATTACATTGATTTTCGTGTGTTGAGTAAACCTTGCTATCCTGAGATGAATCCCACCTGGTCATGGTTTATAATCCTTTATATTTATATATGTTGTTGGATTCAGTTTGCTAGCATTTTGTTGAGGAGTTTTACATCTGCATATGTAAGGGACGTTAATCTGTAGTTTTTTTTGAGACTGGGTCTCACTCTGTCGCCCAAGCTACAATGCAGTGGCACCATCAGGGCTCACTACAGCCTTGACCTCCTGGGCTCAAGTGATCCTTCCACCTCAGCCTCACAAGTAGCTGGGGACTACAGGTGTGCGCCATCATGCCTTGCTAACTTTAAAATTTTATTTTGCAGAGATGGTGTCTTCCTATGTTGCCCAGGCTGGTCTTGAACTCCTAGCCTCAAGTGATCCTCCCTCCTTGGCTTCCTAAAGTGTTGGGATTACAGGTGTCAGCCACCAGGCCCAGCCTGTCTATAGTTTTCCTGTGGTGTCTTTGTCTGATTTTGGTATTAGGATAATACTGCTTCATGGAATTGAGTCAGAAGTGTTTTTTCCTTTTTTATTTTTATAGAAGAGTTTGTGAAGAGTTGTTAATGGGTGTATGTGCTTTAATTATTTTTTATATGCGTGGTAGAATTTACCAGTAAAGCATTCTGGCTTTTCTTTGTGGGAAGATGTTTGACTATGAATTCAATATCTTTACTTGCTATGTAACTCTATTCAGATTTTCTGGGCCTTGAGTCAGATTCAGTAGTTTTTTCCTACAATTATGTTCGTTTCATCTGGATTATGTAATTTGTTGGCATATAGTTGTTCATATAATCGTTGTTGATCTATGTATTTGTTCTGCCTATTATTGAAAGTGGTATATTGATATCTCCAACTATTATTGTTGAATTATCTCTTTCTGTTTTCAGTTCTGTCATTTTTTGCTTTATGCATTTTAGGGCTCTGTTGTTTGGTATATGTACATTTATAGTTATATCTTCCTCGTTAATTGAGCCTTTTATTATGTCTTATTTTTTCTAGTAACAAGTTTTATCTTAAGGTCTATTTTGTCTTACATTAATATTTAACTGTCACTCAAGTTCTCATTTGGTTATTTTTATATGATATATCTTTTTCCATTCTTTTACTTTCAACCTAATTATGTCTTTGAATCTGAAATGTATCTCTTATAGACAGCATGAAGTTGGATTGTGTTTCTGCCAATCTCTGTCTTCTTATTGGAGTTTTTAATCTATTTAAATTTAATTTAATTATGATAAGGAAGAATTTATATCTGCCATTTTGCCATTTGTTTTCTATATGTGTTTCATCTTTTTGTTCCTCTGTTTGATTACTTTCTCTTTTGTGTTAAATAGATTGTTTTCTCATGTACAATTTTAAATCCCTTGTCATTTCTTTTGCTATATTTTTCGAGCTATTTTCTCAGTCATTGCCCTGGAGATTACCATTAACATCTTAATTTATGACAATTAATACCAACTTAATTTTAATAGTATAGAAAAACATTTCTCCTATAATAGGTTAATTTTTGTCTTATAAATTACATTTATATATTGTGTGCCCATCAACTTAGATTATAATTATTGCATTATATAGTTTTCTTTTATAAATAAAAAAGGAGTTATAGACACAAAATATTTAATTATACTCTCGTTTATGTTTACCTACATAGTTACCTTTACTGTCACTCTTATTTCTTCAGGTGTATTTGAGTTACTGCTTAATGTCCTTTCCTTTCAGCCTGAAGACCTGCCTTTAGTATTTCTTACAGGGCACATCTGCTGAGAGCATATTTTCTGTAATTTTACTCATCTGAAAATGTCTTAATGTCTCCTTCCCATGGTTTCTGATGAGAAATTAGCTGTTTATCATATTGAGCATTGCTTGTATGTAATGGGTCACTTCTCTCTTGACACTTCAAGATTTTTCTGTTGATCTTTGGTTTTCAACAATTTATGATGTGTCTAGGTATGGATTTCTTTGAGTTAACCCTACCTGAAGATCATTGAGCTTTTTAGATGTGTGCATTAATGTTTTTCATCAAATTTGGGAAGTTTTGGTCACTATTTTTTCAAAATATTCTTCACTTTTCTCTCTGTTTCTTGGATTCCCATTATATGTGTATGTTGGTAAGCCTAATGGTATCCCACAGGTTTTTGAGCCTTTGTTCCATTTTCTTCATTCTTTTTTTCTTTTTGTTCCTTATAATAGATCATATCCATTGACCTGTCTTCAAGTTTGCTGATTATTTCTTCTTCCAGTTCATATCTACCGTTGAGTCCTTTTAGATAATTTTTCATTTTATTTTTTATACTTTTCAATTCCAAAATTTCTATTTGGTTCTTATAATTTTTGTCTGTTTATTGATATTCTGTGTTTGGTAAGGCATTTTTCTCATACTTTCCTTAGTTCCTGAGACATGTTTCTTTTAATTCTTTTAGTCTTTAAAATGGTTAATTTAAATCTTTGTCTACTAAGTTCAATATCTGGATTTCTTCTAGGACACTTCTTATTGACTGCTTCTACTGTGTATGAGCCATACTTTCTTGTTTCTTTGCATGTCTCATAAGTTTTGTTTTAAAACCTGGAAATTCTAAGTAATGTGGAAACTCTGGAAATCAGATTCCTTCCTCCCTTGGATTTATTATTGCTGTTGTTGGTGATGTTTGTTTAATGAATTTCCTGATTTAACATTATAAAGTTATTATTCTTTGTGGTATGTAGCTGCTGAACTATCTTCCTTGTCAGCTTAGTGGTCAGCTAATTATTAGGTAAAAATTTCCTCAAATCTCTAGAAACAATAAGTCTCCCAGCTTTTGTCAAGGGGCTCTCTCTGTGTATTGGGCATACCTTTAATGCTCAGACAGGCAGCTTATAATTCTGCGTAAACCTTCACTTTCTCTTTGTACTAGGTCTCAAGGTCAGCCAGAGGTGAGAGCTTCGAGCCTTCACGGGTCTTTCCTATACATCTTCATAGCCCTATACATGTGCACAGCCCTATACAAGTTCATGACCTTCTAGATTCCTAGGAATATGTCATAGCTTTTTGAAGACTCTCGTGGACATCTCATACCTCCACTTCTCTGTTGAAATATTTTGGTCAGCTTCTTGTTCACATCAGTTGTTGTCATTGCCTCAGGCAGCTGCAGTGTTAACTTATTGCCACTGATTGTTTTCGACAAATTACCTCACATCTGTCTTTCCTCCTCAGAGAGAAGCTATTCACACTGAGTGAGATCTTGAGTCAGGTCAAATAAAGCAAGCCTTGCAAATAAAGATTTCCAGGTAATTGCCAGACAGGTCAAATAATGACAGTTCTCTTAGAAGGGTGTTTTGAGGAACTCCAAACCTGTCCTTTCCCCTCCAGTGACTACTAGGCCACACCTGGTTTTCACTGTGATTGCAGTAATGTTGGTTTTTAAGTCTGCTATAATGATAGTGTGACAGGCATGGGAGGAGGCCAAGTTAAAATGTCACATGCTATTCTTACCAAAATTCAGCATTTTTTAAAATAAATGCTCTTTGGATTGTTGGAAGCCTTTGGTAATTTCTAAAATTCTGAAGAAGTTGATTCTGACAATTGTTGACAGTGCTTTTATGGAACAGCAGATTTTGCTGTTGTTGCTTTTATGGAGGAGTAGGTTTTCAGAGGTTTTTACTTCACTATTCTCACTGATGTCACTCCAATTCAAGAGATTTTGAAGGAAAGCTGGCCCCCAAAATTTTCCCTCTAGAATTGTCCTCAAAGTATGAAAATGGAGACAAACATACAAACATACAAGGGTTGAAAAATACAGCACCAATTAGCCTGTGCTGTTAAAAACTACTCTGTGAAGAAATCTATACCCAAAGTTATATTTAAAAATAAGGCATTTTGGCCAGACACAGTGGCCCACTCCTGTAATCCAGGTACTCTGGGAGGCCAAGGCGGGTGGCTCACCTAAGGTCAGGAGTTCAAGATCAGCCTGGCCAATGTGGCAAAACCCTGTCTCTACTAAAAATACAAAAATTAGCCAGGCGTGGTGGTGGGCACCTGTAATCCCGGCTACTCAGGAGACTGAGGCAGGAGAATTACTTGTACCTGGGAGGCAGAGGTTGCAGTGAGCCAAGATCATGCCGCGGCGCTTCAGCCTCGGTAATAGAGCGAGATTCCATCTCAAACAAAACAAAACAAAACAAAACAAAACAAAACAAAACAAAACAAGACATTTAGGTATTGACTGGAAAGGGAACAAGAGGGACTTTTCAAGGGGCATAGAAATAATCTGTAAATTGATTTGAGCATGCATCATGTACATTTATCACATGCGTCTGTATATTTATCAAAACTCATTGAACTATATACTTAAAATTTTACTGTTTGTAAAATATAACTCAATTAAAAACAAAAAGATAAGAGTTTAGGAATGGAAAAACTTTTAAGAAACTCTGTGGTAAATCTTAAATCTTTAAATCTATAACCATGAGTGTACAGCTGTGGCAACTATGAATTCAGAACAGAATGTAAATGCTGACTGTCTAAAAATATGTTCTAAATATGAGGAGTTGGGTGCAAAGGCTGGAATGTGGAGATGGGGGAACTAGAGTGTAAGGATGTGTCTTAGTTATCTGTTGCAACATTAAGAACTTAGCATCTTGTAACATAAGCCTTTATTATGTCACTCAATTTGTATTGGCCAGGAATTCAGGAGCAGCTTAGATAGGTTGTTTTGGTTCAGGGGGGTCTCATGAGGTTGCAGTCATCTGGAGGCTTAAATGAGATTAGAAGACCCTCTTCCAAGATGACTCACTTGCATTGGCTGTTAGCAGAATGTCTCAGTTCTCTGTCACGTGGATCTCTCCATAGGGCTGCTTGAGTGTTTTCATAACATGGCTAGCTTCTCCCACAACTAGGTATCTGTGGGTGGGGCAGTGGGAGAGAGGGAGAGAGGGAAAGAGAGAAGGAGACGAAGGCAGAAGGTGTAATGTCTTTTATGACCTAGCTTCAAAAGTCATAGACCATCATTTGTGCCACATTTGTTGGTTGCACAGAGCAACCCTGATGCAGTGTTGGAGGGGATTACACAAAGGTAGTAAGACCAGAAGGATCATTTGGAGGTTGGAGGTCCCTTTGGAGGTTAGCTACCACAGTCTGCTAATTTCCTTAGCTTTTTTAGCTTGGAACCATTAAATATTGCCCATATGTTAAAAAAAAATCCATCCCAATGATACACTGTTTTTGTATAATGCTTTTTACCTTGCTTTAGTGGACTCTTTCGAGAACCTCATTTCTCTTATGGAAACATTTACAAAACTTCAGATATTTTGTTTTCACTCCAGTTTAAAAAAAATCCTGTGTTAAAATAAAACTACTTTTTAAATATATTTTAAAATTCTGTCTATAGTGTGGTTTCATTTCAGTTATTACTTCTACCTGTCCTGTGTGTATATATGCTTGGAGTGATGATCTTGGAATTAGTGTATTTATTTCTAAGGGGTGAGAATTTGGGTGTGTGGTTTTTAAAATTCGCTTTTCTCTTAATTTTTCCCCTTTCATCTGAATTGCTTAGGATTTTTAAAATAATGGACTTGTATTATGCTTACAAAAAGAAAGTCAGACTTTCAAAACAGTTTTGTAATATTCAGTAATGGTGAGAATGTAGGAAAACATGCTTATACTACGGTTAGAGTATAAAACTGAGTACAGTCTTGTCTTTTTTTTTTTCATTTTTTATCTAAGTAGGAGAGGAGTGAGAGTACAGTCTTCTTTAGGGGACAGTTAGGTGACATTTGTCACAAACATAAATGCTCTTCACAAACTATGAATCAAAAATTTCATTCCTGTGAGTCAGCCCTAGAGAAATATTTATTTGTCTGCAGAAGGTTGTACATAGAGTGTCATTGCATCATAATTTATAATAGTGAAACATTAACAACAACTGCAGTATCGAATAATAGGTTCATGTTTTAATAAATTATGGTATAGAATACCTTGTAACCACTAGAATGAAGATTTACAATGTACTATATGAGAACATTCTAAGATATTAGAGAAAAGTAAGTTACTTATTATATGTAGAATAACCCCAAGTGTATGTTTTTAAAACAACTGGTTGTGTGTGTGTGTATATATATATATATATATATGCATGCATATTTTTCTGTATTAAATTTTTCTGTATTAAATATATATATATATATATATATGAATGCATATTTTTCTGTATTAAATGCATGTAGAAAGTCTGGATGGATTCACACCAAATAAGGATACCTTTAGGATAGGAAATAAGGGGTGGGAGTGGAGGAAGGGCTTTTATTTTATCTGCGTGCATTTATGAATTATTTGAATTTTTGTAGACAATGCATATATGTGCTTTAACTTAAATTTAAACATAATTCTGCTTGCACTGTGGAAGGCGAATTATAGAGATGATAGCAGTTCTGAAGTACAAAATTGCTTGAAGAAGGAAATTTCATTTTTTCAATTGTGAAATGATCTTCTAATTAAAAAGGAGCTTATGAGAATTTTGTACTTTGTGGATCTTAAATGGTTTGTTATTTTTCTTATAGTTACTGCAATTGTCCAGGCAAAAGAGACTGAGATTCCAAACTTCTGGAATGAGGATTGGAAAGGACATGAAAATAATTTTAGGAAGAGAAAGTGATTGTATTTAGTAAATATGTAAGAGTGTGGGGGGAAAGTAGAGTGAACAGTAAAATTGAGATGGAGAACACAGGAAGGAGAACAGATTTAAGGATGATAGTGAATTAAGTTGACTGTGTTGAGGACCTGTGGGAAAATCTCATGGACGCTATCTAGCAGATGGTTTGAAAGAATGGTCTGGTACCCTGGAGGTCATTGGCATTTAGATGACATTTTAAATCAATGTTGTTGGTAATTGAGATGACCAAAGGAATTCTGAGGGTTACTAACATGTAAGAAGCTAGCAAAGCAGCCCTGAAGTCGACTGAAAAGATGTGGTGTTGGAATTGTATCCAGCATTCCAAGGAGGAAGATGATGGGAGTGGTCAGTGGTTTCACTCCTCAGGAAGTGGAAGGAAAATTAAACATAAATTTGTGGTATTGGAGACTCTGACAAGAAAGGATTATGGTGGAGAGCCCTCTAGTGGAAGGGAGCGTGGTGTTTGAGGAACAGGTAGCCTGATGCAGCTGCTCAGAAAATAATGTGAATGAGGCTGGAAAGGCTTTTTCTTCCTTTGAATACCATGTGATAACTTTCTTATTGGAAATAAATTAATCAGGGGTTAGTTTTAGTCTCTCAATGTGTGAAGGTTATATGTAAATTTTTTCTTTTCCTCTGCCCTGTCAGAGGTAGACAAGATAGGTTTTGAGGAACTAAAACTTGTGGGCAATGACGTTTTCTTCTGCAGTGGGAAGTAGGGGGAAAGTTAGGGAAATTTTCTCCTGAGAAAAAGTATCAAAGCTGATAGTATCGAGAGGCTGCCAGGGCTTATGAGACCGTGTTCAGCTGAAGGACCAAAGCAGCTCAAAGCATGAGTTCAAGGAGCCTTACCCATCTGTTAACAGGCTGCTTAGAAAAATCACTGTAAAACGTGTCCTTTTATGCTTTTATTTTGTTTACAGTGCCTTTTTTGGAAAAATTACCTGCTTTACTTATTTTCTACATTATTATATGAATACTGAGATTAAATTTAGAGGGAAGAAATTCTTGTTTATTTCTTCCTCACACAAAAGACAAGACAGGAGAATATTCTATAACACCATCTTCTTCCTTTGTTTTATTAAAGTAATAATTATGCATAGAGAAAATTGTGGAACAACATGTGTAAATAGCTAACCTTGCTTACTTCAGAGAGTAGAATTGGAGGGGGAAGACAGAAATTCTTTGCAACTATTTGCTTGTAAAATAACCAGTAAAGCTCTGTATTTAGTATTTAGGGTGAAAAGCCAAAAATAATTAATGCATATTTATAGGAAGATTAAGAAAACAATATAGAGATAGAAATGTAGGAAGAATCTGCCACTTTAAATTCATATTATATATCTTTAGTTATATATTAGCTGTTGTTACTATACAGAATTTAGAATATGTAACATTGTATATTCATAAAAATATATCTTTTCATTTATTTCATGAGCATCTTTCCATATTGATACATATCCATTTACTTCATTTTTTTGAAACTACATAGAATTTTAAGAACATTTTTGGGGCGACTTTTTAAAATTTAAATATATACACAGAAAACTGTCCAGCTTAATGGACACTTAAAAGTCAAGTTAGGACACCCATATAACCACCCTCCAGATCGAGATAAAGAGCAATGCTGGTCACCACATAAACTTTCCTCATTCTAACTCCCAGGCAGAAACCTTCTCCCTCCTACATGGGTAACTACTATTCTGATTTCCATCGCTATAGATTAGTCGTATCTGTTTTATAACTTTATTTAAAATGAATCATATATAGTTATGTATGGCTTTTGTGTATGTGTGTCTGTGTTATAGGTTTTTCAGTTAACATTATTTTTGTGATGTTTATCCATGTGGTTTCATATAGTGGTAGTTTATCTTTTTCTATTTAGTATAGTAGTCTATAGCAGAATGTGTAGCTATCACAGTTGATGCATTCTATTTTTTTTTTTTTTTTTTTTGAGACAGAGTGTCACTCTGTCACCCAGGCTGGAGTGCAGTGGCGCAATCTTGGCTCACTACAACCTCTGCCTCCTAGGTTCAAGCAATTCTCCTGCCTCAGCCTCCCGAGTAGCTGGGACTACAGGCACACACCACCATGCCTGGCTAAGTTTTGTATTTTTAGTAGAGATGGGGTTTTACCATATTGGTCAGGCTGTTGTGGAACTCTTGACCTCAGACAATCCACCCACCTCTGCCTCCCAAAGTGCCGGGATTACAGGTGTGAGCCACTGCGCCTGGCCGATGCATTCTATTATTGATGGGCATTTAGTTGTTTCACATTGGGGGCTATTATGGAAATGTTTATAAGAGCCTTCTTGTCTCTTTTGAACATACTTCTATTGAGCAGGTGCACATTTCTGTGGGATATATGCCTAGTAAAAAAATGCTAGGTCATAGAGTATATGTATGTTCAGCTCTAGCAGTTATCATCTGTTTCCCAAAGTGGCCCTGCCATTTTATCCTTCCATCAGCAGTGTGAGAATCGTATATGCTCTATAGCCTTGCCAGCACTTGATATTGATGGCTTTTTATTTGTTTGGTTGGTTCTGCTTTTTTGTTGTAGTTTTCTGGGTTTTTTTATGGCTTTTTAAAAACATTAATTTTAAAGCCTACCAGTGTTTTGTTATATAAATATACTCTAACTTAACTAATGTCCGTTTGATGAGATTTTGTCCTCTTCTCACTATACCAAAGCCAGAACCTGGACAGTTCTGTTGTCTAGCGAGCTCTGAGGCTTGTTCTATGTATGATCTGATTAAGGAAGATTTCATATTGGAACCAGTTAACAGAGCTGATAATATATTTTTTCTTAACTGATTTTTCTCAAGTTTTCTGTTTTGAGTAGTATGATAGCAATATGAAGAATCCATGTAAAATAATTTTATTTTGTTGACATGAAAATCAATGTTGATTTCATGGTGGTTGTTTTCTTCACCCTTTAAAAATGCAGTATAGGCTGGGTGCGGTGGCTCATGCCCATAATCCTGGCACTTTGGGAGGCTGAGGCGGGCGGATCACCTGAGGTCAGGAGTTCGAGACCAGCCTGGCCAACACAGTGAAACCCCATCCCTACTAAAAATACAAAAATTATCTGGGCATGGTGGCGCATGCCTGAAGTCCCAGCTACTCGGGAGGCTGAGGCGGGGGAATCGCTTGAACCCAGGAGGTGGAGGTTGCAGTGAACCGAGATCACGCCACTGCACTCCAGTCTGGGCAACAGAGTGAAACTCTGTTTCCAAAAAAATACAAAGAAAAAAAAAAGTAGTATTAAAAAATAACCATAATGTCTGAAACTAGACTTTTGGTGAAAGCCGAATTAATTATCCAGAATAATTTGCATTTTCTTAGAAGAGGCATACAGTGCCTACATTACATGAATCTTTAGTCCACTGGAAAACTGCTGTGTGAATTATTTGAGAATATAATCACTTAGGGTTTGGAAAGCTGTTTGAATTTTGCCTTTTGAAATTGAAAGATTTTTCCAGGCTGGGCATGGTGGCTTGTGCCTGTAATCCAGCACTTTGGGAGGCCAAGGCAGGAGGACCACTTGAGCCCAGGAGTTCGAGAGCAGCCTGGCAACATTGTGAGACCCTGTCTCTACAGAAAAAATAAGAAATTAGCTGGATGTGGTGGGGCCTGGTACAGTGGCTTATGCCTGTAATCCTAGCACTTTGGGAGGCCGAGGTGAGAGGGTGTGGTGAGCCATGATTGCGCCACTGCACTCCAGCCTGGGAGACAGAGTGAGAACCTTTCTCAAAAAAGAAAAAAAGAAAGATGTTTCCAGTCAGAGAACTTTGCTTCACAGTCTTTTTTTTTAACACTCCCCTCTCCCATTTCCTCAAATTTTCTTTTGACATAGGTTTTTAAGTGTGTGAAACTCTAGGGGCTTGCTTTTAATGAGTTAAATGTGATCCCAGGACCTCCTGCTTTTTCTGATGCTAGAGGGTGTGATTACTTCATGATAGCTACTCTTCCTATTGGGCATTATACCTTTAAACGGGACGAGTCGACACAGGTGATATTCAGTAATATTCGGTTACCCTCAGTAATTCCTTGGGAGGTTTTAGGTATAGGTAACCTTCTCTGGTAGCTGAATGGTCTTTTGGAAACTGCCTTGTGGACTTACAAGACAGTTTTGTCTTTCCTGTTGTTACTTGCTTTTGCCAGTTTGTACTGAGTTATTCATTTTTTGGAATAGCTATGAATGGCCAGAATGAGCATGTGATTCTCATACTAGTAAGTTTTAGACATGCTTTTTTACTTTCAAATGTAGAGATTCTTTACATTTCTAAGTAATTGCTGTCAAGAGCTTCTTGGAGATAGCAGAAAACTACTGCTTTATATTCTGTTCAGTTTTGTGGAAAGCTTGTGTTGGAAAAATGTCTTTAGCTGTTGAGATTTCTTAAGAGGTCATATTGTAGCATACATAACTCTAAAAGTCTGCTAATTCTTCTCTGTACTAATGGTAATGACTCTAAAAATGGCTAAATGAATTAACAAATAAGCCAAAAAAAAACCTTATTGAAGACAGTATTTTCAGTGACCTTTTGTTTCCTAGCCCCTAAATCTTTTGGTCAGTATCCGTAATGAGTAACAAAACTTGCTGACTTGACTTTTTTGCTCAATATCTTTTAAAAGTTTTATTATTCTAAATTAGGGGTGGAGTGGAAAGCAGTGGTAATTGAAGGAGCACAAATATAATAAACTCTGACAAATAGCTTTTACTTTAGGAATCTCTTTATCTCAGATTCATGGACCTTTTTTGGAGATTAATTTTAGAGGCCATTGTCGGGTCTTAATTAATAAACTGCCTTGACGTTGAAGAGATAATTTCTGAGTATATCCTAGCCAGTGCAGTCAGTCTTTACAAAGGAATCCAATAATAGTTTGCTCAGGTTGCAACTTCCTTATGGACTGGACACAGAGAATAAAGCACCCAGTAACCTAGAACCAAAAGATCCTTTATTAATTTCACTGTAATTTCAGTGCCCCCCAAAACCTATTTCTCTTTCTACATAGGTATCAGTCAGAGCCGGATCTCTCATTGGCTGTTGCAGCAGGGATCAGACCTGAGTGAACAGAAGAAAAGAGCATTTTACCGATGGTATCAACTTGAGAAGACAAACCCTGGTAAATAGCATTTCCTTTTATTTATTGCATCTGAAACAAGACAGATATAATGAATTACTTTAATGACTCCATGTGCTAACTTGTTCAGTAAGATGGTTTCATACTTTACTATGGTTGCTTTATGCAGAAAAAGACTCTTAACAGTAAAAGCTAAACCCTGACTGTAATAAATTTTATTTTATTGTCTAATATTATCTAGTCATATTCACTCCTTCCCCTAAGACACCTCTTTGCTTTCAGGTTATATGATATTTCTAGCCATAGTTTGAAAGAACGCTATGAATGTTCAGTGGCTGATTTTGTTTTCTTCAACTACATAACTACGTAAGATTCCGTATCTCTTTTTTTTTTTTTTTTTTTTTGCAAATCTTGTTTGAATTAGTAATGTAAATTTAATATTTTTATTTAATTCATGCTGTACCATATCCAGTGATCTCTGCTAATGATTTTTTTTTTTCTAATTCTAATGACCTGGGTAATGGATGTATCTTTGGACTTTAGGATGCAGCTGCCCTGATGACTCCCAGGAGCAGCAGTAGATTGGGAAAGCAGAATGAAATCTTAAGAAAACTAAGATGACAAAAAAATTTATGTCTAGAGTTGGAAGAAGTAGGCAAGATCTATTCAAGATACTAACAGGTGATTTTATAAAGTGAAATCTGAAGTTATGGGACTATCTCAATCTATACTTTACACAGGCAAGTGACAGTGAGCCTGCCCTCATGTGTAAATTTAAGATTGGGTTGCGTTCTGTAATGCTGCAGCCTCAAAGCCTTTGCACACAGACTAAAACACTAGTTGAAATATTGCATAATAATAGCATTGGCTCTGAGGTAGAAATAAAGAATGTCATAGAGATGTATTTTTGTGTGTAAGTATGTGATAAGATTTTTTTCCCTAAAGGTCAGTTTCTCAATCCGAATGGTCCAGGCAGGATGAAACAGAAAAGAACCTATCAACCTCTACAATAATATTAAAAATCTATTCTGACTCCCAGTTTTTATTTTGAAATGTTTCAGATGTACAGAAAATTCAAAAGACTAACACAGTAGACACCTGTTTACTCTTTCTTAGATATAATAATTATTACCATTTGGCTGGGCGCAGTGGCTCACGCCTGTAATCCCAACACTTTGGGAGGCCGAAGTGGTCAGGTCACTTGAGGCCAGTTCAAGACCAGCCTGGCCAACATGGTGAAACCCTGTCTCTACTAAAAATACAAAAATTAGCCAGGTGTGGTGGGGCATGCCTGTATCCCAGCTACTCGGGAGGTTAAGGCAGAGAAATTGCTTTAACTCGGGAGACAGAGGTTGCAGTGAGTGGAGATGGTGCCACTGCACTCCAGCCTGGATGACAAAGGGAGACCTGTCTCAAAAAAAAAATATATATATTATTATTATTAACATTTTACATTTGCTTTATTTCTATAAAAAAGTTAAGATTTATATATGTGTGTATTCAGCATTCATCTCCTAAGAATAAAGATAATCTGTATTACCACAGTCCTCATTATTATACCTAAGAAAATTAATAATAATTTCATATTATCATTTTATATCCAGTCTGAGTCACATTTCTCTAGCTATTAGAAGAATGTCTTTTGTAGCTCTTTCTTTAGTATCTCTTTTAGGTTGGAAAATTGGGATATCTCTTAAATCTAGTCACCCAAACTTTTTTCTTTTAATGACATGAACTTCTTAAGCCATGTAATTTGACAGAATGTCCCACATGCTGGATTTTTCTATTTACTTTTATTATCAAATATCTAATTTCTTTATCTTCTGTATTTCTGTAAGCTGGAAGTTAGAATTAAAATCTGAAGTCAGGATTCATGCTGAATATTTTAGGCAAGATTACTTCATAGATTATTTAGGGAGGCACGTACTAATGGCAGCAATTTATTTTGAAATGCATCGGAAAATAAAATGGAATTGTATTTAGGGAAATGGATAGCTATGTGATAAAGTAAAATATGTGGTATGAGTATGGTTTTCACTTAAAAAATTCTTTCACTATTGTATGTTTGAAAATTTTTGCAATAAAACACTGGAGAAAAATACTTTGTAGGTAGTGTTTACCTAATATTGCCGCATATTAAGAGGCCTGTCAGCATTAGGAGGTTGTAGCACTATTCATATGCCAAGTGTGATGGTTTTGTTAAAATGGTGACCACCAGATCTTTTCTTTGCAGTTTGTGAATAATCTTTAGGGTGACACTTTGCCCCTGGATGAATATCCTTTCCTGCAACAGCTTTCACCGATGACCTTAGCATTCGTTGATGATTCTTGATTGAATCTGTTATTCTGATGGGGATTGCAAAATGGGATAATCAACTGGTAAGGCCAAATTCCCGCACTGGAGTTTCGGGGCTGGGCTCTAGTCCAGCCCTGAACTAGAAATAGGAAGGACGACTAAGGTGCAGCTCTAGGGCCACAATGGCATTGTTGCAGCTGATCTGATAGCCAGTTGTGGAATACTAACTACAGGAGTCCAGCTTTAGCACTGGGCTGATAGTGTTCTTCCAAAGCTGGTTTTTTTTTTAAATTATTGTTATTTATTTTAGCTTTTAGTCTTAATTTCCTATTTTAGTTTATCTTGAAACCAGTATTGGGAAATTAGAGGAAGGTAGAACTAGGGAATTGAAACCAGCAGCATTCATCTAGCTGATAATTAGGAGCTGATTTCTTTAAGTACATAGTGCCTCCTTTTAAGACGTTCCTCTAATTATATGCATTTGTTTTTCAGTAAGATTGCATTATTGTCACCTTTTAAAAAGTACTTTCTATTTTTTGTTTAAAAACCAAATCCTAACTACTGGTTTTCTCAGTCAAGTTTTTCTGTGGGACATAATTTAAAGGTAGCTAGAGATAAGAGGGTAAGTTCGTAATTGCCATTTGGTAGTTGTTGTTGCGTTAACAGCAATTGGGTATTAGCAACTGAAATTTGTTTGTCTTTTTCTTTGCATTTTGACATTTATTATAAAGGCAAATATCACATAGAATTCTTTCTCGATAAAAGTGATTTTGTTTTGTTGACTAAAATAACCTTTGATTTTAGCTAAAGAATTTGGAGCTACTATTATGTTTGGTTAAGATGAACTAAAATTATGTTAGCTTATAGGACAGCAGATCCTTCATTGCAAGTCATTTCAGACCTGATTGGAATCCACCCAGATGTCCCTCAGTTGAGAACTGGTTAAATAAATTAATGGCACATCTGTACAATGGAATCTTATGGAGCCATATAACTACTTTTTGAAGGCAGCTTTATATGAATTAAATTTATATGAGGTGATATGGAATTCATAAGTAAAAAAGGTACATAACAGTATCAAGGGCATATTTATGTAGGGGAACACACACACATACACATGTATATGCTTATCTAAGCATAGAAATCTCTGAAAAGCTGTGTTAGGAACTGGGAAGAATAGCTCTGTGGAGGGGAACTGAGTGACTGGGAGTACAGGGGTAAGGAGTTAACTACACAGCCTAATGTGTCTTTCTAAATTTCATACTATGTACTTGTATTATATATTTGAAAAATAAAGTGTAATAGGAAGGGGGAGACAGACCAAAAGAAATCAATCTGCCTTGTAAGATTAAAAAGAAAGAAAGAAAAGGAAGAAAAACTTAGGTTTATACAGTCCAGACCTGCTTTTGAGAAGCAGGTAGAAAATAAGTTGTCAGTGATTTTTATCAAGTAATTCTTTTATTTCATAATTTTTTTTTCTGTCTAGGAAAGATAGCTCTTTAGGGTAAATGTAAATAGTGTGATCCCTTTACATATATTCTGAGAAGAAAATGCAAAATTAAGAAAAGTCACAAAATGAAAAACTACTTTTTCTTTTTTCTTCTGTAAATTTAAGCATTTAGAAAACAAAAATGTTTGTATATTCTATGACTCTATTCCTGGGCGTTGGAGCATTTCTCTTTGTATACTTTGAGTGAAGTCCTTTTGTTGTTGTTGTTGAGACAGAGTCTAGCTCTGCCACCAGGCTGGAGTGCAGTGGCGCAATCTTGGCTCACTGCAACTTCTGCCTTTCGGGTTCAAGCAATTCTCCTGCCTCAGCCTCAGGAGTAGCTGGGATTACAGGCACGTGCCGCCACGCCCAGCTGATTTTTGTGTTTTTAGTAGAGATGGGGTTTCACCATGTTGGCCAGGCTGGTCTTGAACTCCTGACCTCGTGATCCACCCACCTCGGCTTTCCAAAGTGCTGGGATTATAGGCATGAGCCACCGCACCCAGCGGAAGTTCTTTTTTTCAACCTCTTCAGTCTGGATCCAGTTGTATATGGCTTTTGGTTTTTTGTAAGTTTCTCTTTAAGTGGACTCATCAAGAAAAATAATAGAATGGATATTTAGGTTAATTTTACTGATAACCCGATTGATATAGTGTAGTTCTCTGATAACAGACTCATCATCAGAATTTACCAGCATAAATGAAAGCCTGCCAAGGCATATTAATAAAATAGGCTGATGGAAACTAATCAAATACATTTTATCTTGTTTCTTATGAAAACACTTATAAGAAAATACCTATTTTTTAAAAAAAAGTGAGTGCTAAATTCAGGATGGTTGACATCAAAAGTCCCTTTATTTAATCAAATTAAGTTCACAGTCTTTTTCCCTTGTCTAATTTAAACATTACTATAGCAGACAGGGTTTGCTGAGTTCCTCTTGGCATGTGGTGCATATTCTGCATGCTTCTAAACAATTAAATAAAATTTGCCAAGAGGGTTATGCAGCAAATACATGAGATAAATGTCATCAGAAGAAACATCCAGTCCTTCACTTGCAGAGTGTTAGATCTCAGGGAAACGTGTGTGACATGGGGGAAGATGTGAAATTACTTTTGGAGAGGTTAGTTCCTATGGATGGCGTAGTAATGATGTGCTTATAGTCCCCTCACCCAGAGCTAACCCTGATCAGCAAGGACATTATGATATATGTAAAGAGAACACTTACCAAATTTTTATATGTCTTAACAAGTTATGAAAAGAGTTTTGGGTTTTTTTTTTCCTCATGGGTTTAGATTTGCTAGGTGAAGGTGCAAAATTTTGTTTTAATGGAAACTTAGATGGGGGGAAAAAAGATTTCTGTAAGGAAATAGACAACACACTTTTCCTGTTAGGACCTTAGCCAACCCAGAATTCCTGTATTTTACTTCAGAGGAGTTTAAAGGCTTAAATACATTGTTCCTGCATTCTAGTGTCTTTGTGTTTTTCTGTTAGAGTCAGTAATTTTGAACTCGCTCTTGCTTTTCATCCATTTCAACCAAAGCAAGATGAACTAAGGTTTCCAGAACAAATCTGTTATTAATAGAGTGTTTCCAGAGTACTTTTTTGTGCTGTTTTTAACTACTGCTACATTGAAAAAGAAAAAGGAGCCAGAAAAAAATCTGAAAAGTAATGTAACATTATGTTTTAAAGTAGGTATTTTGATGAATTTAAGATTATTCATTTTTCACCTTCTGTGTGTAAACTGTCTTGATTTCTTTTTTTTCCCCCACCCCGAGATGGAGTATCACTCTGTCGCCCAGGCTGGAGTGCAGTGGCACGATCTTGGCTCACTGCAACCTCTGCCTCCTGGGTTCAAGCGATTCTCCTGCCTCGGCCTCCTGAGTAGCTGGGATTACAGGCGTGTGCCACCACACCCAGCAAATTTTTGTATTTTTAGTACAGACAGGGTTTCACCATGTTGGTCAGGCTGGTCTCAAACTCCTGACCTCAGGTGTTCCGCCCGCCTCAGCCTCCTAAAGTGCTGGGATTACAGGCATGAGCCACCGCGCCCGGCCTTGATTTCTTTCAAAATAACCAGGCCACTACTTACTTTTCTGTCTTCTTTTTCTCCTTTTTTCTTCTCCCCTCTTCCTTTTCCTTCCTGCCCAGTTTTATTTCATCTGAATTTCCTTCAGTTCTTGAGACTGTCTTGACAATACTGAATATTACAAAGAAGCATAATATTAATAATAAACCCCAATACCAAGAAAGAACCATTATTATTAGTTGGCTTATTTCCTTCAACCTCTTGGTTAGGATTCTTTCTGTTCTGTGTTCTATTTGTACCCATTTACCACTCTGCTTACTAAGGAGCATGCCGCAATTATGGATGTGGCCTACTACCTGGAATTCACTGACCTATTGCCCACCCTCCATCCTGAAGCTCTTTCTTTCTTTACAAGGGTCAGCCCCTGGACAAGAGGTTGTATTCCCTTACTGAGTCTTATTTCTACCTTTATCTTGATCAGCCATGATAACCGGTTGGCTCTGTTTTAGTCCTTTTCACCCTTGCTATAGAATAACATTTATATAATTTTAATTAGGTAGATTCCAGAGCTCTTGCTGTGCTGTAATCCCTACTTGTTTTCAGAAAAGCACTATAAGACTGTGAAACCCTCCAGCCCCCAAATTCCTGCTTATGTCTAAACTTAGTTAACTTTCAATTAGGCCCAGACTGAATTCTCAGTTTATTTTGGCAGAATGAAACCCTTTTAAATTGTTTAAAGAAGGGTTTCAGTTTAGAATTTCATGTTGGGTAGAGCAGAAATGTTTTTAAACCAGGGGTTGGCAAACTTCATATAAAGGGCCAGACAGTAAATATTTTAGGTTTTGCAGGTTATATGATCTCTATCATAGCTACTCAGCTCTTCTGCTCCAGTGCATTCATAGCCATAGACAATCTGTAAATGAATGAGCATGAGCATGTTTCAATAAAACTTTATTTACAAAAATAGGCAGTGGGTATAATTTGCCAACTCTGTTTTAGGGTGGGCTGTAAATCTCTAAAGCATTATATGATGACAAACTTACTTGTTTAAGCAGAAATGTTAAGTAGTTAAATATTTACTTTCCATCACATGCTATAAGAAATCACATACATATTAAAGGCTGAAACACAAAATGAAAGATATAAAGATACTCAGTGATATTCAAGCCCATTGGCCATAATACAAAAGACTGACAAATTTGACTGTATTAAAATTAAGATCACAAAGCACACTATAAAAAACAAATGACAGACCAGAAAAAAATTGCATTCTGTATGACTAGCAATTGCTATGATTTCTCTGCACCCATAAGAAGAATAACCCCCTAAAAAAGGAACAACAGATAGAAATTCACAAGAAAAGATATAAATGGTCAATAAACAGGAAAAGATGCTCATTCTTATTAGTAGTGAAGTCTCTATATTAAAGGGAAATTTTTTGCTGCCAAATTTATACATTTGAATAATTAATAATAGTGTATTGGGGGATAAAGGGAAATAAACAACTGAGGATGATTGTGATAATTTTTATTAGTTATCTATTCTTATACAATAAATTATCCACAATTTAGCAGCTTAACACAACCAGCATTTATTATCTCATAGTTTTCATAGATCAGGAATCCAGGAATGGCTTAGCTGGTTGTTTCTGGCTCAGAGTTCTGTAGAGGTTGCTGTCCAGCTGTCAGCCTGGGCTGCAGTCATTGGGACTGGATGGTCCACTTGGAAACTCACTCATGTGGATGTGGACAGGTCCCAGGTCCTCACTGCCTGTTGGTCAGAGACATCAGTTCCTCACAACATGGGCCTCACCATCCACTGCCTGAGTGTCCTCACACGGCAGCTAGTTTTCCCTTGAGTGAATAAGAGAGAAAGCATCCAAGACAGATGTCATAGTGTCTTCTGTATTCTGATCCTTGAAGTGACATACCATCACTGCCACATGCTGTTGGTCGCACAGCCTAATCATGGTGCAGTGTGGGAAGGGACTATACGGAGGTGTGCAGACCAGGAGGCAGGGATCCTTAGGGACCTTGGAGGTTGATGTCCACATTCCTGTGCTGGGACTGAATGTCTGAGGCCTTGTTTCTGTCTATCACCTGGTTTCTGCACTTCTCCATGTGGCATTTGCTGTGGCTACAGTGTCCAAGATGGCATTTTCTCTCAAATGCTGGCACCTGGGTGGAGTTGGCAGAAGACCCTGGGGACTGTCAGAGCATCTTTCACTCCATGTAGCCTCTCCACATGGCTATCCTGGGCTTCCTTACAACATCATAGTCTCAGGTTAGTCAGACTTCTTATATGGCCTCTGGTTTCCCCCAGAGCCAGCATTTTAGGAGACCTAGGCAGAAATTTCAAAGCATCTTATAACCTAGCCTTGAATTGTTTAGATTTTCTTGCTCAACAACCTGTCACAGGACTGGCCCAGATTCAAGGGCATGATTAGCCAGAGGTATGACTTACTGTGAGGAGCCGTCTTTGAAACTTGTCCCAGGAAACCATGATTGTGAAAGATGATGCTGACGTGTTCTAAAAGTAGTAGCAGTGCAAGGAATAAAAATTGATCTGATACTGGAAATATTTTGAAGATAAAATGAACTTGCCTATGAATTAGTTATGTATAGGTGGGATAATTAGAGAAGTGAAAGATTAATTTGAGAATTTTGAGCTGAGTGGTTTGAAGAGTGGGTATCTATTTACTGAGATGGGAAAGACTGCAGGACAATAGGTTTGAAAAGCAAAATCAGGATTGATTAACATTTTGGACATCTGTGTAAGAGAATACATCTAAAGATGTAGCTATTAAGAAGGGGATCTACAATAGATCTGTAAGTCTTGAAGTAGAAATGCTATCCATGGTATTATTTGCAAGGTACAATAAAGAGAGTATTAATTCTATTAGGAAGAAATAAATATTAATATCATTAACATAGAATTAACATATTTATTAATATTGCATAAACCTACATGTTCTAACATGTCTTTCTACACCTGTGTTAAGCATTTGAATTAAACTACAGGCAGAGAGAATTTTTTGAAGGTTTTTGATTAGAAGACCGATATGATCATAATTATGTTTTGGGAAGATGAATTTAACAGTGTAAGGAGTGAAAGAAGAGTGGGGTAGCCAGGGACTGAACTCTATGAAAGCATACCAAGTTACATTGAAAGTCTATGAAATAAGTTCATGGAGGTCACAGACAATGTTGCTTTCCTGGTTTTATTCTTAGCTTCTAGCCTAGAGCAAGCCACTTGAAAGGGATTTGTTAAATAGTGAATGAATGAATAAATGCATCATTGGCAGTTCAAGCTATTTGAGAAAAGAGTAATCTGAATTAGTAAAATGTCTCAATTATAGATATTTTTCATTGAAATTTTATTATGTTCAGGAGGTAACAGAATCTAGTATAGCATCAACAGGTAGACCTATGGAGACCTGATTTAGTTAGTAGACAAAAAGCATATCAAATATCATCTTATTTTCTTTCATGCTGTATTTCACTCTTTAAAAAAGAAAAGAGTTTACAAGAATTAGGGTTATTTTAAGTTTGTCTCCTACCTGCATAAATTCCTTAAGCTTATAACTTATTTGAATGGTTAGTAAAAGATTCTGAACATCTGAGGTATATTGTTCAAAAAGAGTATAACTATCAAGCAGGAATTTCAAAAGAAATTTTTCAGAGAAAGATACATTGATTAAGTTGTCACTAAGCCAAAGACCATACTTCCCTAGTCCCATAGGAAGTAGATGTTATATTGTTTTAAATAAACTGCAAGATATTTGCTAAAAGTGTCTTGTTTATTTCAGGCGCTACACTAAGTATGAGACCAGCCCCCATTCCAATAGAGGACCCTGAATGGAGACAAACGCCTCCCCCAGTCTCTGCCACATCTGGTACTTTCCGACTGCGACGAGGGAGTCGATTTACCTGGAGAAAGGAGTGCCTGGCTGTTATGGAAAGGTATGTGTCTCCTTTTTCTACGAATGATCTCCCAAACTTAGGGAAGACATCAACTCTGGATAGACTGGGACAGTTTTCATTTCAAACAAGTAACTTGGTATCTTGGTTCTATCTCTAAAAGTACTTTAGAATATCATAAATGCTGTATTATAGAAATAAGGTCATCTTAGCATTGAGAATTCATAAAGCTGGAGTTAGCATCTGTCAATTTATTTTACTTATAATAGTGTCCCCAGTAATTTAAGAAATGTTGGAATAAATATTTTTTGAATTCAGATCTTTGTATTATATTTTGGAAAAACTCTTTGAAGTCTTCTTTTCATCAAAAATAATGAATAATTGTATAGGAGACTACTGAGATTTAACTTTCCTTTAATAAGGAGTATGGTCTAAGTAAGCTTTGTCCCAAAGGTTAAAAATACTTATTTTTGACTTTGTTTTAGTAATTTATCCTCTCATTCTGTCACCAGTACCTGATCCATAGTAGGCACTCAGTGGTTTTTTTTTTAACCTGAATTTGACCGTAGCTTCAATTTTCCTATCTGAAATGGTATAAATTAATTATGATTGTGAAATGTTTGGCATACTTAGCATAGATCCTATAGTAGAATTATCTTTTTAGTCATCTACTTGTAAGTGATGTTTACAGAATTTTGTTTCAATGGAATTTTGTTTATATGCAATTAGGTAATAATGTTCCAGCTGTACATTTTTCTTATCTGACCTGACTAGTAGAATTGGTATATTGGACAGAGCACTGGACTCAGAGTCAGAAGACCTATACCCAACTAACTTTGTTTAGGTCACAAACTCTCAGCTGTAACTTCATGTCTAAAATGAAATTTTTTGATAGCCAATATGTCATCTAAGACTTTTGCCATCTCTCATCCTGCTACTTTCTGATTATTTCCCAGCTCATGAACTTCACTACCTGAAAGAGAGGGAGATTTAAAATGCCGAAATTCAGATGTTTTTGTTCATGTGATATAGTTGAAATTAATAGGTTTGCTTAAGGTGAAGGTGAGATCCAGTATCCAAAATGAGACTATAGGTTATCCACTGATGTTGTCATCTATTCCTTTCCTTGCTCTCTTTATTATAGATAAGAGCAGAAGCCATTTATTGAATAATGAATCCTTATATGCTTGAGTCATTAAAGTGAAAGAATGAGACATTATTGTCCTGGAGACCTGACATTTACAATCTGCTCTGCTTTTCTCATCTAGAAATTTTTATTCTTTTTGAAAATTTCTTTAGAACTTGGCACACAGCAGATGAGAATTAAAATAATGTCTAACTTAAATTGCAACATTGTACATTTTCCTTTAGGTATTAGTTTCTACCTGGTGCTAAGTTCTAATTGTGCTAGTGACTTAGCCAGTTAGTTTTTTTCATGAAAATACCAGTATATATTTATCACAAAATGTCATCATGAGAAAGAATTAAGTTAAAAATTGATGACATTAATATCAATAGGTGATATTCCTAATGTACTTTCAGAGTTGAACCTCAGAGACTTAGGGATTCTTATTTTCCTTGGCAGCAAGAATTAGTCACAGAATCACACGGAATTTTAATTAAAAAGATATTGAGCATTTACCCTATGACTCCTATTTAGTCTTAATTTATGTTTTTTAACATTAATTTTAATTAATAAATGGCTTTATCTAATCCAGGAGTTGGTTATCTTTGGCTTAATTTTATGTTACCTGGCACAACTAGAAAGAGGATGTGGTTTATGCCAATAGTTGCAAAAGCACAGAAAGCCTTTCAAAATACTTAATAGTACAGAAGGTCACACAGTATGATTTTTGTTCTGTAAAAATGGAACTTTTTGTTATCCAAAATGACATATAAAATTCCTATCCTTAGTATGACGCATATTTTTTTCCTTGACTGCATGGGTAAATAAATACATATGCATAGACTGTAAAACCAGCAAAGTAAGCCTTACTCAAATGTTGGTATAAGATAAAAGTAAGGCTGGACATGGTGGTTCACACCTATAATTTCAGCTTTGGGAGGCCAAGGCAGAAGGATCACTTGAGGCCAAGAGTTTGAGACCAGCCTGGGCAACATAGCAAAACCCCATCTCTACAAAAAATTCAAAAAATATCTGGGCGTGGTGGCATACACTTGCATTCCTAGCTACTCAGGAGGCTGACATGAGAGGATTGCTTGAGCCCAGGAGTTTGAGGTTACAGTGAGCTATGATTGCACCACTGCACCCCAACCTGGGCGACATAGTAAGATCCTATCTCAAAAATTAAAATGAAATTTTAAAAAAGTAAAAAATTATTCCATTCTTCATACATCAAGATAAATTTCAAATGAGTCAAAGAAGTGAATCCATATAAATAATAGAAGAAAACATGAGTGGTCCCTTCATATCCTGGCAATGGGAAAAATATTTCCTAACCATGACCCAAAATCTAAAAACAATAAAGGAAAAGATTGATAAATATGATTACATAAATTAAAAGAAAAACTTTGGAGGGAGTAAAAGCTGAGCAAAGTAAAAGACAAATTGGAAAAAAAAATTGCAACTTTTATTATCCCTAATAAAGAGCTCTTAAAAGACCAATAACTCTATCTTTATTGGGCTAAAGATAGGAGAAAAAATGCAAATGGTCCTTGAACATATGAAAATATGCTCAATCGGCCAGGCGCGGTGGCTCATGTCTGTAATCCCAGCACTTTGGGAGGCCGAGGCGGGCGGATCACGAGGCCAGGAGATCGAGAGCATCCTGGCTAACACAGTGAAACCCTGTCTCTACGAAAAATAGAAAAAAAAAAATTAGCCGGGCGTGGTGGCGGGCACCTGTAGTCCCAGCTACTCGGGAGGCTGAGGCAGGAGAATGGCATGAACCCAGGAGGCAGAGCTTGCGGTGAGCCGAGATCGTGCCACTGCACTCGAGCCTGGGTGACAGAGCGAGACTCCGTCTCAAAAAAAAAAAAAAAAATGCTCAATCTAATTGATAGTAAGAGAAATTCAAATTAAAACTACATTGAGATACTATTCTTCACTTATTACATTGACAAAAATCCAAAAGTTTGGCAACATTTTATATTGATTGGGCTGTAGAGAAACAGACACTCTCATACGTTACTTGTAGAAATGCAAAATGAAACAACTTAATGGAAGGGAATTCGGCAATATCAAGGAAAATTACCTATGAGTTTACCCTTTGACTTGACATTCCTACTTCTAGAAAATTATCTTAGGGCCAGTGGGTCACACCTGTAAATCCCAACCTTTTGGGAGGGCTGAGGTGAAAGAACCACTTGAGGCCAGGAGTTTGAGACTAGCCTAGGCAACATAGTGAGACCCCATCTCTATAAAAAATACAAAAAATTAGCAAGGCGTGGTAGGGCATGCCTGTAGTCCCAGCCACTCGGGAGGCTGAGGCAGGAGGATTGCTTGAGCCCAGGAGTTTGAAGCTGCAGTGAGCTATGATCACACTACTGCACTTCAGTCTGGGTGACAGAGAAAGACCCTATCTCAAGAAGAAAAAGAAGAATCTTAAAGATATACTGGCAAAAATATGAAAAGATAACAGCACTGTTTTTACTAATTTCAAAATACAGAAGATGACCTAAATGTCTATTTGTAGTAACTATGTCAATAAATTATAGCACATCCATGTATTGGATGTTGAAACCCATGTAGTGGAGTACTATGCAGCTAAAGAACAAAAAACTCTGTATACAGTGATCTCCAGGATATAACATTAAGTTTAAAACAAGGCAGAATCAACTGTATATAATACAAAGCTGTCATTTATGTATTTGCTTATAACTTATTTTAAAATGGAGGAATAAACCATAAAATAAATGGTTATCAATAAAAGAGAAACAACTTAGAAGAGAGGTAGAAGCTAGATTTCTCGGAAAATACTTTGTTTTGACCTGTAACTAAATTACGTAATTATATATCAAAATTTAAAATCAGGGAAAAAATGGGGGGGAGGGGGGGAGGTGACCTTTAAAAAATAACTAAAATTAAACCTGTATATCAAAATAGTGCCTTAAACACCCAAGAATTATCTCAAATGTGTTTATAACACAGTAATTTCCTATACTTCCCAAGTGGGAAACAGCTTAAGAATAAAAAGAAACACCAAAAAAATCTTACACTGTTTCTACTAAATTTGGTATTATAGATACTGCTATTCAGGTACTATTTTTATTTACATAGCTAGATAGGTATAGATATAGATGTAGGTACAGATAAAACAAATAGTCATATTAGAGTTATTAGGAACCAAGATTGTCAGTGCAAAGGAAAAGAGAAATATAAAATCAAAAGATTTAAATAAAATACTGTAGTCTTCTGTATGTTTGCATAGAGATAGAAATTTATCTTGATTTAAAAAAAACAGCCTTAATGAGATACAATTCATCTATTTAAAGTGTACAATTTAATGCTTTTTAGTATATTCACAGAATTATGCAACCATAACCTCAGTCAATTTTAGAACATGTTTATCAGCTCCCTTCCCTTTTTGAGACAGGGTCTTGCTCTGTTGCCCAGGCTGGAGTTCAGTGGCATGATCATAGCTCACCACAGCCTCAACCTCCTGGGCTCAGGTCTTTCTCCCATCTCAGCCTCCTGAGTAGCTGGGACTACAGGCATGTGCCACCATGCCTGGCTAATTTTTATATTTTTGTAGAGACAGAGTTTTGCCATGTTGCCTAGGCTGGTATTGAACTCCTGGGCTCAAGAGATCCACCTGCCTCAGTCTCCTACAGTCCTGGGATTATAGGTGTGATCCACCGCTACAGCCCCAATTTTAGTAACCATAAGATTGATCAGTGAATTCAGTGTTACCTTCTTGATTCACTTATTAAAAAATCCCCTATTAACCATCTACCTAATAGTTTTAGAGCATTGATTATTAAATCTGGATGCATATTAGGATCACCCGAGGAGCTTTTAAAACTATCAGGGGGCTTCACCCCTGATGGACTGAATCTTAATCTCTGGGTGTAGAGCCTAGGCAGAGATATATTTTGAAAAGTTTCCAAGTGATTCTGAAGTGTAGGCTGGACTGAGAATCACTGTTTTGTTATCTATCGACGATTGTTTCCCAATCATTTTTCCATAAGGAGTCACAAGTTGTTGTATTGAAATTTATTTCTTGTACATTAATCAGCTGGAATTCTTCTGTAAAGAACTTTCCCTCATCAACAATTTGGTTACCCTGAAATGTACTCCCTCACAAATGTGTGGCAGCAGGGAGGGAGCTAACATGTAAGTAATTATGGAACTGAGAAGTGAATGCTATTATGACAAAAGGAGCATGTAGAGAAAAGAGGAAAACTACACCAAAGTGGTAACATTTTGGGTGCATTCAGATGAGGGATAGGAGTTCATGAGTTAGAGAATCTGAGAAAAGGCATTATAATGTTAGGAGCATTCTTACTTTGATTATTCAGAACTTGGTTATACTGTGCATTCTATAATTAAACAAGCACCGTGGTTAATTATACCGTAAGTGTTGGCATTCGGGCCTTATGTAGGAGATGTATCTGATTAGATTGGTCTGTTAGATAATAGCGGTAGGAGTGTGGATAATGGACAAGAAATCAATCAAGTATGTATTTTAACACATACTACATGCATATAATCAGGGGGAAATAAATGTAAAATAAAATGTAAAATATATTTAAGTTATAATATCTGCCTTCATAAATCTTAAGGCAGTAATAGCTTACATTTGAATAGGAATTTAATTACTATACAGTTACTGATTTTATTGATAATTATACGAAATTATTTTTATTTAATCTTCACAATTCTATACTGTAGGTATGTTATTATTTGCAGTTTATATATAAGAGCCTCAGAGAAAGGAAGTGACTAACCCATATGCAAATGGATTAGAGCAGGGGTCCCTAACCCCTGGGCTGTGGACCTCCACACAGTAGGAGGCAAGTGGCAGCAGAGCAAGCATTACTGCCTGAGCTCCACCTGCTGTGAGATCAGCAGCAGCATTAGATTCTCATAGGAGCTCGAACTCTTCATTTTCATCCCTAAACCACCCTCCCTACCCCCCACCCCGTCGGTGGAAAAATTGTCTTCCACGAAACTGGCCTCTGGTGCCAAAAAGGTTGGAGAACACTGGAGTAGAGGAGGAATAGATGGAGGCCAGCTTAGGAAGCTATTAGAGTAACCTATGCATGACTGCTGAGGGTCTAAGCTATATTGTAAAAGCAAAAGGATAGAAAATGGATAAAAAGTGATAGATATCAGAAAAAAAATGGAAGAAAAACAATCTAACCTAGTCACACATTGAATGACAAAGCAGGAAATATGTAAGAGTTGAGCATAGTGATAGTCAGAGAGCCTCTGGGAGACAGTACCTGCCATTAGAAAATGCTTTCACTTTGGGCAAATCATTCAGCATCTCTGGGCCCCAGGTGCCACATTTATGAAGAGTTAAATATCATGATGAAGTAAAAAGACAGACTTCAGAGCCACACAGACTTAGGAATTAGTCACAGCTTCACTTTATGTTAATCTGTGGGAATTTCAGCTTTCTATAAAGTGGAGATGGTTATTATGAGAAGAGTTATGAGAATTATTTGAGATAATATGTGCAAATCACACAGTAGAATGCCTTTCTCATAACCATTGTTAGACCAGTGTTCTTTTTCCATCTAAGCTTCTTCTAGTTTAATGCTTTGACTGTGAAGTCACCTCAAGATTTCTGTGTTAGAGAGTTCAGTGGCACTAGAAATGGAGATTTGGGAGTCATCAATATATTAGGTACAGTTAAAGCCATGAGTGTGAATAAACTCTGGTTAAATATATCCATTTATACAGTTCCTGCATTTTTGCAGCGAAATGTGGCTGGAGAAAAACTTAAAACCCTGCTGACTGATCTCATTTTAAATTCATGACCGCTAACCTCAAGTGGGTCTTTAATTCTGCCAAGCAGAATTAATACTATACCTTTCTGGTTTATTTTTTCCCACTCTCCTGTAAGATTATTTCACACTTTCTTCTCTCTGTGCAAACTCCCCATCCTCATTCTCTTATGATGACCTTGCTCATCATGAACGGAAATGAGGAAAATCAAGCAATCAGAGGAGACTGTCCACAAACTACCTACTTGCTACCATGTACACACACACACACACACACACACACACACACACACACAGTTTTCCTGCCTCTTAACATACCCAGAGCACTTCAATGATATGTATATTTCCTAGCGTGTGTCTTGGTGCATCATTCATATATATGTGCATTTTCTCCTTCTCTGACCTCATTCCACTGTGTATTCCACATATTTGACTTCTAAAATATCCAATTCCAAAAACATTTATTGTCACAAAGGACAATATTGTGTGATTCCATTTATATGAAGTATCTGGAGTAGGCAAACCTATAGAGACAGAAAGTAGATAAATGTGTTACCTAGGGCTAGGGGAGGATAGGGGTGTTGGGTGGGGGATGTGATGGCTAAGGGGTATGTGTTTCTTTTTGGGGTGATGAAGATTTGTAAAATCAGTTGTGGAGGTGCTTGTACAACTTTGTGAATATGCTGAAAACTATTAAATTGTATGCCTTAAATAAGTGAAGTTTTTGATATATGAATTATATCAAGCTGCTTTAAAAAAAGGCATTTATTCAGTGCACTGTTAGAAGCTTCACATATACTTACCCTCCATATTTAATCCTCACTGCAGGCCTGGTTTTTCCTTTTTCTAATGAGGCAGTCAAGGCTCAAAGAGGTTGAATAACTAACTTCCTAAGACCACA
Source organism: Homo sapiens (assembly GCF_000001405.40). Lineage (NCBI taxonomy): Eukaryota > Metazoa > Chordata > Mammalia > Primates > Hominidae > Homo > Homo sapiens. Next base: position 29,026,688 of record NC_000008.11, read on the forward strand.
GAGCTAACAAGTGTCCCAGTCACATGTGGATGTTTAGCCAGTGCTATTCACAGATTTGAGTTCTTATTAACTAAGAAGAATGTTATTTTAATTTGGGTATATACTGATGGTTTTTAATTTGTGGACTTGGGCTTCGTTAACTCTAAAGTCTGATGTCCCTAGATTAATATATGTTACAACCTTCCATTTGTTTAAGAGCATATGGGGATTATAACAGGGAAAAGATGAAACAAGAATGGCAAAATGGTTGTTAATTGTTGAAGCTGGTATGTAGGGGGTTGTGGGTTTATTATATTTGTGTGGGTTTAAAATTTTTATAATTAAAAAGGATTTTGTTGTTTTTAAAGAGGACCTGACTAGATTTTAATGGATAAAATATATAATTGACTAATATTTATTCTTTTTTTAATAAAGCATTTGCTGTGTGTTAGCACTAACCTAGGCTTACCTTAAGTAGTTTACATATTCTCAAGGGGAAAAAAAGTCATCTGTAGTGTATGTCTGAAATATCTGCATATGCAAATAATGTGATTCTACAATGCTCAAACGTGATTCTGCAAACCTAACTGTCCATTTGTTCATTCATTCAATGAAGTACTTACGGGCTGTGAGGCAAAGTGCTAGGGATAGAAAGAACAGATACATTTAAGGGTGAGAAGAGTGAAAGGAGTAGATCTGAAGAGAAGGTTTTTGTCAGAAGTGTTGAAGGCTTCATGGCCTAGGAGAGTGACTTCTAATGTACTCTTTCCTTACTAATCTTTCAGCATTTTGGGCTACATATTCCTTTATCTTTGGAAACAGGTGTGTCTCTGGAGCATTAGTGTATGTGACTGGGACACAAAAGAATAAGACCTGGCTATTGCACCTATTCTAGTCTCAAGGGAGGAAGGTAAAATAAGCCTCCAAATCTCCTTATAGGTTTTTCAACCCAACTAAGCAAGAAGGAAAGAGAAGCAACAACTTGGAAAAAAGCTTTGACTGGATGCAGGAATAAATGTGAGAATACCTAGCAGTGATAGGTAGAAGCAATAGAATATAGTGGTTAATAGTACCAGCTTGGGGGCCAAATTTGTGTGGAAAGGTTACTGATTGCTATAATTTTTAATCGAAGTGGCTGAATGATGACCCTGTATTTGGGTGTATCCAGGAACATGCAAATTAAATGCTAATGAAGGCAAATGAATATCTCTGTTTGTGTTTGTAATTAAAACTATTGCGTGTTTTATTTTTCTTATGGATAAGTATATTGAATGTGTTTTTGTTATTAAATTCTGTCCATGGTCATCTTCAGTGAGCAATATAAAACAAAATCATTAGTAAAGCCTAGAACCCTCTGAAATTATACAGAAAATATTTTGTTTTTGTTGTTTTAACCCCTGTCAGTCTCCAAAACAGCTTTAAAAAATTAATCCAAAATATTCTCCCGGGCAAGGAATCAGCATTAAAAATTTTAGCTTGAGAGTATCTCTTTCCCCCAAATTTAAGCATCTAAAAATGAGGTCTTAGAATAAAAGTGTGTCTTCATGAACAAAAATAGCATCACAACCACAATACTATAACGAACCAAAATTATATCATAGTTTTAAATTTGGTGTCACTGCTGTTAACCTGACATGTATAAAATCTGAATTAGAGACATGCATCTCTAGTAACCAAGTGGATTTTATTCAAGGATGCTATACATCCTGGGAGAACTAGCATGGAAGAGACAAATCAGCTTGTAAAGCGATTTCTAGAACATTGCTTGAGGTTTCTGTAATTTAATTTTCTTGGTTTTCACTGCATTTTGGAATTCTTCCCAGGACAGTTTATTAGTACATAGACTTTGGTTTCAGTCTCTTTCCTTTCTCCTCTTTACTTTTAATTTTTTCAGTGAAGGTTAAGACTAACAGTTCCAGAAACTAAATTCTATATTTAACTGCAGTCTGGGTGTGGTTCAGACAACTGCAGTGCAACTTGCCTAGTGTTTTGCCAGTCATCAAAACCCTGACCTGCAAAGAACATTCCTTTTCCTAGTCTTCTGACTCTGAACTATGCTGAGTGATGATATGATGATCTGCAGTAATACTTTCATATGTGTAAATAATGACAAAAGAGACTCATAGGTTCAAGCTTCAAGTGACTGTGGAAGATCAGTTTCTTCTGTGCTCTTTTATAGCAATCTCTGAATAATATTAACCTGCCCTATTTTCCTAGTGTCACTTCCTGTTATTCTTTTATTACCTTTATTAACCACAGTGAGATTTTTTAAATATTTACCCAGGAAGCTCTCTCCACTTCTGCTCTCATTTCATGAAGCTATGTTTTCATTTAGTATATTTTTTCTTCTTGTTTGCTTTATATAATTTGAGGCTTTCTTGTCATTTAAAAATGAAGAAATAACTTCTAGTAGGATTTTCCGCCTATTAAAAAAACACTCTACTTCTTGAAGAGAATCCTGTTACTTTGCAAAATGCAAAAATAATCATGTTTTTCTTCCTTAGCAGTATCCTCAGTTTGTTATGGCATTGTGATAGTGATGCTATTTTGTTTATATCCTTCATTATTTTGTATAATGTTCCAATATTTATATCACTTATGCAGAAATCTATGGAGTTAGAGACCCTTTTAATGTCAGTAAGATTACACCTAGCCAGAGAAATAATTAGAGCAGAAATACTTATAAATCCTTTCTAATATTGCTCTTCTGAAACATTAAAACCTATCTGGATGTTTCTTTGGACAGCAGCTTGTGTCATGTGAACAATAAGTGACTTTTGCTCTTGTTGTACAAAAAAATATAAATTGCATCTACTGACCACTGATTCCATTTAAGCAGTCCAGGTGTAAGCTGAGAGCCTTCGTTTGATTTCATTTACCTATATTTGGTCACCATTACTGCAAAGAATAAGGAAGTGACCCTAAAGATCATCTAGTTCAGTTTGTTGTTTAGATCAAGAACCTGTAATTCAAAGAGACTAATTAACTTGGTTACATTCACAGAATAAATGAGATTAAGTTGCTTATTTTGAGAACTTACGGTTACGGGAACCGTAAAATATGATTTGAAGAATAATTCTACTCATTGAACTTCTCAGCCCTTTATCTTCCTTAACTTTTATGTGGTAAACATTTATTGACGGTTGCTAAGGTTTAGACTAAGAATTGGGACACAGAGATGAGGAAGACAAAAGTCCTTATTTCATTTAACCCAAATTTCTTCTCTTTGTACTTCTTGTTTCTCTTAGGCCCCCTTATTATTATTACTATTATTATCTTTTTTTTTGCTTTTGTTCCTAAACTCCTTTCTGTATCTTCCTCTTCCTTACCTTCTGGTACTTTAGTTTGCCAAAAAGACTTCTGTTTATTTCTTTTTCTTTTCTTTTACACTTACTTCTTTTAAGCACACCCTCTACCCTCCAACTCTGTTGTTAGTTTTGTTGATTATAATGTAAAACTGAAGTATATGCTTTAGCATATCTTATATTTTCTGAATAAAGTATTAGGTTCCAGTTTTTTTTTTTTTTTTCATGTAAAAAGCAAATTGGTCAATACCTTTTGTTTTTTTGAGACGGAGTTTTGCTTTTGTTGCCCAGGCTGGAGTACAATGGCGTGATCTCAGCTCACTGCAACATCCGCCTCCCAGGTTCAAGTGATTCTCCTGCCTCAGCCTCCCGAGAAGCTGGGATTACAGGCATGTGCCACCCCAGGCCCAGCTAATTTTGTATTTTTATTAGAGACGGGGTTTCTCTATGTTGGTCAGGCTAGTCTTGAACTCCCAACCTCAGGTGATCCGCCTGCCTTGGCCTCCCAAACTGCTGGGATTACAGGTGTGAGCCACAACGCCCGGCCGGTCAATAACCTATTTTTAAAATCAATTAGTAAATGTTATGTAATTTCTTAAAATGTCCTTCAAGTTATTAAAATTATATCACTCTATGATTCTAAATAATTTCCTGTTTTTGCGTAGAGCCTTTGTTTTCTCTGAGATTCTGTGGCTTTGGATAAGAAATTATTTCCCACCCTAGAATTAAATCTTTGGAAAATAACTGATTCTTAGTATAACAACATGAACAGACTAACTTCAAAAAACAAAATCACGTCCATAACTAAGCTCTGGCAGAAGAGCAGTTCTTCAGGACTGTGTTTTAATGCATATTCTCATGATCTATCTTAATACTTTGTTTAGCAATCAGCTTGGATTGTGGTTCCCTCAGTTTTTATGGTTATGCATTATAGAAATGAAATATCTTGAGGTTGCTGCAATCTGAAAATGGAAAGAAATTATTGTTCACCTACCTTTTTATCAGTCTAGGTAGTTAGAATTGCTTCCTTCTTCCTTATAAATGAGAAAACTAAAAACTCACCTTCCTACTGCTTAGAAGAAATCACCTTCTTTTATTTTTCAGTTTATCTCTAAAACTTGTTTCAGTGCCTTACAGTTGCAAAAAGAACTTACATTTCATTTTCTTCTTTATTATGTTGCTGCTGAATTGAGCGAACTAGCTGAGGATATCTTCTTCATATCTCATATCAAAGAGCCCATGTGTCTGACCAAGATGGTGGTTATATTTGGATAGGAAATTCAGCGAATGTTTTTCCAGCTTCTTTACATTCAACTCTGATAGCTTTGTAGCAAGTGGCTAAGTCAGTGATGATGAATTTATTAAGTAGAATATCATTGTAAGATGACAGATATGGCCTATGTAAATTTGAAGAAAATATAAATGAAATAATGTTAAGCAAAAGAAGAAACAGTATATTATTATAATAACGTAAAAAGCCATAAATATCCAAAGATAAATATTGAGAGAAATAAATAATTTACCTTATATATTTAATAGTCTGTACATTTTTTTCTTGTCATTTTTTTTTTTTCTGATGACATAGTGGTTAAAAACACAGACTTTGGAGTTAGAACAACTGGTGCTCCAGGCCCTACCCTCTTACTCACCAGCTATGTGTCCTTATGGAAATTGCTTATTATAAATGACTTTAATAACCATACCTATCTAATAGGAGTACTTTGGTATGGCTTTAGGAACATACCTTTTCTAATAGTGTTGCTCCTCAACACTGTGCCCCGTGCTGAGGAGTGTGGAAAGATTAGCTCCTAGCCCTGGCAGGCTCAGTCCATTGGAGGAGTCAGGTTAAAAATGTCATGCAAGAGATGTGTACCAAGTACAATAAGGACACAGGAGAGTGGTGCAAGGAAAGGAAACCCTGAGGTGACAGTGGAGTGGGGTCCTGGAGAGCAGTACAGTTTCAATGAGGTGAGAAGAGGAAGAATGACATGGCCAGTAGTGGGAGCACCATGTGCAAAGGCACAGAGGCTGGAAAAATGAGGCTGCTGAGTGTCTGCTCAGTTGGGTGGGAAATGAGGCTGAGTGAGTAGGTTGCAGCCAGATTGGGAATGACCTTACATTGCGACATTTGCAACATTTGTCTTTCGCAAAGCATCCTATTTGTATCTATGTGAAGTAAGTTCTTTTAATAACCAAAAAACATTTTTCTTCATCAGTTTTTGGGGTTGTTGGTGCCACTTTTCTCCCAGATATAAAACAGAAGTAGTAACTCTTTCATGCCAATGATTCAAACTTTTTTGGGGGTGGGAGGAGGGGGGTGGATTTTCTGTTAATATTTGTAAAACATCCTGGGAATTAAAAAATTGAAACTGTTTTGAAAAATCTTTCTAGCCTTCTTTAAGACAGAAGCCTAAGTAAGATTCTCCTTTCTACATGATCAAGGAAACATCTTGAAATTCCAGTCATTTTCAATTAGAAAAAAAAAAAATCTTTTGATCAATTTTTTTTTCCTGCTGATTTGTGTTACACAGGTACATTGTTAACAAAAATTATAAAATTCAGTTTTTCTTTAACTGACTTCTATTATAAAGGTGCATTGCTAGGATGAAAATTTGGGCAATATCTTTGCCAGAATGAATTATTTCACCATCTGCTAAGTAAAGTTGACTTGGTATTTCAGTGGTGCAGTTTTTATGCTCCTTTGGGCTAGGGTTTGGTTATACTCGGCTGGTCTATAGGCTGGCATAGTGCTGTATGTAAAGTCTGATATTACAGAGTGTCACTTGAACTTGATTGAATATTTAAGAAGATCCTATAACTTTAACAAAATTAGAAAATATTACCACCCTCTTTCCCCCACCGTACATGTTAGACTCAAGGTGGGAGATACGGTAGTGCAGTATTTTCTAATTTTGTTAAAATCGTAAGGCATTCAAATCAATTCGATGATTGATAATAATAATCAAAAGATTTAAAGTGATCCAATCAAAATGACTCAAAAAACAGGAAAATTACTTTTGAATGCCTCAGTGTTGTTTTCCTTAGAACATTATATCATTCTCATCCATTAAAAAAACATTTTGTGGGAGCAGAGTTGAGTCCTTTAAAATGTGATGTTTGTCCTGGCCTATAATGAATGAGGATGTAAAACGTGCACTCTGCCCTCCCTTAGGCTGTTTTGCCACCACCGCAACCCCTGGCAAGCTGGTCTTCCTTCCTGTCTCTTCTGATGTCATTGCTGTTCTAAGAGAACATGCTGGAAGAATACACTATAAATTTTGGGATTAATTATGCCGGAAGTTGTATTTTAAAAGAAGTTTATCCTCTTTTATACTCCTTATGGAATGACTCGGGTGGAACATAATGAACTACACCTCCTGTATCTCTCTACAAATAGAAGGCAGTTCTTAACATTTAAATAGACAGCAGGAGCCTGGACATGACCTCATTTCAATCCATTAGACTATTTGAGGAAAAAACAACAAAATTTTCCCACTTATTGACAGGTAAAGTTATCCCAATCCATTTCTCATAGCCAGTAAGAAGATGAACTGTGCTTAAATGTATTTTAAAATTGGCAAATTATACTTCCTGGTTCCTTTTTGGTCAAACAGAAATAGCCAGAAGAGAAATTATCATGATGTTTTTGAGGCAGATTAAAATTTTTCTCTATCCTCATAGAGATGCTTTGCTAGCAGTTTCATTTTGTACAAATGGCATACCCCTTATTTCTCTAGTCCCCAAGCCAATTAAACAGGGCAAAAGACCCCACGTTCCTCATACAATGTTCTGTGGCCGCAGTTTACAAATAAATGAAGCACAGTTAGGTAAATACTGGTGTTGTATATAATGAGTGACCAATTAAGTATATGATTCATCCCAGAGCAGAATTCTAGGCATCATATTATAAACATTAATACCAAGGGAGATCAACTTATAGACGAATTGGAAAATCTTCACAGAAAACTAGTGAGCCTTCAAAAACTCAAGCAAATATTTATTGAGCTTCTACTTTGTACCAATCATTGTAATAGATAACTGAGCAATACAGTAATTAACAAGACAAATGTGGTTCTGGCCTTAATGGCATTAAGAAATCATTATTGTTATACTAAACATTCACAACATGTACAGAGGCTTATATATGTGTTTGGTGTTTGAAGATCTCAGTTGGTAGGATCTGAACTTGTTGGTGAATATCCAAGTTTGGTTGAGGAAACTTGAATGGACTGTGTTAGTTTAGTGGTAGGAGGCATCTAAAAGTGGTCTTAGAGTATACTTTGAAAACCTAGGAGTCCTGATTATAGTAGTGTCTCATCCAAATATTCTATTTAATTGGTTCCTACTTTGACACGTCGTCCATGAAATTAAAAGGCCAGATTAAGCTATGTTTCTGTCCTTCTTGACATTATTATGTAATTGTCATCATCTTACTAGGTTTGTCATCAAAATATTTTTGCTCTGCAGTGTGACTGTGAAGAAATTTATTTAGCTTGTATACAATTGGTAAGATAACTTTCCAGCTCTGTCAGTATTAATATAAGTAGCATAATTTTTGGTCAAATGTTATCAGAATTAATTTGGCTTTTCAAGAGGCAATTGAGGGCCAGGCACGGTGGCTCACACCTGTATCCAGCACTTTGGGAGGCCAAGGCAGGTAGATGACCGGAGGTCAGGAGTTCAAGACCAGCCTGGCCAACATGGTGAAACCCTGTCTCTACTAAAAATACAGAAAAATAGCCAGGCATGGTGGTGCATGCCTGTAATCCCAGCTACTTGGGAGGCTGAGGCAGGAGAATCACTTGAACCCGGGAGGCGGAAGTTGCCATGAGCTGAGATTGCGCCATTGTACTCCAGCCGGGGCAGCAGAGTGAGACTCCATCTCAAAATAAAATAAATAAATAAATAAAGGCAATTGAGGACTCATTTATCTATATCCTGGTAGTTTGATTGACTCCCACCTAAAACAGCAGCAAACCTAAGAAAAAAGAAGTAGAAGTCTAGGTTTAAGAAAAAGTAATAAGTACCCATGTGTACAAAGTATTGTGTTTCTCCCTCCGCCTTCAGAGATATATCAAGATAATCCCAGACCAGTGCACCTCTGATTCTTAAAAGAATCTATGCTATTCTCCATGCTTGGTTTGCTGCTTGTTGAGAGAAAGAATTTGGATTGATCCCTGGGAGGACCAGTTCTCATTTTAGATACAGACAATAGCCTTTTAGTCAGAGGTAGTCATTTTGCAGAAGCATAGTATTGATCATAAGAAAAACCATGCAAAAAAACAATGGATTGATCCTTATCAATCCTGTTCTGTTGATCTCCATGTTATAATAATTATTGGTCAGTCGTGTCAGGTTTGTAAGTGACCAGTTTATAATTCAGCACTTTTAAAAAAAAGAATAGTCTCCCTGCCTTGGGACACCTTGTACACCAGGAATAAGAAACTTAATTCTAGGTCACCTTACAAACCTCTTTGGTAAACCTACCTCCTACCAGTGAAGGCTGACAAAACTGAGAAAGCAAGATGCAGCTGCCATCTAGCTAAAGTGGAGCAAATGCAGGAAGGAGTATACTACTGCCATTGCCCTAGGAGTTTGTGAACTGGTTAAGTGCAGTTTACTCAAATAGTAGATGGGACTTAGGTACCACGGTTTCCGCTGGTATGACCTTAGTTGTCACTCACATTTGGTCGTTTCATTAGGAAACTAGGAAATCCACAGACTAGCAAAACCAAACACTGCCCTCTTGTGCATGTTCTTTTTCTTCATTATTTAAATAAAATGGAGAGCTAAGCAAATACTTGCTAAATTCAGCGGTAGTCAAAAGACATGTTTCAGGAGAAATACTGTTTCTCAGTTTTTCTTTAAGTTGGTTCGAATTTGTCAGTTTTACTGTTTTTGTGTGACACCTCTAGAAAATTATCTCCATTCTTTTCATGTTCTTCATAGACATGATTAAAAGATAATACACATTAAAAGGAAAACCAATTGTTACATAGTAATAAGACTCACACCAAACCTCTAATATGGTAAGCACTTCATTTAGGGCTGCATGTTTTAGGACAAGTGATAGCCTGTATTGTTTCAAAAGCTCAGTAATAGGATAAAGTGTACTAAAAACTCACCTTCTAAATCCAGTGTTATGCTTGACACCTGTTTATCAATTGGCAAGTGGGGTCTAGTGGCAATTAGCATGCTGCAAGTAAATGAAACATTTAAACATAGAGTCTTTGCAGTGAAGGGCCTGGGGAAAGAAAAACTTTATGTTAGGGCACATTTCATACATGGTGTCCATAATTCTTATTCTCATGTATGGATTTTTTTTCTTTTTTAAACAAGTAAAGAAAAGCATCCTACCATCCTGATAATGATTTGGAAGCTTTGTTTTCTGCTAGTGCCTGAAGAGGCACTAACTCTTCTAAGATAGGTTAACTGTGCAGTAGACAGACTTTTAATGGGTGTTGATGTTCTGTTTCAAGTGAGAAGTCCCAGGGTTTATTTAATTCTCCTCTACTCAGGAAAAAAGGAAGGTCAGTGTTATGGTTGTGTCTCCAGAGCAATTAGATTTCCTTTCCCAAAGAGGAAAAGGCAAGGCTAGATGAGATGTAACTGTGGTCCTTGGGCTATCATGAGTTTCTTTCTGATACCGTCACATCTTTGCTTCCAGGAACTCTTGTGAAATTAACAGGAACTTGGTCTAGGTGATTCATTGACACAGAGATTTTCATTACATATGTGAGATGAAGTCCGAAACAATACCATGTCTTAGCTGAGTAGTGGCTGTTCCTGAGCCAGTGAACTAATAAGTCAGGAAACCTGAGTTATAAGTCATGTGACCTTGAGCAAGTCAGTTCTTTCTGGCTCCTCATTTGCAAAGTTCATGTCCTCCCCTGCAAAATAAAGAAGCTTTCAGCTTAAAGGTCTTTGATTCTTTGTCAGATCTACTCTGTTACATCGAAATCCAGGTGTAATGAGCTGTGTTATGCGATTCCATAGGCATTTGTAAATTAGGCTTCAAGAATTCACTTTCTCATGTGAATCACTTCCTAGGCCAGTACTAATTTTTCCGTTTAGTACTCTTCTCTTTTCACGGGCTATTCTATTTTAAAACCTTAAGATGCTGCAAAGTCATGAAAACTTACAGAAACTCATGTATATTTTAGCTTGTGCTCACACCTTCTGAAAGGTTGATATGGACAGAGCCATTATTTATTTTATTAAGTCTGTGGAGTTAAAAATAAGCTCATCTGTAAAAAATACATTAGTAAAGAACATCTTTTGTTTGTTATACCTCAGTGTGTTTGCAAAACAAACTTTTAAAATGCAAATTGGTTTGTTGCTAAAAGTTAGCATTAAGATAGGCTAAAGTTTATTATTTAAGAATAATTTTAATCTAATTCCATTTTGCCGATACTTTAAGACAGCAAACTTTATTTTCAAATAATGCTTTTCCAAATTATAAAATTAGCACGTGCTTAATATATAAAATTGAGGGATACACAGGAAAATATAAAGAAAATTAAAATACCTCTTAATACTACCATCCAAAGATAGTAATTGTTAACATTTGGCATATTTCATTTTAGTCATTTTTCTGTGTATTATGTATACATCTACATATCTTTTTAAACAAAAGATGGTTATGCCAGATATGTAGTTTTATACTTTCTCACTTATATGATCTTTGAAAACATGATTTTCATTGACTAAATCCATTTTAAGAATATCCTCTTATTTAGTACCCAGTCCCTGGTGGTTGGATATGTAAATTGTTTTGTTTATTTCCAGAGATCATTTACCACATAGATACTCTCAAATAGGAGATGGGACTTAGGTTCTAAGTATGTTTAAAGCTGGTTTTTTTCCTTCTTCTGAAAGAGTAATCTTTCTTCTAAAAGCAGGCCTTTCCTGCCCACTGCCCAGTAAGTTTACTTGGTGATGAAGAAATACACACTGAATTGTAGTTAGTGGGAAATGTCTGGCAATCCTAAAACCTTATTTTGGATAACTGAAATGATGAGGTTTGAATATCTCTTTAGCAGAGATAGTTCACATGAAGGCACAGAAGAACATGTTCATTTACATGGCATTATCCCTTGCTTGGAGAGTCAGTCTCTGTCTTTTCTATATGTTCACGCAGACACAAAAGGAGGAATTATTTGGCTGCAATTTTTATAGACTTCAGTGTTATTGAAATGAAAGTGGTTCAAGGACATTTCCATTTGTTACTAGCTTATGGTTTCTCATCTCTTATAAATTATTTTGCCACTTTTCATTTTAATTCTTTGTTGTCATTGTCTGGCAAAAGATCATTTGGTTTCTCCCTGTGAAGACATTCACTGATCACTCAGCCGACAGTGTCCTTTGTAAAAGTGTAGTGCCCTCTGGATTTATTTTATCATTTTTTTATTGCTACCTGTGGACTTTTGTTTATGCTTCTTTTCTGTTTTGTCTTAGAAAATGTTTAGGGCTATATACATTTTATATGGACTAGAAGTATGTTTTGAGCTCCAGAGTTTCATTTCAGAAACAGGTCCCCTTTAGAGTCCAATAGCCAAGTTCTCCTACAGTTTATCCACTTGGTAACAGAAATTTCTAGTCCTTCAAAATAATCTAAAATGCTGGAAGGTTAATAACAGTGTGTACTGTTCCTAGGGCTGTCTTGAATGCATTTTATCACCATTCCAAAGCATCTCTTGAATCTCACCTTTCCTTTCTATGTCCAGGCCTCAGCCTATTTGAGGCCTTCTCCACAGCCATCATCACAGCTGCCTAACTGGCTTCTGCCTCTAATATCAGCAGAGATATTGCCCTACAAAAATAAGTTTGATCTTAGAATACCTCTGCTTTAAATTACAGCTCCCAGTTGCCTAGAAAGTTAACTCCATACCCTTTAAAATCTGGACCCAACCTTTCACAACCCCCTGTCATACACTGTGTATTCTAGCCACACTAAACTCCTTCCCATTTTTGGAACATTGTAAGCTCTTTCATGACTCTTTCACTGCCTTTGGACATGGTGTTGTTTCCTCTGCCTGACAGCATTTCCCTGTACCCGCCCTCTCTGCCCTGAAAACCCTTGCTCTTTCTTCAAGACCCTGCCCAAGTATACACTCCTCTCTGCTACTGCAGTACTGTATTCATAAAACTAATATAATTTCTTTTACAGTACTTCATAATATCTTCTTTACATACCTGTATCTCCTGGTGACTACTTGGGGAAGCTTTGTCTGGTTCACCTTTGCCACCATTTAGCCAATTGCCCGGTATAAACTAGGACTCAACATTATTAGGTGATTAAAATGAATGATTAATTCAGTATATTCAAAATCAAAGTTATTAGATCTATTTCCCGACTTCGTTGGCAGCTCATTTTGGTTATATATAGCTCAGAAATAAACACAAATATCAAAAATAAACACAAATAAAAATATCTTAGGCCAAACCACCAAATGTACTTAGAGAAGATAATTGTACAAAATGGTGAAATCCTCACTTTCTCCTGAGATAGTCTGGGTTTTACCAAAAGTCTTAACTGAAACCACTGTTTTCTGTTATCACCTTTGTTTCCTTTTCCCATTCATTTATTCCCTAATGTATTCATTTATTCAACCATCTGTTGATTAGATACTTACTGTCTATTATATGCCAAGCATATTTTTTTGGGCTTAAATACCTCCTTTTGTGAGTAGATAGAAACCATAGCCATCTTCCTCTTGATGCTTCCTTTTTTCTGAGCAACTACTATGTCCTCCTTGTCAGAGCACATGTGAAAAAGACTCAGAGGATTTTAGTTTACATTAAATTCAGATATGTACATAATGTAGTGTGGTCCTAGGGTGGCCACATAATTTATTGTCCAAAGCAGGACACTCTGGGGGATTAAGATGGGATTTGTTAATAATCCAAGATAACAGCACTATCTCAGGCAAACCAGGGTGTATGACCACCCTTATGTAAGCCCTATAGTGTAATCAGATCACATCACTAGTTGCCTTCTGTTTTTCAAGTATGTCTTAAGTTTTTATGCCTTCATATTTTCGTCTTTACTGTTAATGTTGCCTTTGCCTCTCCAATGCCTGCAGCCTGTGCACCCCTCAGAAGCCTGCCTAATTCAATGAGCTTTCCCAGATCAGCCCAGTCCACAGAGATATCACTCTTTTCTGAATTTAACATGTTGTTTTATACTTAATTAGAAGATAGATGCATTTTGTCAGTTATGTTTTGGCTCCTTTTATTATTTAGCTTTTTTATATCTTCTTCTCGAACCATAATCAAGGCCCATATTTTGAAATTACTCATACCCCTCAAGTACAATGCCTTATGCATAGTCATGTAATACATAGTTGTTTGCTATTTTATTTCCTGGTCTACCTTTATCTTCAAAAAACTCTTCTACTTATATCAATATTGTGTGTCTTTTCTCACAAAAAAGTTTTAAGAGTTTTGCAGTAAAAAAATCTTATTACTTTTTAAACTTAAATATTTACCATGAGGTACTATAAATGTCATTTTATCAGTTTAGATTATACTGTATATCTTGAATTAATATTTTTTAAACATTGAAACATTACAGAAATAGAGAAAGAAGAAAGTTGTGCTAACAGTCCTTTGTATACACCTCCAGCTAGAGTAGCATGTTTCAATGACAATTCATATTTTTTAATAGGCCTACATTTTTTAATTACAAAAATAACAGGTCTTTAATAGAGAAGAAAGGATTAATTAGTTACCAGGCTTAGAGATTTAAAACCATATTGAATCAATTCTTATTTTCTTTAGCCTTTGATTTGGAGAAAGTTACTGATTTCCTTTTTTACTCTGGTCTTCTTTATTTTATATGGTTAGATCCTAAAAATACAGATTAATTTTAATCTTTAATTAAATTTAATTAATTTTAAACCTTTTTAACTCAGTACAAAAATTATGTATACCATGAATAATCGCGAATTCTAGTTTAGCTTCCAGAGATAGCATGGCTTTATCTATTTGTTACAAGAACAGAAATCACAATCCTAATATTTTCTAGCTGGTCCAAATACACTTTCCAAACATAAATAGTTACAGAATTGTATTGATCATTAAACGAGTTCTTAAATATTGTACTGTCTCCCCCAAGTTCTCTTCTTAAAAAGTAATTTATAAAAATAGCATGTGTTTATTTCAGAAATTCAACAGAGAAGCATATAAGGCAGAATGTCATTTTTTTTAAAATTTTTTCTTATTTCTCCAAGAAAAAGTGAAAATCATTCTTAATTGCCACCAGTATTTTCCTGTTTTTGCCCCCATCCCCAACACTCTTGCTTCTTGGAGATAGTCATTGCTAACCCCTTAGTACGTATCCTTCAAGATCCGTTTTGCAATACCTCTTTGCCTTCTCTTGTTAGCAGTTCATTTACTGTGAGATCCATTTCTTTTGGAGGCCCCCACACTGGGTTGGTGGTGCCTTTGTCTATCATTATTGGCTCGTCAACACTATCATTAGTGGGGAGCGCGTGTGAGGATGATTCAGACTTGTACCCTGGCATCAGGTGGTTTTCAGTGTAGTAGAAGACAGATGTATACAGTGATAACTATAATACAAGATGAAAGATATGTAAGAGAGGAACAGATGAAGTGCGGTGGGATTCATAGGGCAAAAAAAATACCTTTGATTGGCCAAGAGGTGATATTTGAGCTGTACCCTGAAAGATGGATAAGATTTGCACTGCGGGGTGGGGGAGGCAAAAAGCTGATATACTTGCAAGAGAAAGGCACAGAGATGCAAGGAGTTTACAGAGTTATTCCATTTTCCTGGGTGGTAGCATGCATATATGGGAGTAGCAGATAAAGATGTAGAGGTTGTTTGCGGGGGGACTTTGAACACCTCTATAATAAACCTTTGAGAATTTCTGAACAGGATAGTGACTAGAGATGTGCTTTAGGAATATTAATCAGGCATTGGAGGGGGTACAGTGTCATCACAGGCTTTGCAGTCACTTGGAAGAAAAGTTGTCACAATGAGGTGCACTGGCCAAAGAGCTATGGCTTAAAAGGAACCCGTAGGTCTTAGCAACTACTGTATCCCATCAAATCTAAGAAGGCCTTGATTGTAAGACACACCTTAGTTGACGTACCAGTAAGGGAGACAAAACACCACCAATTATAAAATGCATCCTGACTTCGGAGATCACAATAATGAAGAAATATGTATTATAAAAACAGTGAACTAAGATCACTGTATGGGCACAGGGAAAAGATGAGATATGCAGGAAAGAAAGGAGAGTTGAGAAAATGAAAGGAAGGGGAATGAGGTCAAAGACAAAAGCGGAGAAGTTGACCTTGAAGAGGAGGAGAATGCATGCATCTTCCTCTGCCATAAGATGAATGAGTAATGCTCAGAACAGTGTACAAGTTGAGAAGCCAAGCAATTAACTCATATTAAATAATCTCCATCTTCATAAGAGAGAAAGCAAGGTCATCTGCAAAAAGTGACAGTGGTCAGTTTGAGGGCTTGGGGTAAGAGAGTGTAAAGTTTTCAGGTAAGTGGGGCAGGAGATGGGATATGAAAGGCAATTGGTTAGAAAAGACCAATAGAATTCCCAACAGAAATGAGGGTTCCAGTTAAGGTTGAAAAATGTGGATTTATTAAAAAAACCAATTGGCCCTATTTTATGACTTTGTCCAGGAACACTTGGTCCCCTGAGAGAAGGATGGAAGAAAATAAATGGAAGTTGCTTTCTGCAGGGTAGGAGATTGGCTGGACAGGTATGGTGGAAGGACAGAAAAGCTAAACAATCTAGTTTCTCCTAAGGGAAGTTGCTGATTTCGCATGCCATGGAGTTCAGGCTAAGAAATGAGAGGTGAAGCCCAAAGAGGAAAGATAAACAGAGATTGTTTTTGTTTTTGTAACTGATGGGTGGGGGGATTAAGCAGTTAGAGATAATAAAGAAAGTGAAGAACAAACTATTTTGAAGAGGAGGCATAGGTAAATACAAAGTTGACTGGGGAATTTCAGAATTTAAGATCATGGAGGTAGAATTCCAAGGGTTAAGCCTTGAAGATAAAGTGTTGTCTTTCTAGAAAACAGATGGGAGTATATCTCTGTGTATCTTGGAAACCTCTAAGGCACCCCGTTTATTTCAGTATGAAGTCTTCTTAAGGAACAGACAAGGGTCTTCACAAGCTGGCCCCATCCCACCTTTCCAGGCCAGTATCTCATCATTGCTTTGTACAAGCCCCATGTTCTAGCCACATTTAACTCTTCTCTATGCCCAGAGTCCTCAAAAGCTTTTATCTACCATTTTGCCTTTGCACATGCTGTTCCCTTTTATATAAAACGCTCTTCCTCCTCTTCTCTGCCTTGCAACCTCCTGTGCATTCTCTAGACCTAACTCAGATGGCACTCCTCAGTGACGCCTTTCCAGGCTCCTGCCAACAACACTGAACACGCCTTCATCCATGCTGCCTCAGTGCTCTGTCCATACATCCTATGGCATTTCACCACAGGATATTGACTTACATGTCTCTCTGTAGTAGACTGTGAACACTTCAGAGTCAGAAACTATATCATCTTTCTTTACCCACAGTGACAAGCACATATTAGGTACTTAGTATCTGCTTTTCGTTTTTGTATATTTTGTGTAAATGAACTCATCCAGTACATCTCAGAAGTTACGACCTGTGCATTTAGGTCACCTGGAAATCTTGTTAAAATTCAGATTCTGATTTAGTAAGTCTGAGGTGGGGTCTGAGATTCTGCCATTCTAACTGGCTCCTAGGTGACAGCCATGCTGTTAGTTCTCAGAGTTAATCCAAAGCATCTCAGCCTAAGTAAATAGGCATAGGGCAGAGACAAAAGCCATTAGAAATGTGAAAGTGAAGCAATTATGAGGGTAGTGACTTGGAAAAATCCTCCGTATGAACACTGGAGTCCCAGAAATGATAGGAGAAAATCATGCAGGAAGAGATGCTCAAATAAAGCAGAAGACCATGGTGGAGGGTGGTAGTTGACAAGACTGGGAGGATATAGCTCTATGACTTAAGTTTTACAGAAGAAAAAGGTGGTTAGGTGGGGGCAGCTGCTGTGAGTCAGGACTGCATCAGATGAGGTTAAATAAATAAATAACTGGCAGTGAAGCCATGCCCTCCAAGGAGGAGTGGGCAGTGAGAGGAGGGAGTAGTGTTAGGAGCTGGGTTTGCAGGTGATCCTCAGGAAGGGCTGGGGCCTCCAGTGCTATTCACAATAGGATGGCATTTCCACCAATGCAGACAGGAGTGCTGAAGGCATAAGAAAGGCTGGATTACAGGGAAAGGGAAACCCCTGAATAAATGGTAGGTGCTAGAATTTGACAGGGGCCCATTTCCTGATTGGAAGTTTCCAAGTTGAAACCATGAAAGTTCTCCTTTTCTTTTTTTAAACTCATGGGTGACTGAAAAAGTAGCACTAATAAGCATTCTGTTCCCACATGCAGTCTGATGGGTCTGAGAATTCTAAGGATGGGTTCAGTAAATTTATTTTTTAAAGTACTATCGTACTTTAAAAAGTGCAAAAGTAATACATACTTTTTTAACAAATGAAAAAGAAAATGTTTAAACTCCTCCCACTAAGCCCCCTCCCCACAAATCAGTAACTGGTATTTAAGCTTACTGTGTAGTCTTCCAGCTTTCATCTATGCAAACTTACGTACACATAGGAATTTTTAAATTCTGTAATGGTATTTTCATATTATTATTGGTATAATACCAATATTGAAAATAATGGTGTTTTCAATATTATTCTGCGGATAGTTTTCCTCACTTAGAAATATGTCATAAACATCCCTCTGGGTCAGTGGACAGAACTCTAACTTATTTTTTCCTACTAGTTTTAAATAGCTACATATAAGTATAGATATCCCATAATTTGTTCTGCCATTCTACTGATGGATACTTGGGTAATTTCCAATTTTTTCTACTACAAACAATTAGACAATAAAAAAAAGTCCTATTGTTACCAGTGCCTAAATAATATAACTCTGTGACTTGAATCAGTCACACATATCAAAAATAACTTCCATATCAATGACATCTTTTAATGAAGCACAGCAGTATGTAGACCTGTTTTGTCCCATATAATAGCCACTAGTCACATGGAGGTATTCAAATTTAAATTAGTTAAAATTAAATAAAATTCAAATTCCATCCCTGACATTAGCCTCCTTTCAAGTGCTCAGTAGCCATTTGTGAGTTGTGGCTACCATACTGGACAGCATAAAAGATTCTACTCTCACAGAACATTCCATTTGACAGCCTGGACCTAGACACTTGAGTGTGGCATCTTACAGAATATATTTTTCAGTGAGTTAGTGTTTTAATGAGAGTATGTTTGAAAAATAAAAACTTTGTGTCTGTATCGGTTGCCTCTGCAGTTACTTCAATGAGAATCAATACCCAGATGAAGCAAAGAGGGAAGAAATTGCAAACGCTTGCAATGCAGTTATACAGAAGCCAGGTAAGGTCGCAGGCACAGCCTTGCTCTGCGGTGCAGCACAGCGCTTGGTTACAGGTTGGCATCTAGGACACTTAATCTTATGCGTGCCTTGGCATGGTGCTCCCGGCTCAGTCTGTGCCATCCTTCCGCAGGTGGCCAGTGCCCTGTCCTGCTCACACAGTACTTCTGAGGGATGTTTTTATGGTACTCAAAATCAAATGCTCACATAGGAGAGTTTTCAAGGAGTGACCCTACATGAGATATGAGACCTTGAAATTACTATTTTTTTAATGTGTAGATTTCCTTTTCTAAGAATTTAGCTAAAAGATATTATGAAATAATGTTAAAGTTTTAAATATTTAAGCAAGCTTTGTCAATATAAGATTAAGATAGAATTTTTTAAAACAATTGTTATAAATTGTAAAATGCTATATTTCTCTTTGGGGAAAGAATTCTTTTTGTAGTTAGTTTCTATCTCCTTTCCACATTGAGATGACTTCTACTTAGCTAAGAAAAATTTAGGGCAGTACCATTTTGAAGTCCTGTTGTTCCAAAGTCAACAAACCCACTTAAATATTTCAAATGTATTTTCTTCCTTGTGCTAAAATATTATTTCACATTTTACAGATTTTGTTAAACATAAACCATTTTCAGTTAACAGATCCAGTTGATTTCCATGTGGCCAGTTATTTTGATTGGCCTAAAGGCTACATACAAAAGTATCAATGTTTTATAGAAATTAAGCAGACCTTCATTCTCCCTCACCCAGAAGCCAGACTTCTAGCAATGTAGACCCTACAAACTGCTCCAGTGACACACAAGTGAAAGGAATCTGTACCCTGTTTCAAACATGCCAAAAGTCCCAGCCCTAAAGCTGTGCAGAAACTTGAACTCTCCCTGGAACATTTTGCCCCCGTATCATCAAGGCCCTAACAAACCTGCTTTCTGGTTTCTTCACCCACTGTGGATTAATAGCCGAAAAACAAAAGGAAAGGTGAGGAGGAAATGTTACAGGGGGGTCTGTATTGGCAAGCATGGTTACTATCCATAAAAAATCACATTGGACTTCAAAGATGGTAAATCTAAAATGCAACTTGAATTGTGCTATGTAGTCCAAACCAGTTACAGTAATGGATAGTCATAGCGGCCTTCAGCCTTCAAGAAAACATGTATAATATCCTCTGTCCTAAGACAGCAGGTAATTAGTTAACATAAGGCCTTAAAGATGTAAGTAAATTTCTGTTGTCTGGATACTTGATAAAGAATAACTTATCTTGGGTTGTTGTGGTGGCTCACGCTTGTAATCCCAATATTTTGGGAGGCCAAGGTGGGCAGATCGCCTGAGCCCAGGAGTTGGAGGCTACCCTGGGCAACAATGGCGAGACCCCATCTCTACAAAAACCACAAAAGTTAGCCTGGTATGGTGGCCTGGGCCTGTAGTCCCAGCTACCTGGGGGGCTGAGGTGGGAGGAGCACTTGAGCCCAGGAGGTCAAGGCTGCAGTGAGCTATAATTGCACCACCGCATTCCAGCCTGGGTAAGAGAATGAGACCCTTTCTCAAAAAAATAAAAAAAGAATATCTTATTCTGATACAATAATGGTAATTAAATGAAGCCCCCATAGTACTGTCACATGGACGTGGATCTGACACCCTAGCCAACTGACTTTGTGGAATTCTCTAATATTATGTATGGCTTTCCGAATTGAAGCATGTTGTGTTACTAGTTGTTGTTTTTGTATTCATTTACATATTTATTCATTCAGTAATTGGGGTGTGTACATGGTACCAGGTAATACTTTAAAAATCCCTCTGCATCTGTAGTTTTGGCAATAAACGTAATCAAAAGCAACAAAATAAAAATATTAGCCCTTAAAACTAGTTTATTCTTGGATCCCAGATATAGATTATCTGAATTTTATTGCATGTATTCACAGGCAAAAAGCTGTCAGATCTGGAAAGAGTTACCTCCCTGAAAGTATATAATTGGTTTGCTAACAGAAGGAAGGAGATCAAGAGGAGAGCCAATATTGGTAATGTATCAGTGAGGCTGCTTTTCTCTTGTGCAGCAGTTGTGAACGTCATGTTTATATTAAGATTAACTTCAGTTTAGAAACTGCAAGTCTAAAGGATCCTAACTTCTCTTTTTTTTTTTTTTTTTTTTGAGACGGAGTTTCACTCTTGTTGCCCAGGCTGGAGTGCAGTGGCGCGATGTTGGCTGACTGCAACCTCTGCCTCCTGGGTTCAAGTGGTTCTCCTGCCTCAGCCTCCCGAGTAGCTGGGATTATAGGCATGTGCCACCACACCTGGCTAATTTTGTATTTTTAGTAGAGATGGGGTGTCTCTATGTTGGTCAGGCTGGTCTCGAACTCCCGACCTCAGGTGATCCGTCCGCCTCGGCCTCCCAAAATGCTGGGATTACAGGTGTGAGCCACCGTGCCGGATCCTAACTTCTAAGCCTAACAAAAGTTGCCCTAATGTCTTTCATTGTGTTTTTAATAAACCACAGTTAGTATTATTTACACTATTTGTAGTGTAATGGTAATGACATTATTATTTATAAAACTCATTCTTCTTAAAGTTCTAGAATATAGAATTAGACATGGCCCCTGAGCAATTGATTACTCCTGTGGTACATTTGAAAGATACTTGTAAGATCTTGAGAAAGGGAATGTAATACCCAGAATTTCTTCATTATTACTGGACTATGACTTAAATATTAGGAAACAATTGATTAATGGTTTGGAATGAAAGAGACTTAATAGACAAGGAACGCAGCAAAAGGCAGAGATAAAGAGCATTTAAGAAATATGGATTCTTGATGTAATCATTTATGTATATATACACATATCAAAACATCACCTTGTACACCATAAATATATACAATTTTTATTAATTATATTTCAATAAAGCTGAACAGAGAAAACAAAAATGCCAAAAGTGCCCTAGAGGGAACTACGAATACAACTGAAAAAGGAAGAAATAAAGGATTTGTTCCCATTCAAAACTGTAACAGTAATAAATAAGAATAAGAAATTTAAGTTGGTGAGTCAGGTGGGATGTTGGTTTTTAGCTTCTAAAATTGCATTTCATTTCTTCCATCCAAGTACTAACCAGGCCTGACCCTGCTTAGCTTCCAAGATCAGACGAGATCGGGCGCATTGAGCGTGGTATGGGCATAGAATGCATTTCATTTCCTTCCTTTGTAAATACACTTTTTATTCATCAGTACAGTTCTCATATGCTCTATAGAACCCCAAGATAGGAAGACTGTTTAGTTAGTTAGCAAGTATTTATGAAGCACCTAACATGCACAGCAGCAGAGACCCCAGAATGGCAAATGTGTGCCTCCCCTGACCTACATGCAGTTGAATTTCATCCATCTTACAGTCTAAAAGAAACAAATGTAGAGAAATACAGGTTCTTGTTTAATTACATTCTAATTAATTTCCTTAGCACAAAAATTCATTCAGTGTTTCAGCCATTGTGATAAGGTAACAGATAATTTAGGGATCTATTTGCTTTTTTCGAAGAAGCAGCAATCCTGGAGAGTCATGGGATAGATGTGCAGAGTCCAGGAGGCCACTCAAACAGTGATGATGTCGACGGGAATGACTACTCTGAGCAGGTGAGCCCCTGCGCAGCTGGGCGAGGTTCTTGGTGCCTGAGCAGGGGGTATAGTGGGACAGCTTAGTTCCTTGGGTGTGGCTGATGGGGTGGGGGAGGGGAAACAGTCACTGTCCCTCCACTCTGCTCCTGTGTCTAGTTAGATTTCATGTAATTTGAAAGGAATGTGGTAAGATTCAGTTGTCCTGTTGAATTTGTGAGAGATCGTTATTCACCCACATGGATTTATTGTCATACAACAGGATACTTGGCAAGTACGCAATGGGGAGGAGGAGGAGGGAAGAAGTTCAGAGGGAGGCAGAGAAGCAGAGAAGGTAGAAGAAGAGAGGAGGATCTGATCCAAACAAGCAAGTTACACCATTCACGACACACACTCAGTGTTTGAGAAATACTAGGGGCAGCTGGACCCCATGCCTAAACACGTACCGACGCAGGGCACGATGGAAGGCCCCACTCACTCTGGCCCCACTGCAGTGGGAACCCTCCTGCCCAAAGGAGTGGTTCTTCCAGAGTCTCTGGCACACTGACACATGCATCCTCTCATAAGTGCAATACCTGCATGACTCTTCACCTCGCCCTGATTTATTCTGCATTGCTTTTGGGGAAAATGTATTTAATTGTAGCCACTGCGTGGAGTAATTCAGTAACTAAGACTGTGGGAGTCCCTCCTCGACCCCCACATAGATGTTGACAGATTTCATTAAAATTTTGATAGGATTTAAATTTCCATTTGGAATATGCAGAGAACGCATGGTACCTTCCCCTAGACCACAGCAAGAAAACTTCTGCTCATTTTTCTGGGGTCTGTGCTTTTTTCTTGCTCCTCAGCCAGCTCATATAGTCCAATGTGTTCTTTAATAGCCTCTGTTTACCACACACCTAGAATGCATGCAAGTGTGTGCTGATCCCTTTGTAAATTCTAAAAACTAATCTGTGAACATCAGAAGGAAACAATGATGTCCACACTTCTGAAGAACTACCATTTTTTCCCATTTAGGACTCTAGTTAATAGCCCCAAGAGAATATTCTGTAAGTCTTTCTGTTCGGAAACATTCCTCTTTTCAGTCTACCCACATAGATGGATCATTTCCATCTTTTTTTACAGATGCCCTAAGGGCAGCACATTCCATGTTTTGTTTGTTTTTTTCCTTAAGGGACTTACCCTTTCCAAAGCTCTTTGATACGGAGTTCCCCTGAAGATGACAGGTGAGAAACATACCCCTTATTTGTAACACCATCTTCAGTGCCTGACGTACATCCTGCAATGCCAGCTTCCTTCACAGCTTTATTGTTTAACACATTGAGCTGCGCGGGGAGGACAGCTTCACACTAGTTCTAGGTAAGACGCCTGCCGCTCCCCTTGCACAGCTGCCTGCAGCAGGAGAGCTCGACACCTTCCTCCCCTTTCTCCCGTAGCCGTTTCTGGCAGTGACATGTGTCCTGTTGTAATGGAGAATTCTTTTTTTCTTTTTTTACAAAAATGCATTTTTTATCTGTAAGATGTAATTGTAAGTTCTGTCTAGTTTTCTCAGTTCAGAGAGGGACCATGAATTCTAATAATCTATTTGTAAGAGCAGCAATCTGGAATTTAATAGCTCACTAGTATGGCCTTCAGTGATTAGTGCTATATTTGTTACAAACAGAAAGATCCAAATTGTTGGTTTTATATCAATCACTGCAGGTTTGATCATCATCACCAGCAATCTTATTAATAGAATGAATAGAATTCTCAGTGATGAAAAACATTTTTTGTGCTTTTTACTTGTTGAATCATAAGATTATCAACTGAAAATCTTTGGACCTATATCCATTCAGTGTCTACTTAAATACAATTTACCTCTATTTTATCATGAGCCCCTCCCCCAGTTTCCTCCCACGAATGTTCTGCCTCCCCTTGCCCCAGCATGTCTCTCTGTGACTAAAGAATTCTTCCAATCCACTAATAACATTTCTTATTTCTGCACATCTAGGATGACAGTACGAGCCATAGTGACCACCAAGACCCCATCTCATTAGCTGTGGAAATGGCAGCAGTCAACCACACTATCTTGGCATTGGCCCGACAAGGAGCCAACGAAATCAAGACAGAGGCCCTGGATGATGACTGATCAGGGAGGTTAAACATGACAAGTTAACTTAGTTTAGACGTAGCACCTTAGCAGACTTTCCTCGGTCCTTAACATGTGTTCTTACAGTATAACTTGCAGTTTCTTGTATGTCAGGTAGCTGTTAGGGTCTTGTTCTGTGAAGATGGCATGGTGCCCTCAGCCTTTGCATATACTCTCTCAGTATTAACTCCCAGTAAATAATAACCAACCAACCAACCAAACTTCCCTCTCCCAGCCCCCGAGGCTAGAAAATCTTGCTGCTCCGTCTTAGCATTCCAAGAAAGTGCTTCCAGGTATTTAGATAGCCCTCAGTTCTCAAATATTAGACTACGTGTAAAATCTTGGGTACCTTTAGATTCTTGTAACACTAGTCTGTACTCCCTTTTCCTTCCCCAAGACTGATAGGATGCAAGCTGAGGTCGTGGCACAGGAATGACAGACACCATTTGGGGAGTATCCACAGAGTCAAAGGAACACTAGAATCCCCACCTCAGCGTGAGGATAATTGATTTCCAGCTGCAATAAGCCGTGCCTCATTATAGCCACACTGTGGCTAGATTATACTTCTTTGGGTGCTGTGCTAAGAATGTCAATGGAAAAAGCCGATCTCAGATTTTGTTTGAAGTTAACATGCCTGACACAGACATCCTTTCCTCTCACAAGCTGTGTGACTTAGTAGATAAAATACTGCCTTCTGCCTTTGGGACCATGATTAAAAACAAAGACAAAAACCAAAAGTCATTAAAAAAAAAAAAAAAAAAAACCCAGCTTGAGAGCATTGGAAAAAAAAAATATGAGCTGAATGTCTAATGGATGCTAAGTCCAGTTTTCAGAACCACTGTACATTCCACGGCACAGTTAGCAGTGCCTGCCTGGAAAAGTTTTGGAGGTCATCGTGGAAGTTGCTTTGCCTCCTGTCAGTGTCCCCTTTCCCTGCTACCAAAAAAGTCTTTCAAGGATGGAGCTAAGGTCAAAAATGAGTGAAAAAACTTGCAGTGTTTGTATCCATTAAACGGAAGCCCCCTCACTCTGAGAGGTCACTAGAGGACTTCATAGTGGGGTTGTGCTGCTTATCACAGATGCAGACACTTGCCCAGATAGGAGCAGAGAAAAGCAGGGGACGTTTCCTACTCACATTGTGGCTGTATGAGAACACGATGGGACTGCTTTGCTGTTCTCTTTACTCTGTCCTTGGAGAGGTGTGAAAAGCTGTATTGCTACAGGCAATTTATTTAATAATTGGAAGCCATATTGATAATGGATGTGGTAATATTTGTAAAGTTTAATCTACTTTAAGCGGCAGTAACTAATGGAATTTTTTTCCTTGATCACATATGTAGCACTTTTGTTACTTTTTAAAGATATTTATATTTGATAAATCTTTTTTTCATTTTGAGAACTCAAAATACCAAACAGTGAACTTGCATTCTAAAGTCACCCTGTGATCACCTTGTCATCTAGTAGCAAAATGATGAACTATTCATGCATCAAAGAAAATTACATCTGCTGGCCTTGTATGAAAATGATCTCTTGGCATCCCGATTAAATGACACACTGTCACTGTGGGTAAGAGGAAAGAGCCTTCAATGTAGCAGCACAGGGTGCGCCTGAAAGAGGCACAACTGCTGTGGATTTTCTGCCTCGCTCCATCTCTCCTATGTATAATGAAGCCTTGTTTAAAGGGGCATGTGGGGCTGGATGTTAAGCACGGCTTCTTTTTGTCCGTTACCTGAAAACAATTTCTAAGATAAAAGGAAGGTGCCATTTCCTTACCTCTTCACCCATCCTCCTCCACCAAATGTATTCAACTTAAAACTGTGAGAGAGAGAGACTGAATGACCTTCCTCAGTTTTCCCTTTCTCATTCAGGAGATACTGAATATCCGCCAGTTTGTAGTTGGTTTCCTTCCACTTAAGGCACACGCTGACTGCATCATTTCCTTATCTGTTAATCCTGCTTATGTGAGTGTGAGGAAAGTCTTTGAGAGGGCATGAAAGTGCCACCTTATATATGTCTGTGACTTTAAAGAGCTATATGCAGGGCCTGGTCCCACTTTTGTCCATGGATTTCAGGGGGAAAAAATATATGTACTTTTTTCAGCTTCCAAGCATTGAAGTGAAGTGGAGCCGTCTCTTCTGTTTTACTGTATTACTTGAACCAACAAATTCAAGAGTAGCATTTGTTATTCTCAGGAATGAGCCTCCCACCGCCCCCCCCCCACCGACTCATATTCTTTTTTGGTTTATCTTTTTATTTCAATTAGGAGATTACGTTCTCTTCCTTTCCTTTTATTTTGCTTAGAGGAAATGTAACATAGTCCCATTTTTGTGGAATTTTGACGCTTATTCTCAATTGAATCAGAAAGTACAAGGAGACAGAGAAAAAATCCGCTCTGACAAGCCACATCCATGATTGATTGTAAGGGGATTATTATAATTGATAGCTTCTTTATCATGGGATTGCTAGTATCATTTGTACTTGCTGGTCTTTTTAAAGGAACAGACTGACTCAAACTGTTAAGACAGCTGCAGTTTCTAAAGAAATACAAAGATTGCCGTGGATGCACTCAAAGGTTTCATTGTTTTAACACCTTTAAGGGAGAAAAAAAGCTTCAGAGAATAAAGGCAAGTTCGCATCCATGAAGGGCAGTACCAGACCCTATATGGCAATGTGGTAAAACTGAAAGAATATTTCTACCACTGCAGGAGAATGTCCTGGAGAGCTCAGTGGGAACAGGAGGAAGGCATCTTCCACCCACAGTTGTTCTTGTCATTGGAGAAGACCGCTGGCTGCTCTGAAGACCCACTGCCTTACATGTCACTTTTGCTTTTTCACCAAGAGTGAGAATTTACTTCCTTTGGGCCTAGATTTAAACCTGTTAGTTTTCTGTTTGTCACCAAGTTCAATTCTGCCATTTTGTCCAGGCCACCTTGGTTCTTGTAATGGTGTGTGGCGCTGCTACTGTTATATTTATTTCTAGTGTCTTTAGGTAGTATATTTCTCTCTTAGGCTTTTTCAGGTTTTAGAGGTGGAATTAAAATAGAAACCCTAAACTTCCGTATTACTGAAGGGAAAGCAGCCAGGCTCTAAAAACTCACACTGTATGCTTCTTGGTTGTTCCGCCCCTCCCGTTGTACTTCACTCTCTCCTTCAGGCCCCAGGGGACTCCCGCAGGGGCTGTTCCTTCCTGTCGAGGAGGACTTTCAAAGGTCTTTTGAAGTGGGGTGTGGGGGAACTTGCCAACAGGTATTCATATAATTTGTTATTTCTTTAAAGACACCTTAATTGAATTACTATGGTCAGATGGGTAAACTTTCCAAACTTTAAAAGCACTGACACAGGGACCTTTTAAAATGGGTCATCTTGATGAGATCTCTGCCCATCTGTTGATAACCCTAACAGTGGATGAAGGCTGGGGAGGGCAACACCCTGCATTCTTATCTGAGCCCTTCAGTGCTATTCAGTTCCAAATGTTTTGATTTGTTTCAACAAAGTCTGTAATGTTGGAGTGCCCTTAGAGCAATTTTCTTCACAATCAAAATCACAATCCTTTAAGTGGTTAATAAATGTAGTTGCCTTCCACTCACTTATGACTCTGGACAGTCCCCACCCCTGTCACTCACAAGGGCAGTCTTCCCACCCCACCCCCATATTCACATTCCCATGGCCCATCACAGGAAGAAGGAACCTGGGGCAGAGACGAGGAAAATCATTAAGGCAGAGGTGTACACATCCAGTTCTCTAGTTCTTGGTAGATTTATGGTGGCAGCCAGTTCAGTGGTCACCACCACCTATGTTAGGTCCATGTATCCAGATATATTTTACCTCAAAGGAGATGACTGAAGAATTCACCAATATAGTTATTATTTCCTTTCTGCCTGTTTAACATTTGTCTTTAAGAAATATTGGCTTTAGAAACTTCTCCCTTGGATATCAACCATCAGGCACCAAGTACAAACAGACTCATTGAATCAAGAGTCTCCAGCCTCATCCTGTGAATAGCTCCTCTTCTGTTTCCCTCTGACTAGGCCTTCAGCTGACTTCTTTGCTGGAATTTTCTAATCTTGTGACAGCAGGGAAAAGCTGGATGTGGTCCATCTCTTAACACAGACACTCCTCCCTGTCTTGACCAGCTACGTATTCCACTGACCAGCCTCATCATCTCTGCCCTCAACAGTGGAAATGATCTCTTTCCCACAGATGTTCTCCCTCCCTCCTTCCTTCCCTTCCCCTTCCTACAAACGTGAACTCTTAAGTCTTTACTCTCTGGTCTTCAGAAGGGTTTGGTTACAAGCAGTCTTCCCATTTAATTTGTGGCTCTGCCTTTTAAAATTGTTTTTTGTCTTTTGTTGTTCAGAGAACGACCAGAGTATTTTCTCCCCAGTGTGTCCCAACAGATTCTTAGGCAATAATTTTTCTTGTTGATGATCCCGTGCTCAGTAGCACACTACATTGAAGAACCCTGGCCCTCACCATTGTGTGTTGGTTTCTGTGTTAATCTCTGTGATCTGAATCATGTCAGAGTGATGATAGATTTTGTCATTTTGTTGTGATTATTAGTAATGTTTTACTACTGTATTCATTGGGGCTGTGTTGAGACCAGCCAAATCCATTTATAGCTTTACTGAGCCGGATTGATTTGTCAGGATTTCCCAAGTGAAAGTTGGGCATATTGCCCAGCTCCTGCTGGTGGTATCTTTGGGGAGTGTGGGATGGGGTGGGGGGATGTCCTGGGGCAGGGGTGGGAATGACACATATAAGGCATTCCATTTTTTTTTTTTTTTTTTTTTTTTGCTTGTGCTTATTAAATAGCAAGGGTGTTTACTCAGGATTTGGGGATCAGTTGTAGCCATGTTGAATTTGGCAAACTGAGCTGTGTGCCCTGAAAGCCCTCTTTTTATTTCTTCATTTCCATATTGTCTGACTTACTTCACCTAGGAATACCTGAGTTATCCAGTCCAGTGTTCCCTGATGAGAGTGGAAGATTTTCCTGGAGAGGCAGCTGTGCATGGCCAGGTCATCTGTCAGGATGTTGTGGTGGTGTGTGATCAGAGCAGAGGGCCTTTCTTTTCCTGTACTGTGCTCTACTTCCTTATGCATGCTTGGTTTCAAAGATGACCGCCACTTTAAAAGAAAGATTTCCTCACAGCTCTCCAGAGAACTATCATACTAAGGTGATAGGAAAGGCTTCTCGGATACAAGCCAACAAGTCAGTTTTCTGATTACAGAAACTCCTCTCACAGGTTATGTTTGGAAAGGCTGTTCTCCATTCCACTTATAAATTGAAAGTGATAAGCTACTGTCTTGTGATCTTGCAGGGCCAGTGGTTGACTCATCTCTGAAAGGTAACTTCGTTCATATCTATGTATTTTCAAACCTGGAAGCTTGTAAATTGGAAGTTTCAGTATTAGCTTTATTATTCTTTCTTGGTGAGGAATAGAAATGGCAGCAAAAAGAAAGCCAACAATCTGAAAACTCCAGTCTCCTCTAACACTGGCTTTGTTTTAAATCAAGATGGGAAGAGATACATGAGGGGTGGGAGGGAAGATATGCCGGCTGCCCTTTCTTATCTCAGTGACGTAGATGCCTCGGGATTATAGGCACGCGGATCACTGAACCTCTTTTTTGTCATTCTTCCTATGACATTTGTGGCAGAACTTTTTAGTTGATTCTGTTCACATGAAATGTGACAAGCATTTTTACACCATGAGACAGTTTACTACCCACATGCCACACCCATTGTCTGTCTCATCAGCCAGCCCCGTAACTGCACCCAGAGGGGTGCAGCTGCAGGGGAGCTGTGCCTTTCTCCTCTCCTGACACTCCTTTCACGTGGCAGGTTTGCAGGTTGGTTGGCCCTGGTCTGGACAGCTGTGTCCGTGCCTGCTCGGCTGCCCTCCAGTTGGTCGGTGTGGCTGGCGTGGGCATGTACCCCCCGACTCGCACTTGAGAAGTCTTGGGATGCCGGCTCCCTCGACTCCATTTTCATTTTAAGTAAGAGTGGCTCTGTATAGCCATAATTAACTCTCAAATTCACATTGGTGTGCTGTGATCAAATGAAGGTTGGACTGAATCTTTTCAAACTGTAACCATGGTAATTGAGGGGGGTGGCATAGAATGAATATATAAAAATATAATGGCAATTGTTCTGAATGACTGAGTGTCCTCCTGACATGTAATTAGCTGTTTTAGCAGGATGTAGATTGGCATGGTCATAATTAAAAGAATTTCTGTCTTTTATGTGATTGGAAATGGCAGCGCTCCCATCCCCTGTTCCCTCTTAGCACTAATGCTCCCAAGAACATTTGGAACAGCAGCTCCATAAACTAAAATAATGACATGGTGCTCGTGTTCTCCCCTAAGTGAAACAGCAGAATTTGGAGTTGTTTCAGCTTCAAAATGGAAGCCTTTGATTATTGTTCCCCATTTGACTTCTAAGTTCTTTGAAACTTCACTCAACATCCAGTTCCAACTTGCTCCACCTCTGGCAGAAACCACAGTCAGGACCCCAGAAGAAGCCCCTCTGACCGGCCCCCACT
The DNA here is from genome assembly GCF_000001405.40 of Homo sapiens. Lineage (NCBI taxonomy): Eukaryota > Metazoa > Chordata > Mammalia > Primates > Hominidae > Homo > Homo sapiens. The sequence continues at coordinate 29,057,695 of NC_000008.11, forward strand.
GCATTCCAGCCCATGGTCTGGCCAGCTCCGGGCCCTTGCTTGCCTAACTCGAGGATGTTGCTGCTTGCTGGGCTCTCTGGGATCTTCAGATTTCCCTTGGTTGCTTGATATTTCCATTGCCGTCACTATCAGAAAGCATTTCCCAAACAGAAGTTTACAGAAAATTGAATCGAGGTTTCCTCATTGAATCCTAAGACTCAAAGCAGACAACATGACAGGACACATATAACTAACACAGGCTTTAAACAGGTGGAGGCGTGAATGGAGTACTATTCACGACATTCTAAAGCTACTGGAGCACGGGACACGTGTCTGTACGCTCCTCTCACACCCCTTACTCGGCAGCTGCCCCACTCCCGCCGTTGCCGTTGCCCTGAGTCTTCCCCACTGTTCTGCTGTGCCAGTGTGAGCATCTCCCCGGCACTCAAGTCCATGTTCTCTCCCTCCCGCTCTTCCTCCTGTCTCTTCCATGCTCCCTGTTGCACGGGACATCATGTGGGCTTGATGCCGTACACAGTCCCTGACCATGGCCCCCTACTCTTCTCCAGAAGTGTCACACTAGACAGGAGCTGCTGAGTCACCAACTCACCTTTCCCTAGAATGTGGGTTTGTTTTTTCTCCCCCATCACTTGCAGAGGTCTTTTTTCAATTATATGATCAAGAATGAGTCTACAAGAATACCAGCACCAGACATAGTGCCAAATGGCCTTTTGTAAGCTGTTTCGTGCCCTTGAGGCTCGCACTTGTGCTGGGTGAGCCCAGGACCGTTAGCCTTTTCTTTTCTAGGTCTGGACACTCCGGGGTTGGTTAGGCTAGCCACTGGGGAGAATACAGCTCTGGCCTTTTTTCATATTTTGCTGCTTCTCTTTGTACAGATCTTTCCCCCTCCACATACCAAAAGGAATCCTAACCTAGTTGAAATGCTAGTTGCAATTCAGTTTCATGAGAATGCTGAAGTAGGCTGCTGATTTAAAATTTTCCTCTTCCCTGAAAATACACACACCTAGAGAATTTAGGGAAAGGCTCTTAGGGCTTGGGAATCTTATCTTTTCATTCCCCACAAAATACCTACAAAGAAATGTCTAGTATTCCCTCAGTATTCCTCCTCGTATAGGCTCTGAAAGCAACCTCATTCCCACCCAGCCCTTGCACACCGGCATTCAAGATCCATGCATGCAGTTGTTGAAACTGTTTTCTTTGGGATCCTATCTTTATGACAACTGGAATGATTGTAGATTTATGACCTCAAAGAGTAGAGCATTCCTTTTCCTATTTTCCCAGCTGCTAAAATATGACTGTCTCCATTAGAATTTAGAATCCGTCTTAAGCTTAGAGATGGTAAGAGCTGACTGGATGAGTCTAATTCTATGATTTGTGAGACATGCATTAAAACCGTCAGCAGAACATTCTGATGATCCACCTACACTCAAAGAAAACACAATTAACACCACAGTTAAAACCTTCTAATGGAGCCCCTGTCTTAGGGATCAAGGTATTAGAGGTGCTGCTTCAGGGATGGTGCTACTTCAAAAGAACTGAAGTTGGAGAGACACCTCCCTTCCCAAATGCTTCTGCAGGCCACTCTGGTGATTCAGAAAACCCCAACCATATATTCCTTTACCAGCAGCGCCCACCCTTTTCCGTAACTCAGCTTACCAAAATCAGTGAAAATTGAGACAGTGCTTACCCATGAAATATGTGGTTTTTGAACAAAAACCCCAGAAGTTAGTTATTCTTATAGGAAACTAAAGATGCCACCATTGTAAATCATAATACTACAGAGACAAATGCACAGGTCTCCCAACCACCTCAAAGTCAATACAGCCCATGTTTTCTGAGCACGTACTGTGTGCTGGGCACCGTGCTGGACATGTGTGCTGCCTCATGACCCGACACCAAGCAAGTCACCTTGCCCTTGGCAAGGCAAGTCTCCCCTCATTTCTTTCATTTCAGTAGGACGTTCATCTTCAAAGAACAGACCACATAGGATGGTCTGCCCTCTCTGAACACTAACCTGGTTTGCTTTCTCACGCAGCAGTGCCAGGTAGCCTCCCAGGCGCACTGTGGCATCGCCCCCGCCTCTGTGAGCTGAACTCCCTCCGTGAGGGTCTGGACGTGAGGGCCCCTCCAGAGTCTTCCTCCCTGGTCAGTGATGATGACAGGAGTGCAGGGAGGTGCCGCAGTGGTTGACAGGGTGGGAAGCCTGTGTGGCCGAGGGGAACTTGAACTCCGGCACCCCTTGCCTGCAGTTAGCCAAGGCAGAGACCAGGAAACCCTCTTGCACTTCCCATCTTCTCTCTCCAGCTCTTGTAGCGCTACCCTGGCCGTTCCTTCGGGGCTCCTGCTGTGTTCAGGAGCATCTTGCTCAGCTGGCCCCTCCTCCTCTCTAGAAACCGGGGGTCTGGGGTTCTGGAATTAGATCAGTGTCTGCTCTGCCTCAGGCCTCCCTGCCTCCTCATGGGCCCTGACTGCCAAGAAATAACAGTTGCTGGAGACATATCTTGATTTGGGGTCAGCGTAAGAACTTTCTAGAACCCAGAATCCAGCAAAGGCATGAGCTCCTTTGAGGTAGAGGTCTGGTTCCTGTCCTGCCACATTTCACGTGGAACTGTGGTAACTTGTCAGGGACATTGAACAAGGGACATGGGTACCAAGCTGACCTGAGGACTCAGCTAACTAAAGTTCCACATTTCTTCCCTCCTTCCCTTGTCTACCTCTTTTCCGTCAAACGTAAGTGGTCCTCTAGGGGTTGGCTCTCTCATGGTCTTTCTCTTCTGATCTGCTCTGCCCCGTCGTGGGCATCTTGGAACCACCTCAGAAGCAAGGCCACAGCTGTGGACTGGTCCTCGTGAGAGTCTCCCTGGATCCTCTGTACCTGTAATAGGTACACAGTTACGTTATTATCCAACCTCCAATCCCCAAAAAGCCTCCTTAATTTGAAAGAGAAAAGGTATATGTGCCTTGCATTTTGTTATCGGTCCAGATTTTGCATCTGGTGGTGGCTGGGGTGCCATTGGGATTTTGGAATGGGAGCAGTTTGATTCCTCCCTCGGAAGGAACTCATGGCTCTCACAAACCAGTGTCTGTGGCAGTGACAAGTCACAGAATTTGTGTTTCAAGGCTTATTCCTTCTTCCCTTTAAGACTTTTTCAACTTCCTGTCACTTCGGGCTGAGTCTCAATTTCAGTCATGTTTTGTGGCTTCCTTTGAGCACAGAAACCTCTCCTTTTCTTCCGTTACTGGAACTAAGATCCCAGCGTAAACTCGTGAGAGTCATTTTTCCACGTCATCATTCGTTGGAGCTATTAAGCCCGAACACAGAATGACATTAGTGTTATACTAATGTAAGCAGCAGCCACTCTGGTGATGTTGCATTGAACTCTTTTGTTCTTAAACCAGATTCACGGCGGGCAGGCACAGAGTTAGAAGAGTGGGCTGCAGGAAGACACGTGCTCAGCGGTGGCTGCTTTCAAGCAGCATTGTTTTTTGCCTTGAAAACCACATTTCATTATGTTAGAATCGGTGATCCCCTTAATACTGCATCTCTGAAAATGGGCACCATGAAACCAAAACCAAAGTTCTGGATGTGGGGGAGTGGAGCTTTTCTTTCGAAGCACTGGGAGCTTGGGCAGGGCGTCCCGACTGCCCCTCAGTTTTGCCGGAGCACTCGGAAGGGCCTCCTCTTTTCCTAGTAGTTGCCTCATGGTGACTCTAGAAAGCAAGTGTGTGCAGCCTGTGCCTCCCCGACCCATGGCGGGCGTCTAGATCAGGCCCTAGGAGCCTCCCCATCCCTGCCTCTTCTAGCCACTTCCCGGGGGGCTGTAGAGCACGGTCACAGGAAGGCCTCTGCTGGGCCGAGTCTGCGGTCCCTGAGCCATCACAGCACTGGCGTCTTCAGACACACCCTGGCTGCAAGGCAGGACACTCCCCCTGCCGAGAGACACCATGTGCGTCATCATTGCCTCCCCTGGAAGAGCCCACAGCCTTCTATGATCTCCCCCCCGGGCTCGCCCTGCCTTCCACGGCCATGGTCACGTTGGGTATGCAGTACTTTTCAAGGATAAATTTTTGTTTATGTTTTTTAAGTGCCTAAGCAAGATACAGACCTCTGGAACCTGCCAGAGAGTCGGCCTATGCCCTGTCCCCATCCCTCCCCACCCTGCACTGGCCCTTGAGGGTGGGCACAGGGCGGCTGCCCCTCTCCAGTGTCCCTGGCGTTCTGCAGGCAGAACAAGGCAAGGACAAGCTAGCGGGAGAGATCGCTTCACAGCCATATCAGGCTGGCTTCGTCACTGTTTTCCAGCGTTTCTTTCTTTAGGGCCGTTTCTGTTTATGTGGTTTGGTCTTGGTTCATAGAGAATTTAAGAGTCTGCTTAGGGAAATCTCAGTAGCCACTAAGAAGACAGGAGAGCAAGACAGCCTCAGAGCAGCATTCCAGCTCTGGCTTTGGTAGGAGTTGGAAATGTGTCCACATCCAAGAGGGCGAAGCGTCGAATCATCCTAGCTCATGAGCCTGCTGACTCACCTGCCAGCGTGAGCCACCGGAGCCCCAGCTGCCTTTCCGAGCCCTCTCTGCCTAGACTAGAGGGATCAGGGTGTCTGCTCGGGAGGGCTTGGGAAAGCCAGCAATCAGGCGTTCAGATCCCAAGTGTGTCTTTGGAAATGAGTGTGAGAGTATTTGTTTCTTTTTTAAAAAATAATTTAAGTCTGACCTAAATACGGGGCCTTTATTCTGTGATGGGTGTACGACAGATTATTTTGTGACTGCAGTCTGTTCAAATCACATCACTAAGCAGCGCTGAGATGATTTGTTGGTGCATTAAAAGGTTTTGCATCATGGAACAATCCATACCCAGGCACTTTATTTTCATTAATAATCCAGCATTTTTGTTCAGACAATGTAATAACCCAAACACTGGGTATTCATATTTGACACATGGGCAAACTTGCCAGTGGAATGGAATTGTGACCTGACAGAGAAGGGAAGGCAGGCTGACGAAGGTGATCGAATGGGAGAACAGTGCTGTGGTGATCATGAGAATGAGGCTTTTCTGTAGCATGTAAACCAAACCGGACCCTTGGCAGTTCGTCGTCCCTCAGTTCTCCAGATGCTATTTTTTGCAGGTTCTACCAAGTGCTTGTTGATTACCCTAGTTGTAATTATCTAGGGAAGAGATGAATGTAAGTGAGAGTGCAGAGCACTGGGGAGGGTGACAGTGAAATGCAATTAGAGGCAGCAAGAGAGTCCTAGTCTGTTCTCACATAACCGGACTTGAACGCTCCAGTGCGAGCAGAGTGCTGGGGGTGGATTCCACTGCCGAACCACGGCAGCTTTGCTTTACTCTTCAGCATGGGGGTGGTAACTAGCTGCACAGCAAGTTATGAAATGGAAAGCAAGCTTAACAGCTGTAATCTCATCGGATACCCTGGAGCAAATGCCTTGGGATTGCCTGAAGTGAAGTGTTTAGCATCCACCAAATAGTTGAGTTTCTAAGATGGGCCATGCGGGATCCCTGCCACACGGGTGTGGGGGCAGCGCGCTCCTCCCTGCCTCGGCTGCTGTGTGTGTTAGTCTTCATGTTTCCCCTTGGCGTCTCCTCTGGTCCCTGTCCATCTTGTGCACCATGTGTCCCTGAGGGCGAGTCACACCTGTGTCTTGAGTCTGCTGTAAGGTGTTCAGTCTACCTCAAGGGGTCATCATGGTAAGCTCTATCCCACGGCATCCTCCGTCCATCACCACACACACTGGAATGTATCCCCCCCGCCCTGCCCCTTCGATAACCTCCTGACCTTGTCTTTCCTATAATCACCACAAACTCCTAGTGCAAATTGGATGCTGCTTTAAATGTGAAAACAATTGTTCAAAAGCTATAAAACCTGAATGAAAGCTGAAGCTGAATTTATAAGCCTTGTTGCATATGAGCCAAAAGTGCAAAAAGCTCTATATAATGAACTAACCTGCCACTCGTATAAATATAAATATATATAAATATATTAAAATCAGACTGTTCTACAAAATTGTGTATTTGTATTTTTGTGTACGTACAATTTTCTGCTAAGCAGAAGGAGGATGTAGTATAGGATGCTGTGAGAAGAGATTTGGTTTAATCCTATTTCTTTGTTACTTATTTTTGTTAACATCAGATGCCTGTCTTTGTCTTATATGTGTATGACACTGTTTGGAAAGCTGCAGTATCTCTCTTCCTGAGGTCCAGAGGCCATTAAAGAATAAACATGGGGCTTAGAGGTGTCTTGGCCACCAAACACAGGTAAGCCAACAGAGTTCGGCTCCCGTACGTGGTGTGGTGGGACCTGGGGCCTGGAGCCACTTGTACTCCTGGGGTGGGACTGAGGGAGGGAAAGGGCTCCCCCACTTCAGGCTGGTCACTGTATGTTGACTTCCCTCTGGGAAGCAAAATTCCACTTGTAAAAATCAGCTTCCAAGACAAAAGATGATCCGATGTCACTTCTGGGTCACCAGGAAGGGACACAGGATCTCTCTGAACTTTGGAACAGACCCTCATATTCTGGGGCCAGAAGTTTGCCCAGAAAGCAGCAGGTGGCTCTGCCTGGCTGTAGAGCCCAGCTCATTGGCTGTCCCTGGGCTTCGTCTCCCTCTTCCGAGTAGTTGCTGCCTTTCTTCAGATCAGGTTACCACAATGCCTCCCCGCTGCTGACGCTTCATCCCCCACACCTCCAGCCCCAGTTACCTGGAGCTTCTCAGAACCCACTTTGCCGGTGCTAAAACACAAGAGGGGGTGAAAGTGGCTGCCAGTAATGGCCAGAAACCAACCACCAGAGGCCAGGCTGAAAGACAAGCTCCGGGTGTCCAGGGGCTGACGGGCCAACCATGTGGCAGGTCCCAGGCCCCACCCACTGCGCCATCCGCCTCTGAGCTCCACAGTGGTCCCACTAATGGGAACCTCCTCTAGGGAGAGTGATACTGCACCTTCACCCGTAGGACTCATATTTATAACAATGTGTAATGGCTGTAGCAAAAAGCCCTTGTTTCTAGATGTAAATGGTCAAAGAAACAAGCGCTCTATTGTTTTGAATAAAATAGTTCAAATGAGTCCTGTATCATTGTATCTCCTATTCTGGATTAGTGCCTTTTGGACAGTAGACTGTTCTGTAATTAAAATGTAGTATACTGCTTTTTTGTACAGTTTTGTTTTAATAAAACTTTTTTTTAATTTGTGTTTATTTTAGTATTGTACCTATTAGAGAATAAAATGTATAACTGAATACAGACTGACTGGGATTTCTTTGGATCAAAGTGATCATTTGGGAAGTGACCGACCCAAACAAAGAGAAGTGTTCCATTTTGAACACTGGTCCCTTTGTGCGTTTACAATGACTGGAGAAGTCTCCTGCGGACTGCTGCATGCCACCTGAGTAAGAGGGCAACACCGAGCCAGGAAAGCCCCTCTATACGTCCCACTCCCTGACCCTCCAGCCTGTGTTTGGCACATGTCTAGATGACACCAGGAGAGGCTGTGCCTTCCGGGAGTCCCCAGACTGCACCCTCAATATGGCACATGCCCACCCGGCCTGCCTTCTCCCCACCATCTTCAAGCTACACGATCACAAAGATCTGGCCGCCCCTAAAACCATCAGGATCCTAGGAGCTCTCCCCGCACTGGGAGTGCAGCCTCTGACTTACGCCGAGCAGCTGAAGCCCATGCAGCTTTTCTCTTCCATTCCAGGCCACGCCCTGAGCCTCATTTTCTTAAAAGAGCTCTGTCTCTCTTGGGGCCGCACCTTCAGCAGTAAATAAAAAACACAACACAGTAAATAAAGCCAAGCTTTCATTACTGGTTTTCTCTAAAGGCTTCCATTTGTTGGCATCAAATTCTTAAGCAGGACTCGAGGACAAGGTGCCCCGGCCTCCCTCTCCCTTCTCAGGAAACCTAAGACACAAAGGGTGTGTCTTCACATGCATCACGAGAAAAGATTATGCAAAATTTTCAGCTGCCGCAAACGCTGTTGAAGTTGCCAAGTAGAGGCGGGGAGGGGTTCGGGGTTGGGGTGTGAGGGTAGGGGCCAGCCCTGAGGACATCCCCACCCATGTTCCCCTTTCTTCGCCCCAGATTGCTATTTCTGCTTAAGCAGAAGCGCTGGTGAACCAACCTTCCCACAGCCCACCCAACCCTTCTCCATGTGTACCACATAGCCCAGACATCTCCCGACTGCCCTGTGTCCTCAGAGCACTCTAGGGCCAACACCCTCAACCCCCCAGGCCCTCCTGGGTGCATCAGTGCCACCCTACCATGGCACCCATCATGACAGCTTGCTTCTGTACACTCCATGAGGATAGGCACAGGGTATGTGAATGTTAGTTAAGTGACTGACAGTGAGTGGAAGGAATGAACTGGGTGTGACATCCATTAGAGCCCATTTCAGGGTCTGGGCAACGCTGAAAAAACCACACAGCCTTGGGCAAGCAAAAGACATCTCATTGAGTTGCAAGATAGTAGTAGCTTGAAAAATAAGATCCACTCGAGGTGCTATATCAATACTATGTTCAGAGTCCTGCCTCATTCAGAGCAGGGCATCTCCTGCTGCCAAATTCCTGTCATTATTCGGCAGCGCTTGTCTCCAAGCATTCTTCTGCACTGAGGAATGTAAACCAGCCCTGCCCGGCTGTGCTGGCTGATGGACAGCTCTGGTCAGCCCTCAGAGTGGCTGAGCCCTCCACTTGCAAGTGTATTTCATATCCAAGGGCCAACTGATTCGCTGGCATAGCAAGAAAAGCTTTACATGGGGCCACAAGCACCTCTGCGTCCTTGTGGGAATGTGCACTGGCTGCCGGCATCCCTCACTGGTACTGGACTGGGGCCTTGTGGCTGAGTGGGAATCTACTGGCGAATGGAAGGAAGCCAAGTCATCTTCCCGGGCTCGAAGGCTGGACCCAGCATCCTCGGTACCATTCTAGGCCCACGCTGGGCACAGCTGGGCGGGGTGGCTGCAGAATGCAGGCCTCATCAGAGAGCAGGGCCAGGCAACACCAATGTCAGCCCCACAACCATGATCCCCAGCTTCCCAAAACACCTCGTTACAGAACCCCTCCCCCCGCCAGAGGCTGCCCACCTCTGCAGCAGGGGAAAGAAGTCCTCTCACCCCAGTTTGAGGGGAGAGGGGAGGTCCAGTGTGGGGACCAACACGAAGGTCACAGCAGACAGTGGAGTCATGCCTGAGAGCCAAGGAGAGTCCCTACCAGGTCACCTGTCTCCCAGTAGCACCACTTACCTGGGGTCGAAGGGCCCCAGAAAGTTTCCATGGTTCCTGGCTTCAGTAAGGGGCTGAAGTCCAAACAAGGAAAGATGACTCAGAACCGGGGGGCCTCCTGGGCTCTTAAGTCCAAATCATGAAGAGTTCAGCCTCTGAAGTCCATGGGCTGGGGAGGCGAGCACGGCCTGCTGCTGTTCCCTGATCCTCCTCCTCCCAGTCTCAGTCTGGAAAAGCCCCGCACCACCTTTGCTGAGAACAAGGCCACACCATGACAGGATGGCCTGCCAGGAGCCCCAAAACCCTATGTTGGGGTGAGGGGAAGGAGAAGCAACAAGACTGGCCTCAGACATGATGCAGGTGAGAAATGGTCTGGTTTTATTGAGAAGCTGTTGGTCATTTGATGGAAAGACACATACGGTACAAAATTACAGGTGGTTTAGTTCATTACATGATACAAATCATTAGAGTCTTTACAAGTCATTAGAGTCTTTGGATTTTTTAAACTCCCATTTACTGTGTACCAAATCAATATAATCACAGAATCAAAGTCACTTCTTTATATGTGAACTCTTCGCATTTACACGAATCCACACATAGAGAAGCTGTTCCAAGACCCCCCAACACCATTAGTGTCTGCAGCCCACCAGGAAGGCACCACGGACTTTGTGGAGAGAAAGATGCTTTGGGGGTTCAATGGGTCAGTATCTTGGGCAGGAAGCACAGGGTGACTCCCGTCTTGTGTGCGTGCGCACAGCCACCAACACACACTCTCAGGACTTCCCGTTTCACATACAGGGAACTTTTAAGGCAAGAGGAGAAAATGCTAGGAAGTAACGGGGGATCAGAACTCCTCCACCTCTCAGGCTCCAGCAGTCACATTCCCAGCTCCGTTCTCTTGTTGAACCTTGGTAGGCCCAGAAACATCTTCCCCCTCCTCACCTCTGCCCTCCCGCTCCCTCTGGTCAGGCCTGGGTACCCAGGAACCCAGTCACACACCTGCCCCCTGTCCCCTCTGCTGCTGGACGCAGTGCCCGGGGCAGAAGTGAGCCTTCTCACCCTGGAGCCTCAGTCCTTCATAAGGGCCCGAGGGAAGTGGCGGGGTGGGGCCAGGGATGTTCTGGGCACACAATGGGGAGGCAGGGCCCCCAGAAGCATCCCCCACCCCCATCTCTGACAGCGCCGCGTGTGCAGTTACTGCCCTTCCCGGCCTTGGGTGCCATCTGCGGGCCGACCCACACTAAGGTGCCACTCCTGGGGCCTTCCAGGAGCGCATCGGGAGTCCTAAGGCGGGTGGGCGGGCAGGCGTTCTTGGGAGGTGAGTCTGCTGGTCAGGGAGGCAAGAAAAGAAGATAGAAGACGGAGGCCAGCCCGCCCTGGCCCACCACTCTGGAGACCGCACCTCCTGCCTGCCAAGTGCTGGCCCGGGGTCAGCGGGGCTCACTGCCTTGGTGACCACGTCACTGCACATCCCTCTTTCCCAGCCACAAGCTGACATTAGTCCGCACCGAGAAGCAAGAGTGAACAGGGCCTGGGCCCAAATCCACCTGCTCAAGTCAGGAACTCTGGCTCGTTCTACTCCACTGTAAGTCAAACCGATGGTAAAAAGCACGACACACACGTCCCCCAGGACTTTCCCAAGATGGTGCTACAGGAGGCCGCTGCTGGGTGGATGGCTCAGCCACCACGAAGTGCCAGGTCCCACCCACGCTGCCCGTCCGCCACCATTCCCAGAGCGTCCCCACTACACGGCCCAGGCGTTTCCCCTCAGGGCAGCAGCAGTGCTGGCCTCTCACCCAGGCCATAGTGACACCAGCGGACCCAAAAACAAACTTCTCAGTGAAACAGGTTTTAAAAAGAAAGCCGCTGTGCTGGGAAGCGGGTTGAGTTAAAGGGCAAGGCAGAGGTGACAGCTCTTCATCCAGGGACAGGTGCCACAGGGTTCCCTCAAAATCGGCTAAGGACAGGGAGAGCCCTGGAGGAGTGCCTCCCCCCAGGGGCCGGGCCCTCTGCCAGCCCGGCCGCAGCCTTCGTGTCCCTCGCCAACTGGGGAGAGAAAGACAACCTGTCCTCGCAGCCAGGGCTGGGACAGGCCCACCATGGAGACTACTCTGTTGGCGCCTTCAAGTCCCTAGAGAACCAGAGCCTTCCGCAGCGCTTTCTAGATGTTGACTAAATGTGAGAACTAGAAACCAGCTCCAAGGGTGGCTGTGTGAATCTTGACCCAGGACTCCTGTCCCTAGATTGGTGGCCTTCCACACATAGACGCTAACCCCCATCCCACAAACCTGGCACCAAAGGCTCTGGGAGCATAAGTGCCCCAGCCAGGAGGTGGAGGCCACCCCGGAAGCTTCCGGCTGTCCCGCCCACACCATGCACGGTGGGCCTGGGGGCGTGGCTGCTGTGAGGGTCTGGAGACTAACCAGCACACTCCCTGCACCAGCCCAGCCGCCAGGCCCCAGCCCCACACTCTGAGAGTCTGGGAGTTGCCGAGAAGTTAAAATGACCCAAAGACCTTCCTAGAAACCAAAAGTGCACCAAATAAAGTAGCAATGCCTCTTCCTTTGTCACCGACTACAGAAGCACATCATTCTCCCAGGTTTTTGCTCTCATCCAAGTTAAGAGTAAGGCCACTGTGGATCCGCAATAGAGGGATGTGAGGAGGGGGCTTTATCCTCTGCCGTCCCCAGGACCCTCCACCTGGGCAGGAGGCCAGCAGCTCTGCAATGGCCAGAGAGGCTGCAACGTGCAAGGCAGGCCCTGGGCCCCCCCACACAGGCAGACGACGATTGCGGCTCGCAAATGATTTCGGATTTTGAAAAAATAAATATAAATAAATACATTCCAAGCCTTCTGTGAAGGGAATAAACGGCAAACATAAGAGACTTTCCAGGTGTCTAAAGATGCCAAAACATCCACAGAGAAACCGCTAAGAAACCCTGGCAGAGGAGGGATGGGGGGGCTCAGGCCCTCGGCCCCCGTCTGGGGCACCAGGACCATCTGCCAGAGCCCAGGGCCCTCCAGAGGCACTTGTGGAACCTGGGACCAGGGTGGGAGGCTGGGGGGTCCCCCAGAGGCACTTTGCGGGAAACTGGGACCAGGGTGGGAGGCTGGGGGGCTTGCGGAGTGAGCCAGGACATCCTGGGTGGGTGGGGGGGCTTGCCCTCCAGTGGGGAGGAAAGGCACTGGTTACAATTATGGTTTAGGTTAAGACATTAGTGGGGCCACCAGAATGGAAATGATAGAAAGAGCAACATAAGGCCCCAGGCACAGGCACACAGCAAGATCACCAGGCGCTGCACCACCCAGGGTCTCAGTCCTAGCATCCCCCAGCCCCTGCGGGCACCCAGAACCTTCCATCCACCTGAGGAGGCACAGTTGAGGCCCCCACTTTACCCGGGTACAGAAGAAACAAAGCTTCCAGAGGCCCAGGGAGGTCACCAGCCCTGTGTCGTGCAAAAAGCATTCATCGCCCTGCCCCTGGGGAAGGGGCCACCGGGCTCCTGGCTCCTCAGGGCTGTCACTGGCAGGGCTCAAAAGGGGCCGGGCACCCCCAGAAAAGTTCGCCCTAAGGCAGCGGCTCAGCTGGCCCAGGATTTCCGGTTCTCAGGGTTCTTGTGGCTCCTGTCGGCCTTGGCCAGGGCAGCTGTCAGCGAGGCCAGGTTGGTGGCGGAGCCCGAGAGGGTGGCGCTCCGGCGGGCCTCGGGGGCACCCAGCCGGAGTCCTGTGCTGCGCCGCCGCACAGGGCCCGTGGCCCTGCGGACCCGGCTGGGCCTGACCAGCAGCCCGTAGCCAGGGTTACACCTGAAGTACTGCTTCCCGCCGATGGAACCGTCATTCTTACCTGCGGGGGAAGGAGAGGGTGATATGGAGGGCAGCCGAGCTGCAGACGGCCCCCTGCACCTCCCTTACCTCTGCAGAGGCCATGTGCCCACACTGCCACCCCCCCGCACAGGCCCTACACAGCCAGCACTCGGACACTGGCCATTGTCTGGCAGGGACTGGCTAAATGAATGTGGCCAGGGCCTGGGGTGACCGCCTCCCAGGACAGTGAGCAGTGGTGACCAAGGATGCACAGCCCCAGTCCTGCAGCCTCAGGTAGGAGGTGACAGGCCCTGGGGGCCCTGGGGAGTGCCTTGTGGAAGCATAGGTGCAGGCCAGCCACTAAGGCACAACCGGCCCGCCTCGTGCGGGAACAGACCCTTCTCCATCTGGACCCAGGCCTGGGCTGGGTGGCGGGAGAATGGTTCTTTTGCTGAATCTATGAAATGGAAACTGGCAAAACTGCCAAATGAGGGCGAGTCAGAGGCCAGCGAGATGTGTCCGGATGGGGTGAGGAAGAGCCTCCTGGAACGGCAAAGGGGAGATGCTCTAAGGTGAAGGATGAGAAAGCAGAGCCCAGGGAGTGCAGAGGGCAGGGGAGACCGGAACAAAAGCGGGAACAGCCATGGCGATGGGGGGATGGGTACAGGATCTTTGTAGCCAAAATCATCAGGAATTTTCCATGTCGTCTCCAGGGACTAGCCCTGCCCCCAGCCTCACCCCTGCAGGCCCAGCCGCTCCCGCAGCTTCAGCCAAGCCGCTGCCTCCCGGCCCCTCCCTCTCCTGCCCGGACCCTGTCCCCTCCCAGGCCGGCCACGTTCCTGCTTCCCCAGACCCCCGGCACCACCCTGGAGCCCGGAGTGCCCGGTACCCACCTGAGGGCAGGTCGAGCTCCACGCCGACCCACGTGCCCTCTTGGAAGTCGGCAGGCCCCACGTATCTCACCACGCCCGTTTTGTGGGCGCCCACGGTGACGAACTCGCCCTCTCGGAGCCACTCCGGGACCTCGTCAGCTTCCTCGGAATCAGAGGCCAGGGCCTGTCCCCCGGCGCCCGGGGCCGGCGCATTCCCCTCGGCCCCCGGGGAGCAGCCGGGGTCCCCAGCCAGCATGCGCGAGAAGGAGCGCAACTCCGAGGCCCGCACCCTCCGGACGCGGAACGGGGAGCCGGGCGCCGGGGCCTCGAGGTCGGGGCGCTCCCGACCGGGGCTCACGAGCTGCTGGGGGCCAGGGGGCTCCTCGGCGGGGACGGCCGTGGGCGGTGGGGGGTGGCTGATGGGCGCCTCGGGCTCGGCCTCAGGGGCGGTGGGCATGGACCCCGGCGGGGCCGCAGCGTCCAGGCCGGGGCCCAGGGCGTCCGACAGGGTCGCGGTGGAGACGCTGTGGGAGAAGTACCCGCTAGAGGCTTCACTCAGGGGGCTGGGGGGCCCGTCCTGTGCCTCCGGAGCCGGGGTGACCGCTGTGACAGCTATGACAGGCGGTGGGGAAGGCACTTTGGCAGGTTTGTCGCAGATCTTCAAGGCCGGGGCCCCCATCGTCTGCACCAGCACGTCAGGGCCCATCTCCGGCTGAGCCTGCAGCAGGACGGGGAAGCAGGGGCTGAGAACAGAAAACTTTCCAACACGAACCAAGCAGGCAGCTTTGACTTGGAAAAGAGCATGAGGCCAGGGGCAGTGGCTCAGCCTGTAACCCCAGTGCTTATGGAGGGCAAGACGGAAGATCGCTTGAGCCCAGGAGTTCAAGAACAGCCTGGGCAACATAGTGAGACCCCGTTTCGACAAAATAAATAAATAAAGAACATGGCTGGGACCCGGCCAGGCCCTGGTTCCCACACTGGTTCTGCCACTTAGGGCTGCATGGCCCTGGCTTCCAAAGTGATAAAGGTTGAGGGGCCGACAGTGCACCCCGCAGGCCCTGTGCTGTGTGCCCAGGCTCAAGAGCACTGACCATGGCCACAGCCCCTGCCCCATCTACTTTTTACCTTTCATACAAAATAGAATCCAGGGCCTGCCATGCAGGGCCAGCACGCTACAAAGACCAAGGCCCCTCGCCACAGAGGGCAGCACACAGTAGGTGCACGCTAAAACCCTGCTAGGGCTAGTTAGCTTTCCTCCCATGGAGACAAAGCCCCTGCCCACCCCCAACCTCACGAAGAGACTGAGTCACTAAAGAGACCAGAAGAGCACTTTTTTGTCCGGCAAAACCTAAACAATGATCTCATCGGAGGACCGGAACACACTCAGCACAGCCTGGCCAGCTCAGGCACCAACAAGGAGCCACGGGCCTGCAGCCTGGCTGGGCATCCCGAGCAAGGCAGCAGGGGGACGAGGAGGGGTACGAGGAGGGGTATGAGGAGGGGGACGAGGAGGGGGACGAGGAGGGGGACGAGGAGGGGGACGAGGAGGGGGACGAGGAGGGGGATGAGGAGGGGACAAAGGCTCCCTGTGGGCCGTGGCCCTTTCTCTCCAAGGCTGCTGCTCTGGCTGCTATGGAAAGCAGGTGCCATGTCAGGGGCTGGGGGGGCCTCGGACCCTGGAGAGAGGCCAGGAAGCAGCCCCCAGGGAGAAGCCACCAAGTGAGGCCAGCAGCTCTCCTCATGTCGGTCACTCTGTCTGAGTCACCCAGGCAGAGGACACACACACACTCAAAGCCCACATCTCATGGGGGAGAGCAGCCACCGCTTGCCCAAATCCTATTGTTTCTGGGGCATTCTTTCATCTATAACTGAAGCCATGTGAAGAGGCTGCCAGATCATCTTTCTATTCCTATTCACAGTGACCGAAGAAAAGGAGAAGGCAGGAACAGGGAATGAGATTGGTGGGGTGGAGAGCACTGCTATCCAGAAGAAATATGTTTTCCGATATTTATGGAAAAATTATTTATATTACAGGAATGGTCATTTTCCATTTGAAATACGGGATTTATTTGAATGGGGAAGCGGCTGAGATCTATACGTCTCTTACAGTTACTTGGCTTACCTCAGCAGCTTGATAAATCATGCGTTTTCCCAGGAACTGTCCTTTATATTCCCGTTTCCAGGGGCCCTCTTTTCCCCACCAACCACACTTTCAGGGTAGGAAATTAATGGCACCTCTTGAGATTAACAGCCCATTTTTGTGGTGAATCTCTAGGCTGCAAAATTTACTCAATCCAATAGATCAATAACTGTCACCAGCATAAATACTCTAAAAGATTAGGCAATCCTTCAATCATTCTTCCTTTGCACATTGTCCATGTTTTATTTATTCTCTTCTATTTTAGTTTTAATATCACTGACCCAACAGGGGAGAATACGCAAAACTATGAGAGCCGGGAATCTGAACGGTAACCAGGGTCCTGAAATGGCTTCTGTTCCCCGCCCCCACCCCGGGTAAGGCCAGCCACTGTCACTTCCCCAGGCCAGGCTCTCCCAGGATGAGGCCAGCTGCATGCCTCAGATTTGCAAGTATCATCATCCCATTGGCTTCCATGTAAGACACTGGCTTGGGCTGGGCTGGAAGGATCATGGCATTATTCTACAGCAGGCCTCCAGAGGGGAAAGCCCTCATCCAAGGCTGCACTAAGTGAAAAGGCAGGCACTGGGGGCAGAGCTGCAGAGTCAACAAAGCAGGGAGCAGGATGGTGGAAAGCACAGACTGGCACTCCAGGCCCCATCCCCACTTGACTGGAGTTGATTTGTGAGTTGAAACCCAGATGCCATCTATGGATTATACCCTTGCCACTGAAGAAGACATTTCTGGAGACTTCTGCAAAAGCCCAAGCTTGGAAAACCACCATGATGAGCTACAGAAGCTGCTGCCTTCACTGGCAAGGGGCTTGCTCTGACCATCCTGCTGACCAGGGACACTCAAACCTGCCTCAGAGAAGAGACCGGCACCATTCCCAGGGGAGGGGGCACCCCGATCCCGGCCACAGCAAATTCGTGAATGCCCAGTGTGCACTGGGGTAAAAAGGTCATTCAGATAGAAGTAAATTCACGGAGATCTGAATATTCTTTCTAATGATTGTGCCTCTGTTGCTGTTGTTTTAATAAAGAAAATTTTCCTAAGAAGATACAGCATTTCCTAAGAGAATGAAAGCGCAGTGGGAGAAAATAGATTTGCTATTCATAAGATTAGAAGTGCTGTTGATCTGTGGGAGATTATAAGAGACTATTTTCTCCACAGCTTAGCATTCGTCTTTTCACGCTGATATCATGAATCAGAATGAAATGTAAAACTGAGAATTAAGCAAACATTTAGAAGAAGGAGATTGTTCTGTTTATAGAAATCTCCTCTGCCTAGCTGTGGGCTATTAAGGCAGCAGACTACATTAGCAGTCAAGCACCTAAAAGTTTAGCAATCATATGATTAACAAGTTGAAAATAGAAAAGTATAACAAGGAAAATAGAGAGGGAGAAGGCAGTGACCTATATTATAACTAATTACCAAAACAGGAATGCTAACATCAAAAACTGTGGGTGTGGACTCAACAGTTTCGGCATCAGGGCCACCTGCTCGCTGTAGGTGGGGTGGCCACCCGTGACCCAACAGACTCACCTCCTCCATCCTGGTCACCCTGATGTCCGGGCTGGCTGACTGCACCATGATGCGGGGCACGGGCTGAGGAGGCAAGTGTGCAGGTCAGGGGTCGAGAGGACAGAACAGGGGTAGCAGAAAGGTTTCCGCTGCACAGGCTGGAGGGCCAGGACCTGCCCGAGGGGAATCGGCCCATCAGGTGTGCGAGTGTGAGGGGCTCCACACCCTCCAAGGAACAAGGGACCCAGCAAGGGGCTCCTCCCCCAGCCAGGGAAACAGGCCACATGCCAAGATCACCAACACACATGGTGCACTTACACACACGACGCTCTCTCCCTCCCTCCAATCACATATGCACATGTGAACCGAGGACTGGGCCTGTACAGACAAGCATTATGAGACAGGAAAGATACAGAAAGACTTCCGGCAGGAGGTGAAAGCCATGCCAGGCTCTGATGGCTGGGGAGAGGAAGGAGTGTAGTCACAGGAGGGGAGGAGGAAGGAGGCCAGGCTGGCTGGAGCACAAACCCAGAGCCCAAGATGGCAGGCACAGGTCTGCAGAAGGCCCTGGGCATCGGAAACTAACCCTACTCAGGAGAGGAAGGGGGTCCCCACTGAGTCCTGAGCAAAGCAAGAAGACAGCTGAAGGCCAGAGACACTGTCCGGGTGGGGACACAACATGACCGGAAGAATATTTAAAGTCCAAAGAGGCAGATCAGTAATGCAACTCCAGTGACAGAGCAGGGGGAGGAGGTAAGAGCCACAGGAAAGGGCCTGGTTACTTGTGGACACATGGGCCAGGGAACATTAAAGAGACAGAGTTAAGAATCATCAGAGCCAGGAAAAGGGAAGCCTCGGGGAGAGAAGGAACCAGAGCATCATTCTGTTGCTGCGGAGTGGCTGTGGGACACAGAAGCAGCCGAGCAGATGTGCTCATCCCAGAAGAAGCTGGGAACATGCCACTTCTGCCCCTCCCCCTCCCCCTACCCGACTGCAGGAACCAGGCCTGGCCTCCCATGCTGGGCTCTCATGAGGGCTCCATTCTGCCAGGACAGCCGCGGGTAGGGCTTCTTTCTTGTTGGGTCCACAGGGCACAGCTGGTGGCTGCTCGGTTACTGAACTTTAACTGCCCAGAGATGTGGACTCCACGTCTCCCACCTCCCTTCTCCCAGCCCTCGGCAGTCCTGGTGCTTTGGCTCTTGTGCGTCTGGGCACTTGAGGCCTCGATGGAGTCAGGCCTTCTAGACAGAGCCTGCAGGCGCGAGCCACACCGCCCAGGCCTTCCTTCCTACTGGGGAGCCTGGACTCCAGCTGTAGGGAGAAGAGTCCCGAAGAAGCCAGCCCGCTCAGCAGGGTGCTCACCATGTTTACAAGCATGGAATAGCCTCGCTTCACCTGAGGGCACCACTATGACCACTCGTGCCTTGGGGCTGCTTTTGGAAGAAAAGTATAAGAGGGAATTGATTCCACAGAAGGTAAGGGGGCACTGGCAGGATTTGAGAAAAGGTGCAGTGGAGAGGACTCGAGAGGAAACGCAGCGATCAGGCTTAAAGACCTGGAAGGACTGGAGCCAGATGTGGTGGTGCACACCTGCAGTCCCAGCTCCTCAGGAGGCTGAGGCAGGAGAATCACTTAAGCCCAGGAGTTGGAGGCTGCAGTGAGCTATGATCACACCACCACACTCCACCCTGGGCAACAAAGCAAGACCCTGTGTCAAAGAAGAAAAAAAGAAAATAAGGTGGAAGGACCAAGGAAATGAACAAAAGGAATGTGTACTTTACACTGCAACCACTAGGGAGTTCCTGGGGTGGTCTGAGGCCCAGGACAGCTAGGACCAGGGTGCATTAAAGATTATGTGAGCAGCCAATGGGACAGAATGAGGGAGGGTCCCCTGGTGGCAGTTAGGCCATTGCACATGACAAGGCCTGAAGAACAAGACCTTCAGCCTCCACCTCAATTCCTTGACCAGAACAGTCTCCCCTCTGCGCCCCTCCCAGCACTCAGCTCCTTCTGTCCCACTACTGCTCTCCACGGCCCCGCCTACCGCCATCTCCCAGAGAAGAAAGTGAGGCTCAAGCACGCGTCCCACACTGCCACGCAGTCCTCGCATGCCAGGGCTCGTATCTTCATTTTTCTGCCTATAGTATTTAACGTCCCCACAAATGGGAAGGTGTTCAAGGGTATATTTCATGACAAAAGCAGAAAAAACATTTCTCAAACTCCAAAATACTTGCATTCTTCACTACATCTTACCTAAAGTGGACAAGATTGGGGAACAACTGTTTCCACAAAGGTGAAGTTTATTCCCCTTAAAGCCTAAAAATGCAAATACCCCAAGGATGGGATGTTAAGCGCCTAACATGAAACCTTTTCTAAAATCACATGATTCCTGCCCTCTGAAATAGAACATGCAAACAAGTTACACTTTCCTTCAGGACCCAGTGTGATTAGAAAAACCCAGTAGATAGATGCTTATTAAATATTTGCTGAAATGGATTCAGGGACTCGACTGACTGCCACTTTGGTTCTCACTCTCCATGTAAAAAAGTTCAGCTCAACAGAGACTGCACCAGGTCCTACCATGCGGGGGGCGTGGCACCAGGTGCCTCAGGCAACATCAGCATCAGAGGCATGGGCTTTGCTCTCAACAGATGGGCAACCTGATTGGTGGGGAACACATAAGCAAATCACTAAAATCAAGGAAGGTGACAGTGGAGTGGAAGCTTCAAAAGCAGAGAGGAGGCCAGGCACGGTGGTTCACGCCTATAATCCCAGCAGTTTGGGAGGCCGCAGCAGGAGGATCACCTGAGGTCAGGAGTTTGGGACCAGCCTGGCCAACATGGTGAAACCGTGTCTCTACTAAAATCCAAAAAAAAAAAAAAAAAATTAGCAGGGCATGGTGGCAGATGCCTGTAATCCCAGCTACTCGGGAGGCTGAGGCAGGAGAATTGCTTGAACCTGGGAGGTGGAGGTTGCAGTGAGCCAAGATAGTGCCATTGCATCACTCCAGCCTGGCCAACAATAGCAAAACTCCATCTCAAAAAAAAAAAAAAAGAGAGAGGATTCAGAGGAGGAAAGGGTCATAAATAGAACGGGTGTGAACGCCACATGAAGGGGGCTTTTGGCACAGGCCTTGGGTATGAGTTCAGCAACCTTTTTAAGGATGCCAAATACATCCACCAAGAATACTGAAATCATAACCGTGTGCTCATCCTTCACACGTAATAGCTGAAGTTTTCAAGTGTGTCTGTTTGCACCTTTATGCTCTTCTACATCTCCCCTGTGCAGGCAGTCACCTCCTATTTCAGGGGCTCAAAACATTTCAGATCATAAGTTCATTAATCCTTACAACACATCTGGTAACTATTAATAAAAATGACTGTGAAGTATTTTGCAGCTATAAATATTAAGGAGAAGTCCCATGAGGCAAGTGAATATGAGTATAATTATCTACATTTCACACTACAGAAACCGAGGCTCAGAGAGCGTTTACCTAATGGTTAAATGTATTCACATTGCCCTGTAAGTGAGTGACAGAGATGGAAAAGGACTAAGTTCTCAAGTGCTGGCTGAACCTGCAATCACCCTGTCTACTGAGCGTTGCTGAAACTGAACAGATGAGTAGCTTACAGGCAACAGAACGGCTTAGAAATATTCCAGGGAAAAGGTGCCAGTCACTGCTCTCATCATATTGCCCTGTGTTTTAACTCTGGCTTTCACATTCTACATGAACACATGGGAGATGAGGTCAGAATTTTAAAACTTGGAATAAAAGCTGTTTTGGAGACCCCTCTGCCAAGAAGAATAAAATTAACCCCTTGACATGACATATACAATCTCCAAGGGGACACACCTTGCTTTGCTTGCTCTACTAGGCCACTCAGAATTCCCTCAATGGACGGCTTTTCCATTCAGAATTCCCTCAATGGATGGCTTTTCCAGAACCTTCCTCACGCCACTCCGCCCCCGTGGAATCGTGTTCCATCTAGTGAATACCGATTCATTTCTAAGTCTCTGCTCATGCATGATCGAATTCTCCTGCAACTGCAGGGAGCAGCGCCCACCGGCTTCGCTGTGTCATCCGCAGACACTCACACATGACGGTATCTACATCACCCTGCACTGTCTCTTCATCTGCTTTTGTGGCTCTAAACAGGCTTCTCTAAACTTCAGGCTCTTGGAAGGAGACAGACTACAGCTCATTCATCCCTGTATTTCCTTACATAAAACAGTAGCTCAGTGTTTGTTGAATGAACAAATGCATACATTACTTAGCAAGTGACATAAAGAAGACTAAATTGTACAGTTACATAGGAATGTGGGAAAGAACAGACTCTGAAATGTGGGCATCGGGGAGGTAAAGGGGAAAAGAGGTCCCAGTTGAAACAAAAAAATAATCACTTCAGAACTTCCCTAACATTGAATTTTCTGATGCATATTTTTTATTGTTTGAAAATAAATCTTTCATGGCTAACAATCACCCCTTACCCTGAATTTCAGAAATTCTTAAATGTCATTTTTTAATGGTGCTTAAACTAATACAATCCTCTAAGTCTTGTTTTAAACACTAACCAATGATTTAAATCCAAGTATAGAAAATTACTTTTTAGTGGAATATACAAGATATGTAAGATTTATTTTTGTTACAAATAGTTAGTAGCCAATCTTTCATTTTCCTGCTGCTGAAGCGTGAAAAACCTGAGAAACAAAAGGAAGCAGAGCTAAGGCATATAAGGAAACACCTGCTAACCTCCAAAAATGTTCTGATAAAAGTAACATACAATGGATACAAATCAGACACATTGTGCAGTGGCTCTCGCACCTGCAATCCCACCACTTTGGGAGGCTGAGGCAGGAAGATCACTTGAGCCTAGGAGTTCGAGACCAGCCTGGAAAACATGGAAAAACTCCATCTCTACAAAGATTAAATTAGCTGGGCGTGGTGGTGCACACCTATAGTCCGAACTACTTGGGAGCTGAGAATTGCTTGAGCCCAGAAGGTCGAGGCTGCAGTAAGCCATGATCATGCCACTCACTCACCCTGGGTGACAGAGTGAGACCCAGTCTCAAAAAAAAAAAAAAAAAAAAAACCAACCCAAACATTAAGCCTCAGCAATAATCTAATCAATAGAAACACTTTTCTAAGGTTGTCCTGACCAGGGGCCTGGAAGAGAGGAAAACGAAGAGTTCCGGGAGGCGGGCGGGGAGAACGTGTCCAGCCCTGGCCTGAAGCCTGTGAACCAGCCTCCGGCATGTGAGGCCTTCAGTGACCACCCTGTGCGCCTGGAGGCTCCAGACCCTGACAGGGTGATGTGGATAGAATATGTGAGCCATAACGGCACCAGCACTTTTGTCCATCTGGCAGGTATAGTTATTTTAAATGCATGGCTTGGCATTCTAACTTTTGTGTAAAAACCTGATCACCTCTGGGCTTCCACACCTATCTGCAAGGGGATGATCCCATCTACATGAGTTCTCTAAGCGGTGTCACCAGGGAAGCGGACTGGTGGCTGCCGACCCCCGCCCGAGCCACTGTGCCCCTGCCTGCCACATGCCCCTCCAAGCAGTGCCTCGAAGGACTCAACACCAGAAGGCAACCATGGGTTTCTGACCCACATGATAATCCCTGCTGAGGATTCTACCCGCACTCGAATAGCGTCTTCTAACTCCATTCTCTTCAAATCCACTTTCCAAACTACAGCTGGAGGGAGCTTTCCGAAAAACAAAAGTGACCATGTCCCATGTCGCTCGCCACCTTGCAGCTGCCAGGGTTTCCCACTGCAGCAGACAGGGAAACGCTGGCAGGTCCTGCATGGTGTATTTCTGCGGCTCGATCCGTCCCTCCTGCAAACGCTCTACTGATTGATTCATTCCACAAATACAATGACTTGGTTACTCTTAATCACTGTCAGTGAAATCTCTTACAGTCACACGTGAGCATTTAACCGTGCTTTCTCAACGGAAAGCTCAGTTCTGCCACTCCTGAGGCTCTGTAACCTGAGACAGGTGTGCACCCTCCCCATTTCCCCAACAGGGCAGCAGCCCTGACATGGCAGCCACCAGCCACTGGTGGTGACCCAGCACTGAGAATGAGGCTAATGTGACTCAGAAAGTCCATTTTTTATTTTAATTAATAAAGCATAACCTTAAACACTGAAATGCTTTTAAGTATGTTTAGAACAGCCTCGGCATGTGGGTCTGCTTTTTCAACCATAAATTTTATGAATTCTAAATGCAGATCAAGTATTTCCGACGGAACTTTAGTGTCTGAATTGCAATGTGCTAGAAATGTAAAATACACACCTGATTTCAAGGACTTTGTACAGAAAGAAGGATGGGAATATCTCAACCTTTTTTTATACTACAGTTGATATGACAGTATTTTCAATACACTAGGTTAAACAAATGTTATTAAAATTAATCTGACCTGTATTCTTTTTACTTCCTTAAACGTGGCTACTAGGAAATTGTAACTTGCATACATGGCTCGCATTATGTATCTATTGCATGGTGCTTGTCTAACTCAGTCGTGTTGTTGAGATGGCACATTAAAATTCCTGGTGTGGTGCCAGGTATGCTGGAAGCTCTCGACACATTTGTAAAGTACTTCATTGGAATTTTGTGTCTGGTCTTCCTGGATATTTCTAAGTTGGCTTACTAAAAGTACATGTTTAAACAGTCAATAATTTCATCTGATCTAGAAATCACAAGTTTCAAATTAACTGAATCAGTCCCAAAGTCATTCCAAGATGAATTCCACTTTCTTTCAAACAAAGAACCTAAGATTTCATTTATTTACTCATTCGCAAATATGTACCAGGTACCTACTACATTCTAAAGACTGTGGTAGGCACTGGGGGTGCAGTGTGAGCAAAACTAGTCCCTGTGCTCCTCAAAACTAGGCACTCAAGGTCTAACATTTATATTCCTATTTAATTTCAGTTACACAAAACAATTAAAAGGCCTATTTTTCCTATCAACAAGTAAATTATTTTATCACTGCCTATAAGTGAATGACACCATTCACATGGTCTATAAGACATTAGATATGTATTATAGTCTAACTTATTCTAAGTACTATATAAATAAAATCTTAAATACTAGTATTTCCAGAGTTACTGGAAAAGATATCGCTTCTGATTTTTAGTATCTAGCCAGTTTACTTTACAAACTTCCACATAACAGCCTGGGCAACATACCAAGGCCTCATTTTTACAAAAAAAAAGTTTTTAATTAGCCAGGCATGGTAGCACACTCCTGTGGTCCCAGCTACTCGAGAGGCTGAGACAGGAGGACTTGCGCCCAGGAGTTCGAAGCTGCAGTGAGCTATGATCACATCACTGCACTCCAGCCTGGGCAACAGAGCAAGACCTTGTCAGAAAAAATAAATTAAAAAAAAATAAAACTTCTACATAATACTTAAAACTGATTTAAGCGTTCATATAAGAAAATTCTACACATATATTTTAAAAGATAGAATGCTCACTTCATCCAAAAAGAGTTACTAGTTTTTCAAGTGTCCATGAAGGATTAAGGATGCTTAAAGAATGTTTGCTAATCTGAAAACTTTAAAAATAGGGTCTTGTTGGGCAGAGTGGTTCACACACATAATCCCAGCACTTCCGGAGGCTGAGGCAGGAGGATTGCTTGAGCACAGCAATTCAAGACCAGCCGGTGTGACATAGGGAGACCCCGTCTCTACAAGATCAAAATTTAAAAATTAGCCAGCCATGGCGGTGTACACCTGTAGTCTCAGCTACTTGGGAGGCTGAGATGGGAGAATCACTTGAGCCCAGGAGGTCAAAGCTGCAATGAGCCATGATCACACCACTGCACTCCAGCCTGGGCAACAGAGCAAGACCCTGTCTAAAAAAAAAAGCCTTCATCCAGCTTGTCGCCAGCTTAATATGCGCTAAGAAATAAGAAATGGCTTTTACATTCTTAATGACTGAAACAAATCAAAAGAATATTTCATAACATAAAAATTATGTAAAATTCAAATTTCAGGTTATCAAGTTTTACTGGAACACAGCCAGACTCATTTGTTTAATACTGTCTATAGCTAGTTTTGACAGAGACCACATGGCATGCAAATCCTAAAATATTTACAATCTGTTCCTTTATAAAATAAAGTATGGCAACACTCGGTCTAGAGAATAAAATGAACCCCATTCCTAAAAAATTGCTAGCAGATGCACCTCTTCAATCGACTTCTTTACTGCCTCAGAAATCCTCTTACTTGCTGAAGGGAATTTTAGTTACATTTCATTATTTTTCAGATCAGCTACTAAACCTGATTGTGAAGACAACTCTGACATCTCTAAGTATGTCCACTATATTACCTACAAATTTATGGGGCAAGGCTAGACAGCAAAATGCTGTGATTCTGGAAAACTAAAAGAGTGATAAGAGTCTTTTAACAATGACAGGAGTGCCTAAAAACTCCTCCCTAAACTGAACAGAAATCAGTTGCCCTGAATTTTTTTTTAAAAACTCTTTGTTAACTCCAGAACAAGTGAAATACAGCACACTATATCTATAGCTGTTTAAGATGGGTGGTATTAAACTACAGAGAAAATGCTCATATATGTTATTTTTTAAATAACCTGAAAGTTTAAGAAAAATGAAGGCTGGGAACAAGGCCTAGATGTGTTTTTTGTTTGTTTGTTTTTTAAGACGGAGTTGCGCTCTGTCACCCAGGCTGGAGTGTGGTGGTTCAATCTCGGCTCACTGCAACCTCCGCCTCCAGGGTTCAAGCGATTCCCCTGCCTCACCCTCCCCAGTGGCTGGGATTACAGGCGCCCACCACCACGCCCAGCTAATTTTTGTATTTCTTTCAGTAGAGATGGGGTTTCACTGCGATGGCCAGGCTGGTCTCAAACTCCTGACGTCATGATCCGCCCACCTCGGCCTCCCAAAGTGCTGGGATTACAAGCGTGAGCCACCGCACCCGACCGTGTTTTCTTCTTTTAGTTAGGATGTTGAACCTTTACTTGAGACACAAGGATACGTGTTTATATAATTCATTTAATCAAAGAAGTATGTTAGCTCAAAACATCATCCTTGTGTACAAGGCAAGAATTAGTATTTGTGCTTGTTTCTCCCTGTTTTATATAAGGAAGAATCACAGTAATGGAAGATGGATAATTATACAGACACCTTTTCAATTAGCATCAGAGATGGGCAGAGGGGTGCTCTTTCTACACAAGCCTTTATCTACCTACCACACGTGAGGCTATGTTGAAATAGGAGAAAAATATCCCTGCTGTTGATAAGGCAGCCCTAACCAAAAGGGACAGACACATAAATCAAGACAGGCCGGCATTGTGACTGTGCTTTTGATAGTGGAAATTAAATCTGACCATTAACCCTTTAATTCTCCAGATTCATCAAAGACGCCATTTACAGTTCCTAACTTTGAAGTACATAAATAGCTTCATCTGAACACAAACTTCTAGATACATGAAAAAAAGCTATTATGCCAAATTAATTCAATCTAACTAATTAGAGAGCAGGAAGTTCCTTCAATTATTTTATGTGCTGTCTGAGAAACACACTTGAATATGAGTACAGATTTCATTAATTGCAGTTCATTATTTTCCAGATTAGTTACTAAACTTGCATCAGAAGGTCAAAGACAGCAATTTTGTCAGCTGCCACCTCTTTCAGTGCAGTATTTTTGCATTTCTGGAACTCAGACAGAAATTGACTACAAACAAAAACAAATCTCCATAAAAATGAGAAACATAAGTCCTTATGAATATGTTCAAACCAAAAGATCTTGTAAATTATACGAATATCTTTGTTTTTAAACTTTCTGAATAAACTATTGACTTTTGTCTTACAAAAAAAGATCCAGGAACCTTTCCGTTTCCATTTGATAAACAATATTAAGAAAAAGTAACAAGAAAATAATAACATCTTCACCTGAGAACCTGCTGATTCCAAAGAACAGGTTAATAAGCATCCAGGTTTTCATTAAAGCTTCTCTGCAGTTATGGGTCTGTGTATCTTTGCATGAGGGAGGGAACTGAACATTCTTGTCTGAAAATGTGAAGGACACTCTAATGAAAAGTATTTTTTGATAATAATCATTCCTTCACTACACAACTTGTGTACCTCTTTTCCACTTAACATAACAAAATATAAGGAATGACTGGTAAAAACAGGACCCATTCTATTCCTCAGTCCTTACCTGGATTATTTTATATCCTCATAAACTTTCTGTTTTTATTTTATTTTTGAGACAGGTGTGTGTCACCACACCCACATATTTTTTTTTTTAATTTTTAGTAGAGACAGGGGTCTTGTTATGTTGCCCAGGCTGGTCTCGAACTCCTGAGCTCAAGTGATCTGCCTGCCTTGGCCTCCCAAAGTGCTGAGATAAAGGTGTGAGCCACAGCACCCAGTCTAACTTCCTGTTTTTAAGTAACAGAAATACTCTTCTTTTTTTTTTTTTTTTTTTTTTTTTTTTTTAAAGGGAGCCAGGCTGGGATGGGAGGATCCCTTGAGCCCAAGAGGTTGAGGCCACAGTGTGCTGTGATAGCACCATTGCACTCCAGCCTGGGTGACAGAACAAGAGCCCGTAACAAAAAAAAAAAAAAAAAAAAAAAGAGTACCTTGCTATCTATAAACCATTTTCCCACTGTCAGCTGTCACCATTCTCTCTGTTAATTTCATTTCTATGGCCCTAGGACCCTCCACTGCTTTAGCAAAACCATCCCTAACAATCCTTCCCCTCCTTGGTGCTGGTATCCCTTGAATGCTTATATAGTCAGCTCTCTTAGTCATTGTTTGGTGAAGCCATAAATAACTCCTTTAATCCTTCCTCATAAATCATTTTTGATGTTATTCTCTGAAACAATTCCAACTGGTCACTGCATTTCTAGTAGTAATAAATCCAGAACCAAGTACAGTAATCTAAGTGTCATCTAATAATATCAAAGAGAGCCCAGGGTGGGGGCTGGGGTTTTGTTTAGATAGGATAGTGTGAGTTTCTGCATTATTACAACTGTTCAGAGAAGTTTTAAGTCTCCAAGCTAAACTGGAATAAAAACATATGTGGGTGACTAAGCCGGAGGATTACTTGAGGCCAGGAGTTTGAGACCTGTCTCAACCAGGCATCATCTCACATACCTTTAGTCCCAGCTACTTGGGAGGCTGAGGTTAGAGGATCACCTGAGCCAAGGAGTTCAAGGCGGCAGTAAGCGATCATTGCACCACTGCACTCCAGCCTGAGTGATAAGCAAGACCTGGTCTCAAATAATAAAATAAAATAAAAAAGCAGTTTGTCTCTTTCATGACAGGTGGGAAATGGGAGACAAACGGTTTCAGGAAGTGTGTTATTAAACATGACTTGCTTGGTTTCCATGTCGATCCCCAAACCATTCGGGGTGTTTTGTTTTTGTGCTGTTTCACATTATAACCCTTAAGCGATGTTGACTATCTAAGTCTTTAAGCCATATTAGTATCACTATTTCCCCCTTCCTATATTGTACTATTGATCCAGATTCCTTTTAGGCATATGAATGGGCCTGTATTTTTCTGGACTTTATCTTGATGTTATCTAAACATTTAAATATCTGATACTGCTTATTTTACAATCATTTAATGGTCAAAGACTATTGAAATTGGTGCACTAACAGGCACTAGTAAATAAAAATAAAGCACAAGACTCAAAACAGAGAGGAAAGTTCCGGGTACTTGTGTATTTCTTTAAGGTGCTGCTAAGTCCAGCACTGGATGCCTCACGCAGAGCCGTAGCCACGCCAGTGTGTGCGCAGGGCAGTCCAGCCACCGTCATCAACATCCACTCTGCTTCAGGCTTACTTGATTGGTGACACAGAGGATGGCCCTGGCTGCAGGGCGACTTTATTTCCATAATGTATATAACACAGTCTCCCACAAACTCTTTGGTAGAAAGAGGGAGAAGTGTGGAGTGGAGAAGGTAGTTACCTGCTACCTGGAAATGAAATGTGTTGGTCTGTCACTCTGCGGCTTGACAAGTGATGTCTACTTCCAGGTACAGAGCCCTGCCTTAGGCCTTATTATGTTCAATATTTCAATAGTCTCAAACGCAGAGAGATTACAGCTTTAGAAGTGTGTGGACAGCCAGAATGTATGCATTATTTAAAAAATTACTCAGAAAGATCTTGATATCCTGGGAATGTTAAAACAACATCAAAGATAAAAAATTCTAGGAATGAATCTGAAGTTCCTCATTATTTTCACACATCAATTAGACCACATAATAAAAGAGAAGTAGTACAGTGACAAGAGTAT
Source organism: Homo sapiens (assembly GCF_000001405.40). Taxonomy (NCBI): domain Eukaryota; kingdom Metazoa; phylum Chordata; class Mammalia; order Primates; family Hominidae; genus Homo; species Homo sapiens. The sequence goes on from NC_000008.11 coordinate 29,087,542, forward strand.
CAACAGACAAAAAACCTGGTGATGTTACCTGACCAACAGCACAATGAGCTAACACCTTTCAAAAGCAAGCCCACCCAAGCGCAGTTCCACGCTGCGTCGGTAGAGGCCACCATTTAGACGAGAAAGGAAACACTGCCAGCATTTGCAAGCCCAGGGGGAACTCTTCTCATTTCTGGACTCCTCACTTTAGGAAGCACCCTGGCGAGACAACTGTAGAATGACGAAGCGTTTCCCAGATGAGATGTGGGAGACTCATCTAGAGCTGTTAAGATGGGGGAGGTCTGAGAGAACAAAAATTCTAAGAGAGCTATCATCACGCCACTGCACTCCAGCCTGGGCAACAGAGCGAGACCTTGTCACAAAAAATAAATTAAAAAAAAAAACTTCTACATAATAGTAAACTTATTCAAATATGTATATAAGAAGATTATACATATATATTTTGGCTGGGCGCAGTGGTTCACGCCTGTAATCCCAGCACTTTGGGAGGCTGACGCAGGCGGATCACGACATCAAGAGATCGAGACCATCCTGGCCAACATGGTGAAACTCTGTCTGTACTAAAAATACAAAAATTTGCGGGGCATGGTGGCGGGCGCCTGTAATCCCAGCTACTCGGGAAGCTGAGGCAGGAGAATCACTTGAACCTGAGAAGCAGAGGTTGCAGTGAGCTGAGATCGCACCACTGTACTCCAGCCTGGGCGACAGAGGGAGACTCCATCTTAAAAAAAAAAATTATATATTTTAAAGGCTGTAATACTCACTTCATCCAAAATGATGGTTATTCTTTTTTCAAGTGCCCATGAAGGATTAAAGATGCTTACTTAAAGAATATCTGCTAATCTAAACACCTTAAAAATAGGGTCTTGCTGGGCAGGGTGGCTCACATATACAATCCTCCCCACTCCCTTTACTTCCTGGTAAGAACAAACTCTGAGGCAAAGACTGGTTGATTATCTTGTTCCTGTAGAACCCCCAGGAGGGGGAGTAGAGATTGTTTTAGAAGTCCAAACTTCACATTCTAGTGAAGTTTGTGAAAATTGTGAAAATCACAAATCTGATTTTCAAGTGCATGGAACTCCATTATAACAAAGATTACTATTTTAAAAAAATGAGGAACACTAAAGGAGTCTAGCCAATACAGCATTTTTCTTCTTCCTGTTATTTGCAATTCCACAGGCACTAAAAATGCCCTTTTTCAGAGAAGAAACACACTTCAGAGTACAACAAGTGAAAGCATAAAGCATATTCAAAGCATATTTAAAGTATGCTTCACTTGTTGTACCCTGAAGTGTGACCCAAGTAAGAAAAAGTTTTCTTGACATTATCATCTATAATTCTAATTTATTTCTCACAGAGCTTTAGTAGAGATGGTCAGTGAAAATGAGACAACCAAGAGCGTCTCTGATCAACTAAATCCAAAATGAAAAGCTAAGATTTCTCTCTCCTTTGGAAATGTTCTTTAGCACTTCCACCAACCTAGGAAAAGAAGGTTCTTAAATATGTCTTCATCCCTCTAATCCCCACTCAGCCATGCTTCTTTCACCTCTAAGCTGTAAACACAGTCCTGTCTACCACTGAGTAGCACTTGGGACCCACAATCTAATATTACAGTCTGGGCATGGTGGCTCACGCCTATAATCCCAGCCACTTGGGATACCAGACGGGAGGACTTGAGCCCAGGAGTTCAAGACCAACCTGGGCAACACAGCGAGACTCTGTCTCTAAAAATAAAAATATTTAAAAAGTTAGCTGGGCGTGATGGAGCGCACTTGTAGTCCTAGCTCCTTGGGAGACTGAGGGTGGAGGATTCCCTGAGCCCAGGAGTTCAACGCTGCAGTGAGCTATCATCGCACCACTGCACTCCAGACTGGGCGACATACCAAGACCCTGTCTCTAAAATAATATTATTATAATCTGTTCACATGTCAAACAATAGACATTTTGCATCTTCTATGTACCAGGCACCATTCTGGCACAACAAGCCTTGCCCTCAGGGAATATTGTGGAGAGGGATAATTGATAAACATATAAACCAAACAATAACTCCCGATAAAAAGGTCAGAAATGGGCCAGGTGTGGTGGCTCAAGCCTATAATCCCAGCACTTTGGGAGGCTGAGGCGGGTAGATCATTTGAGGTTAGGAGTTCGAGACCAGCCTTGCCAACATGGTGAAACCCCGTCTCTACTAAAAATACAAAAATCAGCCAAGCGTGGTGGCAGGTGCCTGTAATCCCAGCTACTCAGGAGGAGGAGGCAGAAGAATCCCTTGAACCCAGGAAGTGGAGGTTGCAGTGAGCCAAGATTGCACTCCAGCCTGGGCAACAGAGCAAGACTCTGTCTCAAAAAAAAAAAAAAAAAAGAAAGAAATGGTAATGTAGTGCCTGCATGTATGGTGGAAGCTGTTCTGGTGTGGCTGTTCAACAAAGCCCACTCTAGACTCAGACGTCCTTCCTCAGAGTGGCCTTTCCTGAATGTTCTACGGGAGGCCTTTGGGAAGAGCAGCCTGGGTGGGTGGCAGGGCCAGCGCCAGAGCTCTTAGACTGAAGGCGCTTCACATGCTTATAGGCTAAAAAGGCAGCTTATCTGGCTTAGTACTGGTGAGCGAATAAAGAAGAACGAAGATTCAAGGCCGGGGTACAGGCACTGCAGGGCACTGTGAGCCACAGTGAGAAATTCACATTTCACTCCTTTCAGTGGGAGACACTGGAAGGTGTCACACCACTGACGACTGTGAGGCTGTGAAAGATCATTCTGGCTACTCTGTTTAAACAGCTAAAGCCACGGAACTCAATGAGATTTATGCATGGAAGGAAACAGGTTTAAAAACAAAAAAGAACACCCCCGTTGGAGCTCTGGGCACTGGATGTAAAGACTTGATGGAATCTACAGTCCCAGGAGTGGATCGCGGACCGAGGGAAGGGAAGTCAGGCGAAGGAAGTTGCACTGAAGCCTGGAGATGTAAGTGTTTCCAGCATTATGTTGACGCCAAGTCTGCAGGATGAGGACAAGGCGGTGTGGGCAAGGGGGAGCTCCCTGGCCACCCTGAGAAAAGGGAAATGCCTTCCAAGGAGCAGAGTTCTCACAAACCAACTGGAATGTTCTGGCTTTACTACCAGGTATCTTCATCAAGACCAGTTTTAGATTTATATACTTTATGTATTTTTATTTTTATTTATTTACTTTGAGACAGAGTCTCACTCTGTCACCCAGGCTGGAATGCAGTGGCATGATCTTGGCTCACTGCAACCTCTGCCTCCCGCGTTCAAGCGATTCTCATGCCTCATAGCCTCATTCTAATTCTCATAGCCTCCTGTGTAGCTATGACTACAGGAGCACGCCTGGCTAATTTTTGTAGTAAAGACAGGGTTTCGCCATGTTGGCCAGGCTGGTCTCAAATTCCTGACCTCAGGTGAGCCACCTGCCTTGGCCTCCCTGAGGGCTGGGGTTATAGGTGTGAGCCACTGCACTCGGCCATATATTTTATATTTTTATGAAATACAAAATATTTGTATGAGGCCAGTTTTCCCAAACCTTTGCTCATATGTGCTCAAACAATAAATGAACAGACTGGAGTAAATGAATAAAAATTGCTTATGAAATCTTCTATATATTTCAAGGTAACCTCTAACCTGGGCATTATAGTTATTCTCCAATCACTACATTTGTTTCTAACACACTGTTGTTCCTCTCACTTCCAGAGAGAGCTAATCACTCGTTGCCAAAACAGTAAGAGCATAAGTAAGTTCTACAGGTAGCAGGTGATGTGACTTGCTACATGGAAAACTGAAAATAGCTTTAAAGGAGAATAGTAATGATGGCAGGCTGACTCCGTGACTTCCAACGTGATTCCAATTTCCTTCAACCTACATGACTCCGCCTTCACCAAACAGCAACTGAAAACACTGGATAGCAGACTTCACTGAATAAAAATAAGAATCACCACAGACAGGCACTTATAAATGCAGATTACAAGGTCTCTCCAAGTTAGCTATGGGTTCCCAGCGCAGGCTGAGAAACTATTTTTTAAAACAGCTCCTAAATCTGACAGTTCATGAATCACACTTTGTGAAACAATGATGCAGAAGTTTAGAACTGAATAACGTACAAAATAATGACCCACTGGTTCAGTTCTGGTGGATCTCTGGGGAAAAAAAGCACTGGGAAAAATAATCACTGCCTACCTCGGTCCCCACAGGACTTGGCTCCTGCAGTCATAGATTCATTTCAGTAACTCTCAAGCCCCACCATGTGTCTAAATACAATTTAAACAGCTGTAAAATCTTGGTTTTAATTGTTTCATCTACTGTATGTGTATGCTTATTTATATGCTTATATAAAGCTAGATTTTTAAAAATTACATATCTGCATGGCAGCCTGATAAAACTAATTCCTTCTCCCCTGAATATGCATTCATACACTTAGAAAATTCTTTAGTTAAGTCTCAGACGATTCACCTGGATTACTGCAACTTGAATGTTTAGAAGAACGTGAAGAAGCTGATGTCAAAAGACCTATTTGGACAACAGAACTTGCCCTGTATGTGTTTTTGAATGAGTATAAATAAATCCTCATTTATCATTTTCTGCTGAGTTAACACCTATATAACGCTGGAAATTGCATTTCCAATGGGGTTCCCATTCACTATTGCATAAGAGCAGCTTCCTGATTGTTTGGAAAACCTTTTCGCATTTGCTCTAACACTTACCCTAGAGCTGGGTAAAGAGTTTTAAGAGAAAAGGATATAAGACAGGTGATCACTTTTCAGTGAAAGAACAGGTTATCCACAGCAGAGAAAACAGAGGTTGAGAGGGAAGGGCACTCATGATATAAAATTGTTTGAAAAAACAAATGAAATCAAAAAATAAAAATAGAATTACATTTTCTACTTGGCAATACACAAACAATGCTAAGTGCACTTCATAAATTTTACTACCGCTGCTCTAAGTGTTATTACCATACATCACATTAGCAGTGTCCTTGGCACTTCTTAAAAGCAGAAAGGAAGGAGTGTGTCCGTAAGTTTAAACAGCTCTGTTATCTCTGAAGAGAGTGGCGGAGAAAAGACCGACAGCTGTTTCTGGGTTTAAAAACCCAGTTTAGCCCCAACCCAGAGGCCGCACCTCCACCTCCAGCTTTGGCGCAACACAGAGCACCGCTTTATTAGAAAAACGTTCACAGCTGTTTTCTCGGTGCTTTTTACCTGGTGTGCGAGGGGAGACGGCCGCTTGCCCCTCTTCTCATCGCGGACGGGAAAGAGAGACTTGAGGAGCTTTGGCATTTGCGGCACGAAGGATTTGACAGGATTCAAGTAGGATGCTGCAAGGTTACTGAGTCCTGCCCATATTACAGGGGAAAAAGATAAAACAAATACAATTACATAGACATCTTCTTTCCTGTACATTTGACAGACATCACTTGTCAGCAAATCTAACAAAAACCAAAGGTATCCTTAAAAAATATTAGAGAAACACAGTATTATTGTAGTTTACATAATTTCCCTCAAACATAGTAATGTCTCTTTTTCAATTAAATAGCAGTAACTGGGGTGCTGCCAAAATGCTCTAGTATGCAGTGTTCCTATCAGCATCAGAACAGTAATTCACCTCTATCCTGTCACTAATTGGCACAAGCATTCACTTCTGCCCTAGAATAAAATGGGATTGGTTTTTAAGTCACACTGCCAATGACACAGATGTATAGCTCTTTGTCTAGACTTTAAGCTCTTTGAAGTCAGGGACTATGTCTTATTCAATCTAATTTTTCATAACTACTGAAGGAAGATGATGAAACTGACCTTTTGGGAAAAGGGTAAAGGGTAGTGTTTGAGTTGTTTGTTAAAAGTCAGGGAGAGACGCCCTGAACAACTTACGTTCTTACCTGCTGTTAATTTCCAAAGACTGGGATCAGAGGTACAGACAGGTATACTTATGATATACTAAGACTTCTTCCCCCTATTAATTTATAGTAAAATCTAATCCCAAGTCATAAGTGATAAAAAGCCGTATTCACACAACATTTAGAAATGAACAAGCAAGTCACCTTAAGGAATACATTTGCCTCAACAGATGCACACAACTCCCCCCAGATCTCTTCTCCACACTAACCCTGAAAGGATTCCAAACTTACTGGCAATTCAGTTGGTAAATGGATGGATACAGCTGTAAGGTTTCTACATTTTACATAAAGCAGTAGAATATTAAGTGTAAGTATACGGCAAAAAGTTAAAGATGTACATTGTAATCATGAGGGCGACCACTGAAAAATAAAAAAGCAAAGAGATGGCTATACCGAGCCGAGAGATACATCATACCTCAGTTTAGAAAAGTCCAATTATTTACAGCAAGACAAAAACAAGGATGAGAAAAATAAGAGAGGAGACAGAAAATAAAATAGGGTTAAGATGAATAAAGATCCAAAAATATACAATTATTTCAAAGATGAGGAAAAAAATTACAATCTAGAGTTCTGTATCAAATTAAACTAACATTCTAGAGTAAGGACAATCCCTCATTAAGTAAAAATCTAGCCAGTAATGAATCAAAGGCCGCACATATCACTAAATGAGACCATCAGACATTATGTGTCTCCAACCTCCCGACCACACATCCACACCCACCCACCCTACCACATGCATCCTTCTCAAATCAGCTGAATCGAATCAAGGATCTAGCTCTACCTACCAGTTCACAGGCAATACAGGGGACAGAATTGCGTTTCAACAGTCTCACGGGAACACAACAGGAAAAGTAAGAATGAACAGAATCTGCTGTGCAAGAACCTGGCCTACTGTGCCAGTCTACTCTACAAGAACCTAGTTTCTTCAACAAACACAATGCATGGTCGTGAAGTATTTCTCACCAATAAAAAATAAATGACTAATGCAATCAACAATCTGGGAAAATTTAACACGTATGGTAAGCAAAAGAGACAGACACAAAAAGGACATACATCATATGGCCCCATTTATGAAACTGCAGAAGTAATCTAGAGAAGTAGTCGTCAGAACACTGGCTGACCACAGGGAATGGGAATTAACTGGAGTCATGTCAATGTCCTATATTTTGACTGGGGTATGAATCACATGGATATATACAAATACATTTGGTAAAACATTAAATATGACCCACGGTCAACAAAGGAATCAATAAAAATAGACCATGAGATGTCTAGATACTGGATTTAACAGACAACGACTTTAAGGCAGCTTTCTTAACCAAGTCCAAAGATGCAAAGGAGAATACAGTCTTGACAAGTGCACAGACCAGGAACATCAGCGGAGAAATTAAAACTAGAAAAGCAGCAGCAAATGGAAATTCTAGAACTGAAAAAAAAACAATGACTGAAATGAAAAAATTCCCTGGATGTGCTTAACAGAGCCCTGGAAATCACAGAAAAAAATTATCCAACTAGAAAAAATAAAAAGATTAAAAAAAAAAAAAAGAACAGAGCCTCTGTGACCTGTAGGACAATATTAAACAATCTAACCTATGAGTAATTAGATTCTCAGAAAGAGCAGAGAGAAAAGGATGGGGGAAAAGTTTTAATGAATAATGTCTAAACATTTCTCACGATTGCTGAAAAACATCAATTTACGGATCCAATAACTTGATAAGCAAGTTAAATACTAAGAAAATGATAACTAAGCAAATCATAGTACAGTTACCACAAAGATAAAGAGAAACTTCTGAAAGTAGGTGAACCAAACAAAGATACCACACTGAGTGGGAGGTGACAAATGATGGCTGAATTCTCAGCAGAAAAGAAGGAGCTGGAGATGAGGAAACATCTTTGAAGTGCTAAAAGAAAAAACCTCCAACTCAGAGTTCTCTATCCAGTGAAAATATTCTTAAAACAACAACAAAACAAAACAGTGAAATAAAGATACTTTCAAAAAAGGAGAGCATTTTTCTCCAGGAGGACTGTACTCTTAAGAAATACTAGGCTGGGTGCGGTGGCTCACGCCTGTAATCCCAGCACTTTGGGAGGCCGAGGCGGGTGGATCACCTGAGGCCTGGAGTTCGAGACCAGCCTGACCAACATGGAGAAACCCCATCTCTACTAAAAATACAAAAATTGGCCAGGCGTGGTGGCACATGCCTGTAATCCCAGCTACTTGGGAGGCTGAGGCAGGAGAATCACTTAAACCCGGGAGGCAGAGGTTGTGGTGAGCCAACATCAGGCCACTGCACTCCAGCCTGGGCGACAAGAGCAAAACTTCATCTCAAAAAAACAAAACAAAACAAAACAAAACTACAGAATATTCTTCAGGCTAAAAAGAAATAAAATCAGATTAAAATAAGACCTTCAGGAAAGACTGGATACTGCCAGAAATAATCTGAAAAAAACAAAACAAAACGAAACAAAAAACAAAACATAAAAGATTATCCATTTTTTCTGTATTCTCTCAAAAGACAAGTAGTGTTTTTTTTTGTTTGTTTTTTGTTTTTTTTTTTTTAAGACAGAGTCTCACTCTGTCACCCAGACTGGAGTGCGATGGCGTGATCTTGGCTCACTGCAGCCTCTGCCTCCCAGGTTCAAGTGATTCTCCTGCCTCAGCCTCCGGAGGAGCTGGGACTACAGGTACCTGCCACCACACCTGGCTAATTTTTGTGTTTTTAGTAGAGACAGGGGTTTCCCCATGTTGGCCAGGCTGGTCTTGAACTCCTGACCTCAGGTGATCCCCCCTGCCTTGGCCTCCCAAAGTGCTGGGATTACAGGCGTAAGCCACTGCACCCAGCCCAAGCTTTTCTTTTTTTTTTTTTTTTTTTTTTTTGAGAAAGGATCTCACTCTGTCGCCTAGACCTGAGTACAGTGATGCAATTGTGCCTCACTGCAGCCTCAACCTCCCAGGTTCAGGTAATTCTCCCACTTCAGCCTCCTGAGTAGAGGGACTACAAGTGTGTACCACCACGCTCAGCTGATTTTTGTATTTTTTTGTGGAGATGGGGTTTTGCCATGTTGCCCAGGCTGGTCTCAACTAACCCACACCTAGGCCTCCCAAAGTGCTAGGGCTACAGGTGGGAGCTACCGCACCCGGCCTACAGGTGGCTATTTTAAAGCAAAAAGAATAACGTCATAAAGTGAGGTTTGAATACCTATATATGTAGAAGATGAAACAACAGTACAAAATGAGGGGCCCAGAGGAACAGGTCAATGACTTACACTGTTGCATGGTTCCTGTATTTGTGAGGTGAGGGGTGACGTCATATGAACTCTAAGCGATTTGATAAGTTAAGGATGCCAAGTAGGGTTTCTGAGCAAAGACTTTAGCAAACAAATACAGGTGTCCAAAAAAGCAAAAAGAGGAAATAAAATGAGATACTAATTTTTGTTTATTAACCCAAAAGAAGGTAAATAAGGAGTTACAGTGAAACAAAAAACAGAATGGCCAAGCAGAAAACCAATAAAAATATGGCGGACCAGAATGGGAGGCAATGGAAGGGTTCGTGAAGCATGCCGATTGAAGGGCAGGAACTACGAGATGAGATTCAGGGGGAAATAACTGGACCCAACCAAATGTTGTCTACAAGGCAATCGCTTTTAATTTAAAGACAAACACAGGCTAAAATTTTAAAAGCCAAGAAAAAGATACATCGTGCAAACAGTAAATAAATTTGATGCAGTTATATATAAATGATAGGTAAGAGAGATTTCAAGGTAAGAGTATTCCCAGAGACAAAAGGGACATTTCATGATAGGCCACTCTATCAGGAAGATATAACAATCTTAAATGTGTTATATCAGGAAGATATAACAATCTTAAATAATTAGAAGCTAATTATCAGAGCTTCTAAATGAATGAAGTAAAAACTGGTATAAAGGGAAACACATATAATTTTCACAATTATATTTGGATATCTAATGCCCTCTCAAGAACTGATGGAATAGGCCTCCACCAAATCAGCAAAGATCCAGAGGATTTGAACAAGGCAATAAACCACAGTGACCTAATTAGATATACATAGAACATCATGTCCCCAAACACAATAGTGCACATAGAATATTAACCAAGATAGAACACAATCTGGAATACAGATTACCCCCAAAAATAAAAAAGAATTAATGCTAGTTGATAAGTCATGGATCAAAGAAGCAATCAGAGGGAAATTTTAAAATACTCTGAATAGAATGAAAATGAAAGCACAACATACCAAAATATGTGAAATGCAGAAAAATTTAAAAAATCAATTGCAATAGAAAAAGCCAAAAACTGGTTCTGAGATTAATATATATGATAAACCTGTCAGAAAAGTATTCAAAACAGATAATACAAATTATCAGTATCAGAATAAAAAGAAGGAACATCACAAGAGATCCTATAAGTATTTAAAAAATAAGGTAAAGTGGCCAGGTGCGATGGCTCATGCCTGTAATCCCAGCACTTTGGGAGGCCAAGGCCGGCAGATCACAAGGTCAGGAGATAGAGACCAACCTGGCTAACATGGTGAAACTCCGTCTCTACTAAAAATACAAAAAATTAGCTTGGCATGGTGGCACGTGCCTGCAGTCCCAGCTACTTAGGAGGCTGAAGCAGGAGAATCACTTGAACCCAGGAGGCAAAGGTTGCAGTGAGCCGAGATCGCACCACTGCACTCCAGCCTGGGCGACAGAGTCAGACTCCATCTCAAAAAAAAAAAAAAAAAAAAGTAAGTGATGTTTATGAAAATAAACTTAATAATCTAGATAAACTAAGAAACTCCTTGAAAAAAATATAACCTATGATAGGTGACTCAAAAGGAGACACAAAGATCTAAATATTCCCATACTAAATAAACTTGCCGGGTGCAGTAGCTCACGCCTGTAATCCCAGCACTTTGGGAGGCTGAGGCAGACAGATCACCTAAGATCAGGAGTTTGAGACCAGCCTGGCCAACGTGGTGAAACCCCATCTCTACTAAAAATGCAAAAATTAGCCAGGCGTGGTGGTGGGCGCCTGTAATCCCAGCTACTTGGGGGGCTGAGGCAGGAGAATCACTTGAACCTGGGAGGGGCAGGTTGCAGTGAGCCGAGATTGCACTACTGGACTCCAGCCTGGGTGACAGAGCAAGACTCTGTCTCAAAAAAAAAAAAAAAAAGAAACTCAAGTCATAATTTAAAATCTCCCCACAAAGAGGATTCCAGGCCCGGATCATGTAACTACGGAATTTCATGAAACATTTAAGGAAGAGGTAATACTAATCTTACATAAACTCTCCCAGAAAAAAAAAATGAGGAGAAACATTTCCCAAGTCGTTTTATGAAGCCAATGCAATCATAACAAAACCTAACAAAGACATGAAGATGAGAAGATAAAACATTACAGATATTTACTATAGAGCACATACACAAAAGTCCTTAAAAAAGAGGTGCAAAGAGATTCCAGCAATGTACGGCTAACACATCATGATCAGGCGGTATATATCAGAGCAATGCAAGATCAATCCAACATTCCAGAGCCAATGGAACTCAACCTGTTAAGAGGAGAAATGAAACAACTCGATGGACATTATCTAGCAGAACAGTGGCTGCCTGGCAGGAAATTCTAATTTAAACTTTCTGAAAGATGCTCAGATTTCTGACAGTAATTGACAAGTGAAAAGATAACTTACCTGGATCTGGAGAATGGTTATTTTGGGGAGAAACAGAGAGGGCGGGGGCAGGAGCTATTCCTCTGGAAACTGTGGTTTGGGATACATCCTGCTGACTTTCCCACCGGCCCTAGTAAAGACAAAATTGGCAATTTTGTTTCAAGTTATTCAATTAACCAAACAAAAAAAAATTACAGATACTCAAGAAAAAAAACTGTTATATATTACTAAAGCTCCTTTGAATATAAGCTTGATTACATCAGCACTTTTTTTTTCTATTTTAAGAGACAGAGTTTCTGTCACCCAGGCTGGAGTGCAGGGGTGCGCCATCATAGCGCATGTAACCTCTAACTCTTAGACTCAAGCAATTCTCCCGCCTCAGCCTCCATAGCAGTGGGGACTGCAGCTACATGCCACCACATGAGGCTAATCTTTTTACTACTTTTGTAGAGACGGGATGTCACTATGTTGCCCATACTCAAACTCCCAGCATCAAGCAATCCTCCTTCCTTGGTCTCCCAAAGTACTGGCATTACAGGTGTGAGCCACCATGCCCGATCAGCACTTTTCTTCTACTTGTCATCCTGCTTATTTTATTAATTTCTCCAACAATAATAATCATACCCCCCCACACACATTTGGACAGCCCCTCCATACTGCAGTTTACAGTCTCCCATTAAGCTCTGTCCTAACATGTTTTCTACTCTGCATCCTGTTGCCTCCCACAGAATACAGACGTATTCCTTCTGCAATTCTCCCTTCGGTTCTGCTTTGAGACCACTTCTGCTCTTTTGCCTCAAGATACCCTTTTTCACTCAGTTCTCCACAGAAACCCACGAACAACTCTATAGTCAGAGGGTGTCTCTTCTCTCTACTCCCAGACTGTGTTTCCACTGACTCACATATAGTGCATAACAGTAAATATTACCAAATCTCTCATTTTAAATAGATATTAAAGATAAATTACAGTCAAACCCAAGTCAAATAATTACAAATTCTCAATGATGGAAGTCTCTGAATTATCAAATTTTATTGTATTCTCAACTTATTTGTAAATTCCCATTAAAGACATTTCATCAGTTGATAGATTAAAAGACCATTCCAAAATTCATGGTGAGCCATAAAAATAGTGATACCATCAAAGCACTTTTAACTTCAGCCCTATCTAGGGAAGAAATAAACCCCAAATGTTGCTTGTACTAAAACTGATAAGAGATGAGATGTAAATCTTTTAAATGCTTTAAGTTCCCTTTGATCCCCTGATAATCACTGACTTCTTTACCACTGGAGTTTAATAATCGTGTGCAATATGAGTTTGAGCTAGTGCTGCACAGATGAATAATCCTAATGATTAACTCGAGGTTTTTTTTTTTTGAGACTGAGTTTCATTGGCGCAATCTCGGCTCACCGCAACCTCCACCTCCTGGGTTCAAGCGATTCTCCTGCCTTAGACTCCTGAGTAGTTCGGATTACAGGCATGCGCCACCATGCCCGGCTAATTTTGTATTTTTAGTAGAGATGGAGGGGGTGTTTCCTCCATGTTGGTCAGACTGGTCTCGAACTCCTGACCTCAGGTGATCCGCCCGCCTCGGCCTCCCAAAGTGCTGAGATTACAGGCGTGAGCCAACGCGCCTGGCAAGTTTTCTTTACTAATTGCCTGATCAGCGAAATGGGGACAGTGAGTTCTCCACTGCTCTTGAAGATGGATTGTGGAGGAAGGGCCTCTTAGGTTTCAGAAATGTATTGGAAACCCATCTGCTTTTAGCAGCGACCTAAGTACTAATCATAAAAATCAATAAGCCCTAAGTGATCTGGGTCCTGCGCACCTCAGAGAATGCCACTTTTCCCTAGGAACTCTCTCAGCACTTGGTATCCTTTTTAAAAATGGTGTGATGGTCAGGATTGATTAGGAAGCAAGGAGAACAAGGGAGAGAGCAACACGTGATCATCGAGAACGTAAGCTCTGAAATACTTCAGCGGAGGAGCGCTGGCATCCCCATGAATCATACGCTGATTTACATACTTGAATGTTTTGTTAATTTTTGCATTCAAATTTCATGATCTGTCTGGGAAGCTGCGGCCTTGTATACCCGGGGATATCACCATCAGGTGACTGAACACTAAGATCAGCCCTCCATGGAGTTTCTCAGAGGAAGAAAAGCCACCTGCTTTGTGTACAGTGGCGAGCTCACACATGGCTGTTCTGAAGACAACTTACTTAATTTGAGAGTATTGTTTCATATTTTAGATTTTCTTTGTTTGGTAGCTGATATGGCTGCGGTCTGTCCCTCAGGAAAACTAAGCCGCTGATCTGGAGTCGGCACCTGGGCTGCTTGACGTAGAATTGGGCCAACGACAAATTATGGAGGTGCCACCTCTTCCCCAAGGCACACCCAGGCCCCGATGGCTTCAGGGGCAGTTCTTCCCAGCAGGCACTACCCAATCAGAACAGAGCAGTAACTCCATCTCATTTACTCAAATACTGAAAGTGAGAACACTGAAAGATACACAATGCGTAGATCCTGCCAGCCCTGCAGAGCGTGACAAACAGAGACACGGCTCACTCTGCCCTCTACCTGAACAGTCATCTTAACCTTGAGGAACCTCACATGCTCCCCCCGCAACCCCACCTATTCTGATCCCACTGTCCTGAGACAGGGACCTCAAATCGCGCTGGGATGGAACAGGCTCTGCTTCAGAGGGAGCAACCAATGCAGATGCTAAACTGGGTACCACGCGCTTCCCTCCTCCAGCTGACGCCTACGAATCTCTGCGGAAACACTCCACTGGAATTACTCACTCGATTTTTCTCCTGCACTACAACCTCCATCCTCTTGACAGAGGTGAAAAGTGTGGTTCAGGGTCCGGCTACACACACTGTTCCCCAGGGACAACGCAATGACTATCTTCCCAATATGTTGTATATGCTTAGCTGTCCTAGAGTTATCCTCCCTTTACTAAAATGTTGGGGTAGATTAAAAAAGAAAAAAAAAAAAAGAAAAATGAAGCAACCCAGTTCAATGTACTTCACAGGGAGATGAACTCAGGACCATGGACTAAAAAGGACTTCGCAGGAAACCTCTGGCTCTCTCAATAGCTCAGGTCTAAACGTGAAAGAGTATGATATCCCTGTTTTACTTCTCCTCCAGTAATCTACACCCCTCCACCTGAAATCGAAAAAGATAAATCTCTGATCTGTCTCCAACATCCTGCATGTCTACCACACTTCAGAATCAGCCATGATACAGTTACACAGAGGGAAGCTGGCTTTGTTTTGGATCCTTACCCAGCTTTACTGCCATTAGGGCACATTTGTCCTCACCGGCAGACTCAAAGAGATAAAATCCTAGTCGATACTGAAGTCACTGGTAGGCAGCACCATGCTCAGGGGCAAAGTGGACAAAGTAAGAACGCCGGAGGCTCCGGGGAGGGCCTGACTTGGTCCCCAGGGACCCATGCAGTTTTTCCCACTCCTGCTCCTCTGCCAGATACGGATTCTTTGGGTTTTCTGGGAATGAGTCTGGTTTTGATCAGGAAAGTGACAAAAAGGTAAATAACGAGAAGTGCCAGTGACATTTCGGGTCCAATGGCAGCTTTCACTGCAGCTGGAAGAGGAGTGACTCATGCTTGGCATCTCCTCCCAGGGCTGCGTGAAACCATCACGGCTTTCAGGAAGGCGATGGAGCCAACACAAAATTCAATTCTGCTAACTGGGTATTTGTTCATGCTATTGACTAATCTTAATTTCCTCAAAAACTCCAATCAAAAGATGACAAACATACAACCTTATTGACTTCTTAAAAATAAAATTTCTCCTAAAATAACTTTGGAAATAAAAATGATTTTGTCGGCCAGGTGCGGTGGCTCACGCCCGTAATCCCAGCACTTTGGGAAGCCAAGGCAGGCAGATCACGAGGTCAGGAGATCGAGACCATCCTGGCTAACATGATGAAACCCCGTCTCTACTAAAAATACAAAAAATTAGCCAGGCACGGTGGCGGGCGCCTGTAGTCCCAGCTACTCGGGAGGCTGAGGCAGGAGAACGGCTTGAACCCAGGAGGCGGAGCTTGCAGTGAGCCGAGATAGCGCCACTGCAGTCCGGCCTGGGCGAAAGAGTGAGACTCTGTCTCAAAAAAAAAAAAAAAAAACAAGTAAAACAACAATAACAAAAAAAATGATTTTGTCTTGACAGCATTTGTCACATTGCAAAAGACCTCAATGCACAGCTGACTCCAGGGTGGAAAGACCAACGACACGCCGAAATTCATCCTGCACCTCAACTTCAGCCGGTCTTGGCAGACAGTCATAAAAAGCCTGCTAAGGTTTCATTATACCTAGAGAAAATATCTGTACAATAATGATGAAACACACGATAGCAATAAATAGAAACACTACTTCCATCAGGGATCATATTTTATATTTTTAATTGAAAGACTTATCCCAAGAGTGATTTATTTTAGGCCCTATGGTGAATTTCGCATTTGGAATAGTTAACAAAACTATTTTTTAAGATTAATTAGTTCATCAATTCAATCTTGGTGGAGTTCAGCAAAAACAATTCCACTTTTCATATGTAGGGGCATCGACAAATAGAGGAATGGAAAGCAGGCTGGCCTCATTCCAAGTATTATTAGACCAAACTATGAGTTCCTCTTTAGAACCGAACCACTTTCCTCTCGCCTCCCACGTCCTCACTAAGTTACTCGGGGACCCCAAGGAACCAAGAACGAAAAGTAGGAAGGTCCAGAAGCGTTAACACAACTGTGAGACATCACAGTTACTTGCCTAATACGATTTGTCTTGCTAATCCCCAGCCCTGCACGGAAGGCACCTTGCACAGGCACACAATGAGCCCTGCAGCGTTGCACCTGAAATGGTCTCCCCCCATCCTCACCCCATGCTGTCTCCGAAGCATGTGGATGGAGTCCTTCCTAAAACACTCCTCCCCTGGACTTCTGAGACTCCCTTGGCCCTGTCTTCATTCCTCCCTGGCGCCGCCACCTCAGTGCACCTCAGTGGCCCTAAGTGTCACCACTGCCTCGGCGCTCCCCAGCCAACCCCGCCCCACACTGTCCCCACTATCCCCTCGGGCTCCCAAACCTGGCTTCAACTCGGACACCTGAGACCCTCGAAAATGGAACTGAATCATTTCCTCCCCAAGCCTGCCCTATAGTTCATCTCTCGGACCTATACACTGCTGTCCAAAACCCGATGTCACCCAAGTCCCCTCACTCCAGCCCGTCACATACTTGGCCTCTGCAGGATTCTAGAGTACCCCTCTCCAACCCATCTGTGTCTCTCGTCATCTCTCTGGCTATTTCTCCCCTAACCGGTCCCTCCACTCTCCAACTCAAAACCATTTTTCCCCACGTTTGCATTGATAACTGCATACATTTGTACCATATAGTTTCCTAATGCAAAATTACACACCACAGCTAGGGACGGGGTGGGGCTCAGCTGGACCATTAAAACAAACTTTTTAATTCACATGTGGTCATATTACTGCTCTGTTTTCAAGTCCTTCCATGGTGTCCAACTCCCCTGCCATTCCTTGGGACATGACGTCAAGATGCCAAAAATAAGGCCCCGCCTCTCTGGGTTCTGCCCACAGACTCCCTCTACTTTTTCTTTTTTTTATTTTTTATTTTTTTTGAGACAGAGTCTCGCTGTCGCCCAGGCTGGAGTGCAGTGGCGCGATCTCGGCTCACTGCAGGCTCCGCCCCCCGTGGTTCACGCCATTCTCTTGCCTCAGCCTCCCGAGTAGCTGGGACTACAGGTGCCCACCACCTCGCCCGGCTAATTTTCTGTATTTTTAGTAGAGATGGGGTTTCACTGTGTTAGCCAGGATGGTTTTTTTTCCTTTTTTTTTTTGGAAGACAGGGTCTCTCTCTGTCACCCAGGCTGGAGTGCAATGGTGCAATCATAGTTCACTGTGGCCTCAAACTCCCGGGCTCAAGTGATCCTCCCCTGCCTCAGCCTCGAATAGCTGGGATTACAAGCATAAGCCATATTGCCTCGCTAATTTTTTAAATTTTTTTTTGCAGAGAAAGGGACTCCCTATGTTGCCCAGGCTGGTCTCAAACTGCTGGGCTCAAGCCATCCTCCCACCTGGACCTCCCAAACTACTGAGATTACAAGCATGAGCCACCGCGCCCGGCCTGTACACTCTGAGCTTGACTCCCACTGCATGTACTGTCAAGAACACAGCAACCTGGTTCATCCCCAAGCCTTCGTTCACACAGATCCTTCTGCTCACAGTGTTCCTTCAGCTCCTTTCCTGCCTGTGTGGACCTCAGTGTCATCCTTCAGGGGGAGGCTTAAGAATGGCCTCTGCCCTGCAGCCTCCTGTGAGTCCTGTGTGAAGCCAGTGGGGGGTCCATGCCCTCTGCCATGCCCTGGCTGGGTTCTAATAGCATCTCTGCTCCTTTGTCCTATTTTTCTGGTGCACGTGAGGGACAGTACTTTTCTTTGAAGTAGATTCTATTATTTTCTGTTATTGTATCCATTTAAAATAAGGAAACTGGGCAGAGTTTGTTTGGTTTTTTTTTTTTTTTTTTTTTTTTTTGAGACAGAGTCTCGCTCTGTCGCCCAGGCTGGAGTGCAGTGGCACGATCTTGGCTCACTGCAACTTCCGCCTCCCGGGTTCAAGAAATTCTCCTGCCTCAGCCTTCCGAGTAGCTGGGATTACAGGCGCCTGGCACCACACCCAGCTAATTTTTGTATTTTTAGTAGAGACGGGGTTTCACCATGTTGGGCAGGCTGGTCTTGAACTCCTGACCTCAGGTGATCCACCTGCCTCAACCTCCCAAAGTGCTGGGATTACAGGCCTGGCCAGAGTTTTCTTAACAGAAGAAAAACAGAAGAATTTTGGCCACTTCTTTCAAGGAACTTATAATTGGAGATTTGGGTTAGATACATTTTCCACAAAAGCACAGGAAGTCATGTTTTTCTTATATTTTCCTTAAGATATTTTACTTACATTAAAAAGTCACGTACAATCAATTTTCAAAAACTCTGCTCTCTTCAGGTAATCACAACTGATGCTAAGCTACAGCTAATCAAACCTATCACTGGCAGAGTACAAACAAGCATTAAACTTCAGCACACTTACAGAAACCCGTGTCCATGCAGGGCTCCAGTGAACGGATAAGCTGGACAGCAATTTGTATGTCTACAAACATATACATGTATCATAGTGTAGGCAAACTACTAATAATCTAGATCTTAAAAGAGTCTACAGCCAGCAGCAGTGGCTTATGCCTGTAATCCCAGCACTTTGGGAGGCCAAGGCGGACAGATCACTTGAGGTCAGGAGTTCGAGACCAGGCTGGCCAACATGGTGAAACCCCGTCTCTACTAAAAATACAAAAGTTAGTAGGGCGTGGTGGCGAGTGCCTGCAATCCCCGCTACTGGGGAGGCTGAGGCAGGAGAATCACTTGAACCTGGGAGGCAGAAGTTGCAGTGAGCTGAGATGCTGCCACTGCACTCCAGCCTGGGCAACAAGAGCGAAACTCTGTCTCAAAAAAAAAAAAAAAAAAAAAAAAAAAGTCTAATTAATGCATCAACTTAATCTTCATTGTTCTTAAGTTTTTATAAGGGAAATGTCAAACATACACAAAAGC
This sequence comes from Homo sapiens, assembly GCF_000001405.40. NCBI lineage: Eukaryota > Metazoa > Chordata > Mammalia > Primates > Hominidae > Homo > Homo sapiens. The sequence goes on from NC_000008.11 coordinate 29,106,735, forward strand.
ACAGTGTAGAATAATTAACAATTGGAATAGCACAATGAACTCCACTCAGCTTTAAGAATTATCATGAAGCAGCCAATCTTCTGTCTCTGTCACGCTGCCTCGTAGATTTGAAAACGACTCCCTCACATCAGACCATCTCATAAGACCACAGCCACTACTGACCTCCTCAAGGGCTGCAAATCAACATGGGGCATGCTGCACACAGATGGCAGTACCAACATCTAACCAGACCCCTCAAAAGTGACAGGCACAAACTACGATGTGTGGTGCCCAAGTAAGACAGTTTCAAGGAGTGCTAACCTTTTTGAAAAAGAATGAGTTCTCCATGCTTAAAACTCTGCTAAACAGGGAAGGCTCTATTACACATAAATAAATTCCAGCGAATAAAATTTCCGTTCCCTTGTTTTTCTTTCTTCTCACAAATAATGTTAACTTTTAGATATAATTTTCTTATTCCTCCTACATTTTTCAATCATTATACATCAGTACTTCTCTACAAAAATCTGATTTGGGCCAGGTGCAGTGGCTCACGCCTGTAATCCCAGCACTTTGGGAGGCTGAGGCAGGTGGATTACCTGCGGTCTGGAGTTTGAGACCAGCCTGGCCAACACGGTGAAACCCTGTCTCTAGTAAAAACATAAAAATTAGCTGGGTGTGGTGGCATGCACCTGTAATCCCAGCTATTTGGGAGGCTGAGGCAGGAGAATCGCTTGAACCTGGGAGGCGGAGGTTGTAGTAAGCCGAGATCGCGTCATTGCACTCCAGCCTGGGTGACAAGAGCGAAACATCATCACACACACACACACACAAAATCTAATTTGAAGTTTCTTTTTTTTTTTTTTTTTGAGACAGAGTCTCGCTGTTGCCCAGGCTGGAGTGCAGTGGTGCGATTTTGGCTCACTGCAGGCTCCGCCCCCCGGGGTTCACACCATTCTCCTGCCTTAGCCTCCCGAGTAGCTGGGACTACAGGTGCCCGCCACCTCGCCTGACTAGTTTTTTGTATTTTTAGTAGAGACGGGGTTTCACCGTGTTAGCCAGGATGGTCTCGATCTCCTGACCTCGTGATCCGCCCTCCTTGGCCTCCCAAAGTGCTGGGATTACATACGTGAGCCACTGCGCCCAGCCTGAAGTTTCTTTTCTGACAGAAATAGGAAGGAAATTTAGACAGAAGTACGAGCTTTAGCAGAAAAATTGTTTTTCAACCCCAGTAGTCAGAGTCTAATAAACCTTATTTTAATTGGCAAATTAAAAGAAATGAACTCTAAAACACTTTCAAGTAAGTTTCACATAATACAGATGAGTAGAGGAAATTCTGGCTTGCAAAAATAACCTGAGATTTGAGAAGATGAAAGCTGAATGGGAAATGGGACTTAAAACACTGATAGAAATAGTTAAAACACCTACCTTGTTGCTGCCTAGACTGTATGATGGAATGAGATCTTGTCGGCTTCCAGACAACTGAAGAAGAAAGAAAGGGGGGTTAGTTATTTATGCATCAGAGCATACACGTGGTCTAGGCAACGCCAGTCTTTGCCAACCCAGTCAACCGAACGTCAAAGTTGGGTGGCAGCAGAGAGGTTGTCATGACGAAGGCTGCACACTAGTGGTCTTTGGGACATTACAAACATTGAATTGGTTATGAACAATTTTCAGATGAGAGATTTCTATAAGATCTGGATATTCAGTTCACACTGAGGTCACAACCGGCTGGACCTGAACAAGAGATGTCGCGTTGGGTGAGCCCTTCTGTGTGAAAGATACCAGGTTACTTGTTATCTAACCATGGCCTGAGCTTATGATTCCTTTCTCTTGGTATCTGTAGCAACTGTAAATAAACTCACAAACTATTTAAACTATCAGATCCCAAACACTGAATCTCTGCATATGTCAGTGTATTTTAATATATCATTTTCTGAATAAATGAGACGTTATCCGCCTTGAGTTAAAGTGATCTTCCTAAATGTCTGAGATGGTTGGTGGCATCCAGCGTGAAACTCCTCCTATCACTCTCTCTTCTCTCTCAGACACTAAGGCCAAGGTCAGCTGCCCTTTCTCACAATGCTTGTGCTGTAACTTCTCTTGGTGTGAAGTTAGGAGGAAAGTATCATTTTTCATATCCACATCTTCATCAAAAATGAGGAAAAGAGTAATCAAGCGGCCAAGAGCCTATTTCTTTGTGAAGGATTATTCCCATGTTCAATATGCACATAAATTATATATAGGTTTTTAAAAACAACAATAAACTGAAGCCACTGTTATGAAACAACCCCATGTATCTGACGCATGGACACCACCCTGGCTGTCTTGTGAACAACTGGTTTGTGAACCTGGTCCAGACTCCTCCTCAACTTAAAAATAATCTAAGCCCAGAAAATGGCATTGGCTTGCCATAGGCCCGTGGCTAGTTTGGGTTTAGTTCCACAAACATTCACTGAACACCTCAGTCTATGCTAGGCAGTGGTGATCGGAAGATAAGAAACACCTGAAAGGTACTTAACTGCTACTTCCCCTATAATATTAGTAGGAACAGGGGCAGAGGTGCACAGACCCAGTGGGGTGGAGACCAGGGGCCCTGACATCAGTCCTGGCAAGGGAAGGGTTTCGGAGATGGGGTTTGACGGGTGGAGAAGAGTTACCCAAGAAAAGAGGAGAGGAGAGAAGTCCCAGGCACAGCACAGAGCTTGGTTCCACACACTCACTCTGTTCACATTTGGAGAACTGATACTCCTCCTGCTCAACTTTCCTTTTCCTGTTAACTGTTCCTTCACTGCAACTTCCTGTGAATCAGAAAACATACAGAGGAAAAAGACATGTAAGAGACACACTGCAAAAGCAACACCATGTACAGCAGACTTGCAACCCCCATCTATACAGACATTCCTAGCTATTTAAACAATGCTGTTACGTGATTATTACGTACTGCATGCCTGTATCAAAACAGCACATGAGCTCCATAAATACATACATCTACTATGTACCCATAAACAGACTTTTAAAATTAAATAAAGGCTGTTACTTTGTAAGACAGAATGACCCAATTACAATCACTCTGGATTATTCAAAGTTCATTAGAGTGAACTCTTCAAATGTTAGGTGCAACAACACTGTGAATTACAGAGTCAAACACAGACTCAGCCTGCATCAGGGCCTCTGCTGCCCGCCCTATCCATGCGGTTGGCTAACCTGGCGCAGACGATCTAAAGTCAGGAGGTTTTCTACAGCCAGCACGCTCCTGAGGTACTTTTCAATATAAGCCTCCGAGTCAGCAGAAGCTGGGTTTTCAACATTGGCTGCCATTCTTGCTAATGCTTCCCGTTCTTCCACTCCCTGGGCATCCTGAGCAGTGGAAAGTTATACATTATAAAAGCTTCTTGATGTACACACACACACGTACACGCGTGCACACACAGACACACAGAACGTATTCCAAAATTCCATTTTAAAGTCAGCTTTGGAACGCCAAAGCATTTTTCCAAGGAAATAATGAAAAGGTGATTAGGTGACTAGGTCCACTTGAAAGGCTGGTTAATTTAAACACAGCACAGCTGAAACACAGCGCATTCTCAACAAAACTGTTCTCTACTACATTCCCACTACAAAAAACCCATGACTGGTTAGAAAGGATTTTGTCGACTAGCCAGAAATGTAACCACCGTAAAAACAATTCAGGAACATTACCCCCGCCCTGGAACTCCTGAGGGACAGAGAAAGGGAAGAGGGGCTGGGGTGACTGCTACACAGCGTAGGAATCAAACTGCCTCCCAGGGAGGAGGCCCGGAAGGGAGAAGATAGTGGACATAGGGTTTCAGCGCCTGCCACCAAGCAGCCCAGGGTAGCTGACATATTCAGAACATGGCAGCTTCTAGAATTGGTTCAATCTTCTGCTCGAGTGGCAGTGGCCAAAGGCCTGGAGCCGACCAAGGAGAGGTTATCTAGGTAAGTTCTCCTACACTGAGCTTTCTGGTATAGCCCATCCCCAATCCTGGGATGTGAGCTGGCTGTGCATACAAATGGGAGGTGCACAGTCAGAAAGAGGCTTTATTAATGTATTTAGTTATTTCAAGCAAAGTGGGCTCTTAACAAATTACTGTTCTCAGGAAAAATCAGATACTTTATTCACTTGTAAATTTCTTATAATAATGCCAAAACTACAAAATGTATAACCATATGCCACTGCATCTTAAATGCCATCAACTGTAAGACAAAATATTTTAAACAAGATTGAGGGGAAAACAAACTCTGTTAATTTTAAGATACCATCAATTATAAGACACATTCTACTTCAAAGATACTTTTAAAAATTTAAATGAGTCTTAGAACAGATAAAATGTGGGAGGATTTGTAAGACGGCTTAAGTTCACAAAAACTTTTGTCTTGTACAGTAATTCATCTGAGCCTTGTAATAACCATGAAAAGAAGGAATCATCCTCATTTCCTAGATGACAAGAGGAAGACCACACAATTAGCAAGAGTCAAAACTAGAACTTAGGTCTCCCGTCTCCTGGTAGGGTATTCTTTTCACCCCAACACAGAATACTTTCAGGGTCTGGAGGGAACAGATATTATCCTAATTTTATAAGGAGAAAGAAATTGTCTCTGGCCTGGGCCACTTCTTTTGGCCATGATGCCCTAATGGCTTCTGTGATACAGAACCCAAGCAACTTTTGGGGCTTTTTCATGATGAAACTTGCCTATTAAGGGATCTTTTTATTTTGTTTTTAGATCTAGTCTTTACACAATCAGCTTTATGTTTCATTTTGCCTTTATCATCAGGATTTGATAATGTGGAAACAATGTTTGCCAGCTTGGATGTTTAGCTAACTAACAGCAAATTCACATGAGGTTATGTTTATCTTCAAGCTGATCCCCCCTATATTTCTTTCCTTTTAAAACCCTATCGCCTGGAGAATAAAAGCACTTTTTTTAAAAGGCATAAGAAACTAAGTGGGAGAGAAGGAAAAGGGAGGGGAAATGGAGAGAGAAAAGGAAGAAATGAAAGCAGTTTCCTACAGCCATCACCGTTTCTCAACTGCATTCAAGCGATTTACAGAGACAAGATCTGAAACAACTGGAAAATATAGAAAATGTTTAGATACACAGAGTAAACAGTAAGTCTCTAGCTAGACATAGATGTATACTTGTTTTAAATCTTACAAACAAGAGTGAATGAAGCACACAGAGCAATCTATTACAGGCCCAAGACCGTGCAACGACTAACTCTGCAAACAGGCTTAATTTTTAAATGTTCTGCAAACTCCAAATTAAATAATTAGATGGTTAATATTTACTATGCAAGTCTAACACTTCAAAGATCCAGGAAAGAACTAGTTACTATCCAACATGACTTGAGAGGCAAAAGCATTTTGCAACACAAGATATCTAAAAGAAAGCCTAAGTACCATGTAATATTTTTCTTTTCCAAAAGCTGATCTCCGGCCAGGCATAGTGGCTCACGCCTGTAATCCCAGCACGGGCGGATCACGAGGTCAGGAGACTGAGAGCATCCTGGCCAACGTGGTGAAATCCCGTCTCTACTTAAAATACAAAAATTAGCTGGGCGTGGTGGCACGTGCCTGTAATCCCAGCTACTAGGGAGGCTGAGGCAGGAGAATCACTTGAACCCGGGAGTCGGAGGTTGCAGTGAGCCAAGATCACACCACTGCACTCCAACCTGGTGACAGAGCGAGACTCAGTCTCAAAAAAAAAAAAAAAAAAAAGCTGATTTCTGTATTAAAATATACACTGTTCACCTATTGTTCAAATACTCAACAGTGTCAGTGGGCAAATCCTAAGCCCTGAAATGACGGGAACTGGTGCTGGTGTTGATGGCATGGTATGAGGGGCGTCTTCTGATGTCTCACACCCCCACTTCTCCAACCCCGAGGAAGTGAAATCTCCACCCCCTTGCCCACATCCCCTCTTTGAGGGTGAGGGTGGGAGAAGGAATTTTCTCTTTTCACAGAGTCCTTCCCTTAGGACCCTCACTTCTCCTGGCCCTGCAAGGGATGCCCCATTTCCCAGCTGTGCTGGCACCTGGGTGAATGAATACATGTCTAATTCACGAATCACCTATCAGGAAGTACAGATAAGCCACATCTTCCATCAAGCTTGTACCAGGGATAAATTTAAGCTCTGCTTCTCTGAATCCTCTGAATATCTCAATTAGTTCAGAAAGAGAAATAATAATAGTACTAATAAAATAATAATCATAGTAACAACGATAGTAGCAATAACATGTTCTCTAGCACACGCACAACAATTGGTACACATTGTCTCATTTGATCCTTAAAAACACTTTGTGCAAAGATATTACTAACCCCATTTGACAAGAAAAAAAAAATATGGGCTCAGAGTAATTTACGCAAGTTCACTCTGCTAATAAGTGACAGAAACAAGATTTCTGTTTGACTTCAGGATCCAACTGGAATCTCTATGCTACGCTGCCTCCCTTCCTGGGTACAATATGTTTCTCTTCTGTCACCTTCTGCGTAAGAAGGTGTTGATTTGCTTTTCAAAAGAAAGTTCTTCAACAAAATACTAAAACTAGAACTTTTAAAGCCACAAGTACATTTTACTATGAATTGATATTAGAAAATTCCTCTAAAAATCTATACCTTCCCTAAACATACACTTTCACTTCATATGTATGTCATGGGTAGGTCACTTTTCAGGGAGTTGGCTCTTTTTAAGTGTTTATTTTTAGTAAATTTAAATTGTATATCCTTCACCTCTGGAATATTGGAGACAATTTCAAAAGTCACTCCACAGCCAGGAATAGAACTTCGATGAGACATCTTTTTTAGGAGACTCTGTGCAAAACCCTAGAGAAAAACAAAATAGAAGATATGGTTTCCCACCTGAAAAACTGAGTTTACATTAACAAAAGACAGCATGGAAAATACTGGTTCATTCTAACCAAAAGAAAACAGAGCAGGTTTCCAACATAAGCAAGTGAAATCACCAAGTACGGTTTCTTCATCGTTGTCCTATGGTACGAAACCAACTTATTAGATGCCCACCATGTATGACAGGTCCTACACCCAACATAGGAAAAGTATACACCACCAAGTCTGTAAACTGGCAGTAGGCATCTGGATGAACGGTGCTTCAATGCTACAGAAATATAAGCTTGTTGACTTCCATACAATAAAATGACCTTCTAACTAAGATGGAAGCAACGACTGGTGATGCTTACACTTTTTTTCTCCCCAGCACGATGGACATCTCGTACCATGAATATTGACAAGTCCGGGCATTAAATTCTTGACCAAAGCAAGATCGTTATGAGGAATGATTTAAGAGTGCACGGTCATTGTTTATGCTGACTGCGCTCTTTGCACAGTTAGGAATTGAACTGTTGAATTAATGCATAGATGACTCATTTCAAGATGCTGTTAAGACTGAACACCCTGCAGAGGTTGAAGAGAGCAGGGATGAGAGCAGAATACCATCAGGGAACAAAGGTAAAGGGGAGAGCACATGAAATGGGCACCGAGCTTTCACCCCATGCAACAGGAATGGCAGAAACATGTGAAGCCCCCAAGAAAAGAGCAAAGCCAAGCTATTTGGTCTTAGACATACATCATTTCACAAACCTACCTAATGATGATTTATTTCATATTCAATGATCTTTACATTTTTAAAAGAATATAGCATCTCAGAATGCAGAGAGACCATTTATGTCATTAATTCTCTCCCTTAACTTTAGCCTTGCAGTGCTGAGCCAAGGCTAATTACACAAGTCAAGGTATAGAGATCACTGTCCTTAGGGGTGGTGAAGGGAGATGTAGATGCTACTATTATCCTACCTTTTGGTTTTCCATTTGTATGGAATTAGTGAAGCTGACGTGTGTGTATTAGGGTCATGTGGAAGGTCCTATTCTTGTTATAAAGAAGAGAGCCTTCCACATGACGATTCTTAGGAATGAAATATCTGAAATTGAGAGAGAAAATGGCATGCCTTAAAAATACTTCCACATCATTTCAACCAGGAAAAAGAAAAATATGGCAACCTATTGTCCCTACAATAGAAACAAAAACCAAGCAACATGCGGCGACTATACAATGTACCTTTTCTGTCAAGGACCCTGTAGGGCCGGTGGTTGTGCCAGGTCAGTCCCAGGGCCTGGCAACCAGGATGTCTAATTCCGAAATGGAAAATCGCTCTTCAAAATGCTCCTCATGAGCAGTGTGTCTTTTTCAAACCCTCACAGACTCATGAGAAAAGGAAGACAGAGAGAGTGAATGGGTGCATACCGTATACATCTATAGCTAACCCCGTGACCTGGATTTTATTGATGTTGGATTGCCAAGCTAAAGAGCTGCAATTTTAATGGCATTACCGCCAGTCTTCATTTCAAAGATTGATATCAGTGTGACATTTAGAACTAAAGATTAATTTTTAGGGGTGGAGATTACATCTAGGAGTCTGTCAACCATGACTGTGCTCTTTTAAATGAAAAGATTTTCATCTGTACTGGTTTTAGTCAGTGTATTGAGAATGCCTCAAAAAAGGGAGATAAGACAGTTAAAAGGATCCCCAGACGCAATCTCCCAAATCTTTATATTTGCAAAACCAGTAAAAAAAAAGAATTTTTTTTTTTTTTTTTGAGACAGAGTTTCACTCTTGTTGCCCAGGCTGGAGTGCAACGGTGCAATCTTGGCTCACCGCAACCTCCGCCTCCCGGGTTTAAGCAATTCTCTTGCCTCAGCCTCCTGAGTAGCTGAGATTGCAGGCACCCACCACCACACCCAGCTAATTTTGTAGTTTTAGTAGAGACAGGGTTTCTCCATGTTGGTCAGGCTGGTCTCAAACTCCCGACCTCAGGTGAGCCACCTGCCTCGGCCTCCCAAAGTGTTGGGATTACAGGCATAAGCCACCACACCTGGCCTTAAATTCTTACCTAGAAGTTTTGTACTAAACCCCTTCATATGGCACATGGACCTTCATAATCCAGCTGCAACTATGTGAGAGCCATGCTCCTTGGCACAGGCAGGACCCCCAGCACATGGAGCTCCTCGCGGTCCCCGATCCTGCCCCGTCCTGCCCTGCCCTCCCCACTCTCTCTGCATGTGTATTTCCTCCTGTCCACGGAACTGCATCTCCTCCTACTATGCCTGGCCAATGCCCCTCCTCTCTAAGTCCCAGTTCAAACGCTGCCCTCCTCTCTGAAGCGCCCCCACCACCCCGACTCCCTGGGGCTGAATTCTTCCTTCTCTTACCTGCATTCTCACCACAAGTGATGAGGACCTGCACCACGTGCTCAGCTCAGGCCGAGAGCAGTTGCCTGTTACGTATCTACCTACACAAATCAACTTGGCTCTTTAAGGACACAGACTTCTTTTTGTTTCTTTTTTGAGATGCATCGCCCAGACTGGACTCAAACTCCTAGGCTCAAGTAATCCTGCTGCCTCAGCCTCCTGAGTTACTGGGAGAGCAGGCGTGCGCCACTGCACTGGGCTCATTTCTTATTCACCTTTTTATCCCAAAGCCAAATATACAAATCAAAGACTGCAAGAGGTAAAAGGTCTGGAACGCACCCTGGCAGCATGGCGAGACCCCGTCTCCATAAGGAATACAAAAAATTAGCCGGATGTGGTGGCACACGTCTGTGGTCCCAGCTACCGGGGAGGCTGAGATGGAAGGATCACCTGAGCCCAGGAGACGATGGCTGCAGTGAGCTATGATCGCATCACTGTACTCCAGCCTGAGCAACAGAGCAAGACTCTATCTTAAAAAAAAAAGTCTGGAAAGAGCAGAGTAAGAGGGAAACTCCTCATTTGACAGGGCCCAGATGAAAAGGCAACAACCAAACCACAGACCTTGCCCTTGACAGGGTTGTGTGGTACCCAAAAGAATAACCATAATTTGTGAATCTGCCCTAAGAAAGATTCAGTGTAAAAATACTGTCCAGGAGCAAGTGACACATCTGAGGCTTGAAGCAAGCATGGGTACAGGACAGCAGCAGTCACCTGGAAAAGAAAAGCTCAGTGCTTCCGGGAGCCTGTTTGGACAGAAGGTTAACAGCAAGCACTGCACGGCCCTACCCTCAGGTCGCAACTGTGGTTAGAGTCGTTTCTTCCACTGAAGACTAACCTGGCGGCCGTGAACATTGACACAGATTCTCTTGCGTAACACCAGTTGCATGTCAGCAGGGTGGCTGAGCTGGACCGTCACGCGCACGATCAGGAACAACCGCTCGTCCACGGGCGTGCCCCTGCTGAGCTGAGGGCAGCCATGCACCGCGGAGTCCCAGGAGGCTTCTGCTTTCACCTGGAGAGAAGACAGAGAGGAAACAGGTTTCTCTCTTCTCCAGAAACATGAAAACTCTTTCAAGGAAACCACCTTGGCTCAGGCTGAAAGGGCACATGCCAGTCACCAGCAAAGTTCTACTATGACAGCTGCCCTGAAAAGACAATGGAGTGTGACAGTGTGGCCACAATCACCTTAGCCTGAAAAGTATAGAGCATGATGATCCTGGCTGGCTTACTTTTAAAATTTGTATTAAAAAATGCTCAAATGTCAAGAAAAGTTGCAAAAATTCAGTCGAGTGATTTGTACCCCTTTCATCCCGACGCACCAACTGCTACCATTTGGCCACTTTTGCTTCTCTTTCTCACAACTCACACACACACATTATTACTTTTGCTAAACCACTTTCAAGTAAGTTGAAAGTAATATCTAGGAAATTTAACAGGAATACACTATTATTTAATATAAAATCCCTTATTCAAATTTTTCAATTTCCCCATCCCGGAACCACACACTGCCTTTAGTTGTCACGTTTCTCTAGTCTACTCTAATCTGCAATAGCTCCTTGGCCCTTCCTTGTCACGCTTGACCCTGCTGAACTGGAAGGGTGCCGGCCCACTATTCTACAGAATGCATAGCCGCTGGGTGTGTCGGACTGACTCCTCACTGTCAAGACTCAAGTTTCGCTTCTTAGGGACACTATTAAGTAATAATGTGTCCTCAAATATCACATATCAGCTTTCCTTCCTGAATATATTTCATAATTTTTCAAACATACTCAAAATTAGAAAATAAACTCCCGTGAGATACCCATCACTCAGATTCAACCATGAAAATCAAGATGTCACCACACTGCTTTCACCTATTCTTTTCCTTTTTAATAAATCCTGGCCAGGCGCGGTGGCTCATGTCTGTCATCCCAGCACTTTGCGAAGCCAAGGCAAGTAGATCACTTGAGGTCAGGAGTTTGAGACCAGCCTGACCAACATGGTGAAACCCCATCTCTACTAAAAATACAAAAATTAGCCAGGTGTGATGGCATGTGCCTGTACTCACAGCTACTTGGGATATTGAGGCAAGAGGATCACTTGAACCCAGGAGGCAGAGATTGCAGTGAGCTGAGATCGCACCATTGCGCTCCAGCCTGGGCAACAGAGCAAGACTCCATCTCAATAAAAAAAAAATTAAAAAGTCCTTACAAAATGATTTCAAAGCAAATCCCAGCCAGGCACAGTGGCTCACACCTGTAATCCCAGCACTTTGGGAGGCCAAGGCAGGCGATCACTTCCGGTCAGGAGTTGAAGACCAGCTTGGCCAACATGGTGAAACCCCATCTCTACTAAAAAAAAAAAAAAAAAATTAGCCAGGCATGGTGGCGCACACTTATAATCCCAGCTGCTCGGGAGGCTGAGGCAGGAGAATCACTTGAACCCGGGAGGCAGAGGCTGCAGTGAGCCAAGATCCTGCCACTGTACTCCAGCCTGGGTGACAGAGCAAGACTCCATCTAAAAACAAAAACAAAACAAAAAAATCCCAAAGCAAATCCCAAACCTGGTGCCATTTTACCTCCACGCACTTCCGCAGCCCCTGCTTCCATCTCTCACTGGTTGAGGAACAGAGAGAGCCTCAAGCTCCTGACCGCTGCTGATCTGAACTGCTCACACAAGCTCAGTACAAGTTACCAGGAAAGGAAGGAAAAGGTGAATGGATGTAATATGATGTTCAAGCTCCATTCTTCTGGAAGTCATGATGAAAGGTTTTGCTTTATGTATTTTGAGAAATGTAAAGTACTGGCATGATTGCCTTATTGTTTCAAAAAGCTCGAGGAGAGGTTAAGGAAACCACTTTTCATCTGACCATCCCAAGTTAGGCTTTCCTTACCTCCCCATCATGCTGCTTCACAATCTGCAATTCAAAGAACTCCTCTTCTTCTTCCCCAGTCAAGGTCGCATCCCATCCACCAGCTTCTGGGTCATCAAGATTATCCTGAGAGCTGAAATCATCAGCTAAAAGCAAAGAAGTTCCATTAAATACTGAGATCATTTTCAAGGATAACCCCTACCAGCTAAATTTCAATGTGATTATTACAATTCTTCTGCTTCAAATTTCATTTGCTTTTTGCTCTGAAATCTTACATGACACTGAAGATGACCACTTAAAAGTTCACAGATCTTCAAGATAAGAAAGTGCCTCAAAAAATGATCTCATCCAATCTGCTACACTTATGCCTTATTTTATAGGGAAGGCAAATGAAACCAAGATACCTAAGAGGTTACCCAAGGTCATCTCATCAATGTCAGTGACCGGGTTATAACACAAATTCCGTACCATTTAGTGCACTGAAGGGTCAGAAACGAGCAAGGGTGATTCCAGGCACCTGACAGCAACATTCACCAGAAGGTTCCACTGGCTGCATGGGCTGGAAATGGAAGGACTGCACCATGGCCCCCTGGTTCCTCAGGCCCGAGCCTGGCCCTCCCCACTCCCCTTCACCTGGAGCTCGTGGGCAGACATCCAAAGTTCCTTTTCTAGGAGGTGGGCATGGGGGGACCGAGAACATGTACCATGCTGACCAAAGTCCTGATGATCCCCTCAAATGCCCAGACTAACACGTCTTCCTTAAGCTTATTGTCTTTCACTTTCTTATGCATATGCCTGCCTGCACCCAAATACAAGCACCTCACCTACGTAGGAAGCCTAACAGAAGAACAGGCCAGAATCACCCTCAGGCGCCAAGTTCAGAACACCACAGCAGGATAAGGACTTGTGGCAAACATTTAAAAACAAACACCTTCCACCCCATCAAGCAAACAGACAGTGGCTGTATTATTCGGTATTATTCTCTAACTCTATGCATAGAAAAATCTTCCATTTAAATAAGCTAAGTGGCAGGAGATCCTAAATGCCTCAGAGACTGCATCTCGCTGTCAGCTAGGTGGAAGAAAACCACGGAGGACATCCACACTCATCTATTAAGGAGAGTTAACGTTAATACATAGTTCTGCAGATGTGTTAGGAATTTAACTGCTGACTTCTAACTTATTTTTAGATCCTTAATCTACTCTTCCATTTTCTATTTTCCCTCCTACAGGCAGAACTCCTAGTGGCAGAGTATATGTAAAACGTATCCAGGCCCAAAATATTTTACATGGTGGTGAGTGGGAAACAGAAAAATGACAGTTTTTTTTTTTTTTTTTTTTTTTTTATTATACTCTAAGTTTTAGGGTACATGTGCACATTGTGCAGGTTAGTTACATATGTATACATGTGCCATGCTGGTGCGCTGCACCCACTAACGTGTCATCTAGCATTAGGTATATCTCCCAATGCTATCCCTCCCCCCTCCCCCGACCCCACCACAGTCCCCAGAGTGTGATATTCCCCTTCCTGTGTCCATGTGATCTCATTGTTCAATTCCCACCTATGAGTGAGAATATGCGGTGTTTGGTTTTTTGTTCTTGCGATAGTTTACTGAGAATGATGGTTTCCAATTTCATCCATGTCCCTACAAAGGACATGAACTCATCATTTTTTATGGCTGCATAGTATTCCATGGTGTATATGTGCCACATTTTCTTAATCCAGTCTATCATTGTTGGACATTTGGGTTGGTTCCAAGTCTTTGCTATTGTGAATAGTGCCGCAATAAACATACGTGTGCATGTGTCTTTATAGCAGCATGATTTATACTCATTTGGGTATATACCCAGTAATGGGATGGCTGGGTCAAATGGTATTTCTAGTTCTAGATCCCTGAGGAATCGCCACACTGACTTCCACAATGGTTGAACTAGTTTACAGTCCCACCAACAGTGTAAAAGTGTTCCTATTTCTCCGCATCCTCTCCAGCACCTGTTGTTTCCTGACTTTTTAATGATTGCCATTCTAACTGGTGTGAGATGATATCTCATAGTGGTTTTGATTTGCATTTCTCTGATGGCCAGTGATGATGAGCATTTCTTCATGTGTTTTTTGGCTGCATAAATGTCTTCTTTTGAGAAGTGTCTGTTCATGTCCTTCGCCCACTTTTTGATGGGGTTGTTTGTTTTTTTCTTGTAAATTTGTTTGAGTTCATTGTAGATTCTGGATATTAGCCCTTTGTCAGATGAGTAGGTTGCGAAATCGTGAAAATGGCCATACTGCCCAAGGTAATTTACAGATTCAATGCCATCCCCATCAAGCTACCAATGACTTTCTTCACAGAATTGGAAAAAACTACTTTAAAGTTCATATGGAACCAAAAAAGAGCCCGCATTGCCAAGTCAATCCTAAGCCAAAAGAACAAAGCTGGAGGCATCACACTACCTGACTTCAAACTATACTACAAGGCTACAGTAACCAAAACAGCATGGTACTGGTACCAAAACAGAGATATAGATCAATGGAACAGAACAGAGCCCTCAGAAATAATGCCGCATATCTACAACTATCTGATCTTTGACAAACCTGAGAAAAACAAGCAATGGGGAAAGGATTCCCTATTTAATAAATGGTGCTGGGAAAACTGGCTAGCCATATGTAGAAAGCTGAAACTGGATCCCTTCCTTACACCTTATACAAAAATCAATTCAAGATGGATTAAAGATTTAAACGTTAAACCTAAAACCATAAAAACCCTAGAAGAAAACCTAGGCATTACCATTCAGGACATAGGCGTGGGCAAGGACTTCATGTCCAAAACACCAAAAGCAATGGCAACAAAAGCCAAAATTGACAAATGGGATCTAATTAAACTAAAGAGCTTCTGCACAGCAAAAGAAACTACCATCAGAGTGAACAGGCAACCTACAACATGGGAGAAAATTTTCGCAGTTTTTTTTTTTTAAACAGGTAATACAGGGATGAATGGCACAAGAACTCATAGAAAAAGTGAGATATTTATTAGATAATGCTAAGAAAACACCACAAGAAGGAAACATGCTTCATAAGTATCGCTAGTTATTTGTCCTTTCCAGAGAGAAGTCTTTCCCCAAGAGTTAAAGAAGAAGCCGGGCGCAGTGGCTCACGCCTGTAATCCCAGCACTTTGGGAGGCCAAGGAGGGCGGATCACGAGGTCAGGAGATCGAGACCATCCTGGCTAACATGGTGAAACCCCGTCTCTACTAAAAATACAAAAAATTAGCCGGGCGTGGTGGCACAAGCCTGTAATCCCAGCTACTCAGGAAGCTGAGGCAGGAGAACCGCTTGAACCGGGGAGGTGGAGGTTGCAGTGAGCCGAGATCACACCACTGCACTCCAGCCTGGGTGACAGATCAAGACTCTGTCTCAAAAAATAAATAAATAAATAAATAAATTAGAAAATATTTTTAGTGCAGAAAAACACTGCTACCATCCTAACACCAGGAGAACAGAGCATCCACATGGCACCGTGAGCTGCAGGGATGAGAGGTGAGGAGTATGGTGAAGCACGCCTATTATTGTCATAAACATGAGACTATGACACACCAATCAGTCCGTCTGCAACCAGGAGACATGGACACACGTCAAACTGGCTCTAGCCTTAGGGGGACAGAATTGCCTCACGATGCACTTGGTTGGAATCTACATGTTATGTAGGCACTAAATTTTCAGAGGTAAGCCTTCAGAAAACACCTCCTAACTTACCATTTAAGTCCAGGAATATAACAGGAATGTGTGTCTCCATCCCAGGTACTGGGGTCCTAAAACGGGAAGAACAAATGGCATCTGCCTCAGGTTACTTTCTCAGTGGCATGCACGTAGGAACACAGCCTTAATGGCATTCAGGGCTGTTACAGGGCAAAGCAGTAATAACCCTGGCCCTGATTTTACTCTAATCCAGAATCAGAGAGGCCACAAAGCCTCCACTGTAGCTGCTGCTTCATACCCTGACATTTGAACTTAGCCTTATAAGACACTACCTGTTTGTAGTGAAGTTCTCTTGTTTAAACCTACTTTCTTATAAAATGATATACTTAAGGGCTTCCTCTGGCTAAATTTACTATTTTTAATTTCTATAACGTAGCACAGAACATTTGCTGACAGTACAGTTTAAGCCAGCACCAAAACCAAAATCGCGTGGAGATGCAATTTTCTTATGACCGAACAGTCTTCTAAGGGAATGACCCAAGTAATTAACATATTAACTATTTTCTTAATGCTAAGTGCAGTGGTATTAAATATTGATTTAAGTTCTCAGAAATCTTAATGACTTTGGCCAATAACAACATTATTTAATAAAACAGTTTTAGGCCATAGTTATTCAACTCATGAAAATAATTTAACAGTTCCTTTAATTTAAACAACATTTCCCCCCATGCTATTGACTCTTCCATTAACCGTAGCACACGCAAAATTCAAGCTAAAAGCAAGTGGCTTGGTGAGCGTTCAGACCTCACAAGACGCACCACAGGGTTCATACCATTCTGCTGGGGCCCCTGGAATACCACTGCCAGCAGAGGGGACCATCACCGCGTTCCTCTCCTCAGTTAGGGTCAACCGCATCTCCAGAAGCTGCGCTTCACGGTCAGCATCATCCTCTGTTTTATCTAGAACATCGAGAATGAGGATTCAATGACAAAACTTCACTTGCCATTTATCTTTTTGTCCTGAGTAAAGACTGGATTTGCCTATATTTCAATTATTAGCTCACAAGTGCTCCCCAGTGATAAAAACTAACCCACAGCTAGAGAGGTCAGATGGGCTCCTGCAGAGAGGCCATCTTCAGTTCCTGGGAGGCCTACAGAGGGACCGCACAGGAGTGACTGGTCCAGAGTCAGAGGACTCGAGCCCTTTGGATAAGAAAAGTTACCACCTTCCTTTATGTTATCTTTGACAAACCATGTATGCTTTGTGCACTGTATTTGCTCTTTCTTTGTAGGGGGTGGGAGGAAGACCTCCACCAAGATACGACAGCTGGATAAAGGATATGACATAAACAAAGAGTAACACTCATCTGCTCCTGCCATCCCCATTACTGATGTGTTCATCTGGTTCTTAACTGATGTGGCTACAAAGGGAGAATAATTAATTATGCATTGATTTGCAGGGGAGAAAAATATTCTATTTGTTTTTCCTACCACGTTTACTGACAAGCTTTTGCAATTGTTGATCCAAGTACTCCTGACGTTTTGTTAATGCATTTAGCCATTTTCTACGAAGTCTCTCTAAATCTCGATCCTGGAAGCAAGCAAGGAAAATCATATTCAATGTAATGTCAAGATAATCTATCTGAAACTGATGCTCTATCTTACCTTGCTCTACTATGCCTTGGAAAGGTAAGGTAGTATACAATAATTTCTTTATTGCTACCACCAGTTGACTGCGCCCATCTTTCAAAACAGCTATTTTCAGAATTTAAAGCATTATTTTCTAGAACAGAAAGGGCATTCTCAGGTATCCAGAACCAGTTTTATTTCTAATGGCTTGGGGGTAGAGCTTTAAGCACCTGCAACAAAAATCTTCTAAAAGGTCTCTTTGCTGGATAAAACCGATAAACAGGACTCAATAATCTTCCAATATGGCTGGGCGTGGTGGCTCACACTTGTAATCCCAGCACTTTGGGAGGCTGAGGCAGGTGAATCACTTGAGGACGGGAGTTTGAGGCCAGCCTGGCTAACACAGCGAAACCCTGTCTCTACTCAAAATATAAAAAATTGGCCAGGCGCAGTGGCTCACATCTGTAATGCCAGCACTTTGGGAGGTCAAGGCAGGCAGATAACCTGAGGTCAGGAGTTTGAGACCAGCCTCCCCAACATGGTGAAACCCCATCCCTACTAAAAATACAAAAATTAGCCAGGCGTGGTGGCGGGTACCTGTAATCCCAGCTACTTGGGAGCTGAGGCAGGAGAATCGCTTGAACCCGGGAGGCAGAGGTTGCAATGAGCCGAGACTGTGCCATGGCACTCCAGCCTGGGCAACAAGAACAAAACTCCATCCCAAAAAAAAAAAAAAAAATTAGCTGGGCATGGTGGTGTTCACCTTTCATGCCAACTACTTGGGAGGCTGAGGCAAGAGAATTACTTAAACCTGAGAGGCAGAGGTTGCAATGAGCCAAGATCACTCCACTGCACTATGGTCTGGGTGGTAGAGCAAGACTCTGTCTCCAAAAAACAAAACAAACAAAAAACCACTTTCAATTTATGTACCTTAGAATAATCAGAAGAATCAACTTTTGTAACTTCTGCTTTCTATATGTCAAAACAGGCTCTTGAAGACAACATGTAAATGCTTCTCTCACTTGTTTTTATGCATTTTGTGGGGCAACAGGTAGGGGAAAGAGGGGATAGGGGTTGTCATCAACAGAATAACAACCTACCAGTCAACACCTACATGAATATCAATCTTACCTCATTTCCTTTTCTAATAAGGTTACAAGACTGGGTAGGTCAGTGGAATGCTGCAGATATAGTGTGTCTGGGCTTTACTAGGGCACTTAACCAAATAGCCTATGACATTGTTGTGGACAAGATGGAGAAACGTGCGATGCATCTACTTAAGTGAAATCACAGAGGACTCAAATATCACATCCGAAGAATAGTGATTAATGTCAGCTTGAAAAAAGTCTCTATTGTTGTGCCATAGGACTCTGTATTTAATCCTATCTGATACAGTGTTTTTATCAGTGACTTATAGGAAAGCAGACATTTCTATCAAATTAGAATGATGCAAAACCAGGAAAGTGACTACACGGATGACATAATCAGGCTCCAAAGAGCCCTGACAGTCCTGAACGATGACTAACAGATGAAACTGCACAGAAAGAAACAAAGTCTTGCAGGAGGTTAGGAAAAGAAAACAAAGGAAAAAAAAAAAAAGATTCCAAATGCTGTATGATTCCAGGAAGTAGGGAAGAAAGATCTAGCTTAAAAAATGCAAAATTCAGTCGGGCGCGGTGGCTCATGCCTGTAATCCCAACACTTTGGGAAGCCTAGGCGGGTGGATCACAAGGTCAGGAATTCGGGACCAGCCGGGCCAACATTGTGAAACCCCGTCTCTAGTAAAGATACAAAAAATTAGCTGGGCATGGTGGCGTGCACCTGTAATCCCAGCTACTTGGTAGGCTGGGGCAGGAGGGAAGTTGCAGTGAGCCGAGATGGCGCTATTGCACTCCAGCCTGGGCAACAGGGTGAGACTCTGTCACAAAAAAAAAAACAAAAACAAACAAAAAAATGCAAAACACCTAGTGTTGACTAAAGCTCAGAATGAGACAACTATAATAGGGGCAACGAGTGGGGACTCACTCAGGAGAGAAAATGTCCAGGGAAGAGGATCCAGAGAAACGGATCTTCAGGGAGCCTGGCTGGGGAGCTCCAGGTTTGGAAAAGGATCTCAGTCACGAATGATTTCCCACTCCTAACACACTTTACAGCCTATGAAACAACACTCAATGTTCCCTACTCTGTTTTACTTTAAAACAACAAAAAAATCAGTATGAATTGTTTAATCCTTAAATAACAGTATAGCCAGATCCAGGAATGTGTAATTATATACTTTAATCATGCTTATTTGAGATGAGATTAACAGGTGCTAAATTACCTGGTAGCTGTCCATGTCTTCCTCTTCCTCCTAAAAGAAAATATACATTACAAAGAACTGAATTATTGATTTATCCAAGAATCAGGCTACGCTAAACAATCTGACTCTTTACCCATAATTTATATTTTCCAATTGAATTAATATACTATTTCATCTCCCACCTACCCACACCCTCACTCTGGGTTTTACAGTTGTCAGGAAGTTGGAGCCGCTCACAGAAGAGTGAAGCACACTCATTTGACCTTTTCGGGAACCAGTGCAATGCTCTCCCTGCTGGGTTTATAGTCCCACTCGCCAGGGGAAATCAAACACCTGCTGGCAAATAGTCTTTACAAGCCAGTAGGGGGTTTCTCCAGAGGGGTGGGGTGATGTTGAGGAGTTAATCACTAGCAGGCACTGTGGAATCTATGAAGGCTGAGACGTTTTAACCCTCAGCTTGCCACCTACACCAGGGCAAAACCAGTAATACAGTCCGATGCAGTGATTCCATGAAAATGCAAGACACAAAAAAAGACAGCAAAGGTAAACAAAGAGATTCACGGAAAGAAATGTTCATAAAAAGTAGTTTCGTACGGGTTCCAAAAGGCACTCTGGTCTGATTTTGTCTTTCAAGAAGAACATAACAGGTATAGAAACTTACATGGAAGGTCTCATGTGTTCTGGGGGCTCTGAGCGGTCTAACTTTGACACATCCAATGCCAACAGACAGTATACATTCTTCCATCAGTGGTAAAGTCCCAGATTCCTGCACTGACTTCACTTCGACTTGAACTCTCCGGGACTGCCCCTGGGTCACAGACAATTTAGAGTCTTAAAATCAGTGTCTTGATTTCCAAAAATTTGATTTAGAGAGACCCCTACAGGCTGATGTTGAGAAAAATGTTTAATTCAGACACTGTCACTATACCTTATTGTTAAGCATTAAAATACAAATTTAAAAACTAATCGGGAAAAATCATTTCCCTTTTAAGTGAGCTAAAAAACAGAATAAATATATGTTTACATATTCTTTCAATAAGAAGTAACATTAAAAAATTCTAAGAAAGGAAATGCAAACAGTTGGCCAATAAAAAAGTTCAACTTACTGATAATTAAATAAATACAAATTAAATTAAAGCATGACACACCTGTATTTTCACTTCCTAAATTGGCAATTATATTTTAAAAGAGGAATTTCCAATGCCCTACATTTACGAAACAATTTCATACACTGTAAGTGGGAATTTAAATTGGTGCAAGTTTTCTGCAAGGCAATTTGACTTAAAAATATAAGTTCCTTTAACCCAGCAATTCAACTTTCCAGAGAGCTAAGTAAATAATCATACATATACACAAAAAATCTTAAGCACCTTTAAGAACAAAAAATTAGACACAAATTGAATGAATATTTTATACATTCAATAACTTTATTATTTGTTTTATACAAAACAATAACCTTAAACTGTGAAACATATAATGAAACACTATACAGTTGTTAAAGTATTACTGTAGAAAAACATATGACATGTTAAAGTACCAGTAAATATAAATATAAATATAAAATCAGTAAATATAAAAAATCAGTATCAGTAAATATATCAGTAAATATATTATGTAAATAACTTGTATATAATACATAAAATATAATTTACTGATATAGCAGTATATATCATTAATATAAATATAAATATATAATTATAAAAAATAATCAGTAAATATGATTGTTTAGACTGTTTATTATGTGAGACTTGGTATATATTTACAATGAAGTAATATTTTAAAAGAGAATTCACAGTATTCCCAAATTACTGACTTCAAACTTGGTTTATAAATTTTAGAAATGTAAAATAGCATTTGAAAAACAGAATTTAAATGTTCAATTGCAAGTCAATTACTCTTGCCCTCTTCCATCAGATTTTAGTTCCCAAGAGCTCTGCATGATCAGGAAAATCAGCTCAGGCAACCACTGATCCTATCAAACTCCATTTGAGTGGCTGGGATACAGATGTTTTCTGATTTAATATCACCAAGGACTAAGCCTCAGATATTTTGTGGGAAAAGTCCTAAAGAAAATATTTTAATAGCCTAAACAGTTTTGTCATTTCAATTAGCTACCTTTTATTTGCTTAGTTTGCCTAAGCACTTTCCGAAGTGATCTATTGTGAATCTGTGCCTAAGTGTGAAGGGTGAAGTGCGCACTTGAAGGGAAGATTCCTAAGGAGAGGGAAGAAAAGGAGAGAAAGGATCTGGCAATGGTTTACTGTTCCACAGAAAAACGTTTAAAAGTACACTTAAACTATTAGACAGAACTTCCTGTCACTACTGATATTTGACCATTTATTTCTACAAAAACAGCACTTTTCACATGGTTAAAGCTAATCAGTTGTCCTCTGCCACGTTCCCGTTCAAGAACAATACAAGCCAATTTTCAAACATATTAGACTCAAATGAGCCTAGCATTCAAGGCCCTCCGAAACCAGCCTCCAGAAGCTTCTGCAACCTGTTCTCTTCCTGTTTTCCAGCTCTTTCTCCACATGACTTTCTATCCAAATGGACCTAATTTATGGCCTCTGTGTCTTTATTCTTGCCATTAAGTTGGTGAAAATTGCGGTTTTTGCCATCATATAAGAAAAATCCTTTCAGAACTTGCATGATTTTTTCAATATGAAGGTAAAGAGGCATATCCTTCAAAAAGCCCTTTCCTGATAAACCAACATTTCTTTGAACACTTTTAGTAAAGGGTGTCAGAAGTATGACAAATACTTAAATATCCAATTTACACTAAATCATAGAAAATTATCCAGTCTTGCCTTCCAGTAGATGAATTTCTAAGACTTCGAAGAAGATACATATATTTTTTAACAGACGCCCAGAAAAAGATGTTCTTCACACCCTTAAGAATTCTATTTTATGTGTACAACACATGCTTTAATTTAAACTAATCTTTCACTTTGCTAAAATTTATTTGCTGGGGTCAGAGAACAAGTGTTTATCATCATCCTCCTCTTAAAACATTCAGAAACTTAAACATGTAAGCAAATGTTCTCTTTCCTTTAATTTTCTCTATTTTGCTTTGAATGCTTTCTACGCTCGTTTTCTAGAGCGATTCTAGTATTTTACTGCTGTTTTAAAGTATGGAAACTCATAGAATATGGCAGTCTCCTAAACAATGCATTAAAGTATAGCAAAAAAAAAAAATTCCAAATCCTGTATACAAATTAAATTAAAAATTTCCCTCTCACTGTTAGTTGGCAGCACAGACTCTGCGGATGCATGTGGGGTTAAGTGGCCACTCCCATATTCTTCTCTGCTCTGTGGATTCTGGCATGTGTATCTACCCAGCTGTGTGTACTTAACACCTGGCATGTCAGGCCCTGTGCTTTAAACATGCATCTCTCTTAATCCTCACACTAATCTCATGAAGGTGGTGTTATCATCATGTCTACATAACAGGCGAAGGCAAGAGGTTATTGAACTTGCTCAGGGATAGACAGCCAGGACACTAGAGAGCCAGAATTGAGCCCAAGCATTTTACAATCTGAATGCTTATTATTTCTGGCATGTCACATAGCTTCTCCTTGTCTTCCTAAATGTTCTAAAGCTGTTTGATATGTTTGGTTTATGTCCTACAAATCAATTCTTTCTAAAGCTGTTTGATATGTTTGGTTTATGTCCTACAAATCAATTCTAAGTTTTCCTTTAAAGTTTATCTTTTTCTTACCTAACACTAACAGAACTGGTTTTTAAAATATTATAAATATCAATATTTGGCTGACAGCAGTGGCTCACACCCATAATTCCAACACTTTGGAAGGCCAAGGTGGGAGGATTGCTTGAGCCTAGGAGTTCAAGACCAGCCTGGGCAACAAAGCGAGATCCCTGTGTCTCTACTTCATTAAAAGAAAAAAAAATTTAATAGCAATACTTGTGACATGAGATAGGAGAATTTTAATGTAAGAAATGGACTTGGCCAGTCTAGATTTCATTATTGCCAACATTTCCACTAAAAAGAAGCCAATATTAAGCTTTCTGGCACCAAAGAATCTAATGTAAACATTCACAATCTTGTTACCTGCCGGAGCTGGAAGATTCCTCCTGTTGGGACATCCTTTGCAGAAATCACTTCTACAGGGCAGTATTCACCATTCTCATTCTGTTCCAAGATTTGAACCCAGAATTCCAATTTCCTGGTCACTTCACTCCATCTAGGAAATAAGCGAAGTTCTTGGAAAATCATACATTTCTATTTCATTACAGGCAGCTTAGGGTCCTACACACATAAGAATTAACAATGAAAATGACCTCCAAACAGAGTAATTCAGAATGATCTGTAGTTCAGTGAATACCATGCATGTACATACTGGCAAGAATAATGGAAAGCAAAGTTAAACTCACAATATCAGAACTAGAAATGGCTCCTTTACTTTGTTCAAAAAGATGTAATGACAAATCTATTTCAAAGTCGTTACTCAAAAATTGGAAATTCTAATCAGATGTACAGAAGCAGCAAGTACACAGCCATAAAAAAATACAACCAAACAAAATCATATCCCTTGCAGCAACTTGGATACAGCTCGAGGCTATTATCCTAAGCAAATTAATGCAGAAATAGAAAAGCAAAAACCCCATGTTCTCGCTTATAAGTGGGAGCTAAACACTGGGTATTCACAGACAAAAAGATAGCAACAACAGACACTGGAGACTCCCAGGAGTTGGGGAGCAGGGAAGTGAGCAAGGGTTGAAAAACTACCTCCTGAGTACTATGCTTACTACCTGAGTGACAGGATCAATCACACCCCAAAGCTCAGCATCACACAATATACCCAGGTAAACAACCTGCACATGTACCCCCAAATCTAAAATAATTTGAAACTATTAAAAAAAAAAAAGGAAAAAAAAAGCAAATACAGGGGTTGTCTTTTCGTAGATAGACAAAGGTAGTGCCATATGCTTCAGTGATGTGCCAAGTATTTTTCTCAGGTCAGTAAGAGAATCAAGGAAAAAATCTCAAATGTCACTTTCTAATTTAGTATTTGCTAAACTATCCAAATGCAAAAAAGAAAAAGAAAATCTGTTTTCATCTATAATTAGGTGAAAAGCACAAACATATGCAATTTCAGTCAATCCCTTTTAATGCTTCCTTTTAAGTCCACAAAGAAGCCTACCTCTTTCCAACACTGATGCCACTCAGAGCTATGAGCTAAAGACAACACTAGAGTGAATCTTGATCCATACTCTCTACAGCTGATTAATTAAAAGTAATTCATAACGGTAAGTCACTATTCTCCAAAATTCATTTCACTGTTTCTTCTTAATCAGCTACAAATTGAACTTTCTTCCATTATTCTCTGCAGTCCACTTCCCTAAGGAAGTTTAATTGTGTGATTAATACCCTGGAGACACTGCCATCCCTTCAGGGAACACTGGTCATGCTCAGAAAATAGTAACCTCTATAAATGGCAGTACTAATCTCTAGCAATTTTTAAAAATTATAAATGGAATCTAGCCAGGCATGGTGGCTCACGCCTGTAATCTCAGCACTTTGGGAGGGTGAGGTGGGCAGATCACTTGAGGTCAGGAGTTCAAGACCAGCCTGGCCAATATGGTGAAACCTTGTCTTTACCAAAAATACAAAAATTAGCCAGGCGTGGTGTGCATGCCTATAATCCCAGCTATTCAGGAGGCTGAGGCAAGAGAATTGCTTACTCCCAGGAGGCAGAGGCTGCAGTGAGCCAAGATCGTGCCACTGCACTCCAGCCTGGGTGACAGAGTGAATGAGACTGTCTCAAAAAACAAAAAAAAAATTACATATATATAAATGGAATCAGATGAACATCTAATATTCACCTGTCCCGAAGACTACGTGTCTTTGCTTGGATGATTCCCAAATCCCACAGGGCGGGGTTTTTCCGGGGATCGTTTATTTTATGTCCATATACTTCAATTGCCAATGCTCCTTCGGAAAGATGCTCGATAAAGTCTTCGGTGATGTTAACAGAAAACTCCTGAAACACAACAGCTAATTACAGAAGAGCAAACTCTTTCTGGTAATCTTATGATTGTTTATACCAGACATCACATACTTAATTATATCAGGGAAAAAAAATAGAAAATGGAATGTTTTAGTTATACAGAACTATCATCTAAAACCCATAATGAATGCTCAGATGGCAAAAGGTTCTTGACTTTAAACATAAGTATAAATCGGAATTTTTTTTAAACTTTTCAGATTGAAAGTCTAGTATGTAAGACCACCATTGCATTCTATTTTGTTAGCAATATTTTGGGAGCTATTTTTAAGAGCATAATTGTATAAAGTGTTACAACACTGATCTATAATGTGTTGATATAAAAGTTATATGCAATAAGGTAGTGTGTTGCAAAAACATTTTTTCCCACTTTTTAGAAAGTTAACTATCTCTATTAGGAGAATAAGGAAATAAAATCATTAGCACCAAAAAAAGATCTAATTTGTGAAAATTCTGCCAGCCTGTCCATCTTTATAAGATAGCATATTGCAATTAGGATTTAGCTCTAAAACAGTTTATTAAAGAAATCACAGAATCTCCTATCTCTGTTGTTGTCTCCCCCTCTCTATCTATCTTTAATGTAGTGAAGTATTTTGGCTTTAAACGGATTAGAAAGAGGCCTCTCTCTTGAAAGAGATGAAATGGATCAAGTGTGGTACAGGAGCAAGAAAGACTTGGGGACCCAATAGTCCACATTCTGCTGCTCACCAGCCATGGACAAACCAGTGAAGAACTACTTTGGGCAAAATGACCTCTCTGATTTGTTTGTGTTTTCAGCTGGGAAAAAACAAACAACAACAACAAAAAACGCACTGTTGGCTGGGTGTGGTGGCTCATGCCTGTAATCCCAGCACTTTGGGAGGCTGAGGTGGGCTGATCATTTGAGGTCAGGAGTTTGAAACCAGCTTGGCCAACACGGTGAAACCTTGTCTCTACTAAAAATACAAAAAAATTAGCTGCGCATGGTGGCAAGCACCTGTAATCCCAGCTACTTGGGAGGCTGAGGCAGGAGAATCGCTTGAACCCAGGAGGCAGGGGTTGCAGTGAGCCAAGATCGTGCCACTGCACTCCAGCCTGGGTGACTGAGCGAGACTCTGTCTCAAAACAAAACAAACAAACACAAAAAAATGCACTATCAACAAAGATAACTACGGTGGAGGATCCAAATGAAGGAATAACAAAGAGCTTTACAGAGCATTCGGTGCTCAATAAAGTTAGTTCTTCTCTGTTACCTGTGTTCACTTTCTCTAAAACACAAGTTTCTTAACTGTTTTAGATAATTTCTTCAGTAACCTAATATAGGACATAGATTTTCTTTGGAGAAGAATATGCATATATACATACATATGTGTTTTGTTTCTCATGCAAAAGTTACCTTTGGGTTGTGGAGGAGTATAGATGCATTGACACTTTTTACTCAATCCCCACACTCTACAGAAACTGCTCCAAGACATATAACGGCACATTTAGTCAAAGAAACAAGGTTCATTTTCTGTTTTGTTTTCACATGAGTAATCTAAATGCTGACCTACTCTGGAAAACAAACTCACATTGCAATGATCAAAGACAACCATGCAGTGCGGCTCCTTGCTGACGGAAGAGGAGGAGGTGTCCACTTCAGGAGCGACAATCACCGGCTCCTGTTGATCCCAGAAGCTGTATTTGCAGAACACAAAGTGGGACAGATGCTGTGGCAACCCAGTAGCTTGCAGGATTTTAACCTGAAGGAAAAAGAAGGCTCTGTGTTTTGAAATCTGAGGGTTCCAACAAGCATTCAGAGTTGCAGGTTCCAGCCCCGGCTCTGTCACTAACTTAGGTGCTTATGATATTTATGTTGGCCAAATCCCATTCACCCTGAGACTGGACTTCTGCATCTGGGAAATAGTGGTAGCAATGATTATATTTAGTGAGAGGCTGGACACAGGGTTACAAGGACCTTGACTACAGAGGTGGACGTTGTAAAGTCTAAGAACATTTAAATGTTAGTTTCTCAGAATATAAGAATCATCATCTCGTTAATTCAGATGAAGAAAGATCTCAAACATCAGCACTCTTCAATGATATGAACTTGGCTAACCATGGATATGCCATAGAACAGAACAAGGTTGTCAGGCATAGCGAATGAAGAACAAAATCGGTGTATGGGCCAAGAAACAACAAATATCAAGGAAAGAGCAAAACATGGATTTGATATTTTAAAGTATAAAGAGGAATAAGGTTCTCAACTGAAAATGTTACACAATACTATACAACATTGTTTGGGAAAACTTAAAAGCACCAGAAATGTATAATTTAAAGATGTGGGGAGAGATAGAAGGGAAGTGAAGTTAGTGAATGATGACCATTTTCTGCAGCATTTACGGAAAGCCTTCTCTATGCAGATTTGGGGGAAGGTGTATCAAAGGAAGCGTGCTCCGGACCAGGAGGGCAGGGTGCGGTTGTAACAAAGTGCAACTGGAGATACATGTCTAATCAGACCCAAAGGCCCCAGAAGAAATGCCTATAACAGTTTCTAAGCAGCCAAATATTCTTAATATTTCTTTTGGTGGGCAGCATTAGATTGATTTGTTTTTGAGCCAGGGTCTTGCTGTGTTGCCCAGGCTGGAGTGAGTGGCACAATCATGGCTAACTGCAGCCTCAATTTTAAGAGTTCAAGCGATCCTCCAGCCTCAGCCTCCCAAGGAGCTAGGACTACAGGTGTGTGTCACCATGCCCAGCTAATTTTTTTTATTTTTAGTAGAGATGAGGTCTCACCATGTTTCCCAGACTGGTTTTGAATTCCTGAGCTCAAGTGATCCTCCTGCCTCAGTCTCCCAAAATACTGGGATTATAGACATGAGCCACGATGCCTGGCGTGGTTTGATTTTTAATTTGGAGTTTTTGTGATAAACTGCAATATTCTACAACTTCTCCAACTACGAAGAAAATGAAATCCTGAAGTCGTTAAGCTAAGTTCTGACTTTATAACTGATTAAACCAATTTTCACATGACTGAGCATTAATCATAAATCATATTTTTCACCTGGTCACGTTCTGCATGTTGTATGATTTAATCTACCTCCAGTAAATACAGTTAATGAAAATAAATCTGAATATATGACATATGAGTTCATGTAGTTCAGAAGCCACAAACATAACCTTAACATTTCAGGCTATAATCCCAGCACTTTGGGAGGCCGAGGATCACTTGAGGTCAGGAGTTTGAGACCAACCTGGCCGACATGGTGAAACCCCATCGCTACTAAAATTACAAAAATTAGCCAGATGTGGTGGCACATGCCTGTAGTCCCAGCTACTCCCAAAGGCTCAGACACGAGAATCGCTTCAACCCGGGAGGCGGAGGTTGCAGGAGCAGAGATCGCACCACTGCACTCTACTCTGGGTGACAGAGACTCTGTCTCAAAAAACAAACAAGCAAACAAGCAAAAACACATTTCGAGAAGTATTGATGACACACAAAATTACACAAACCAGATATTTTCTTCCATACTAGACATATAATGGGTGAGCAACAAACAGGAACCCCCGTTATAATTCATCTTTTCTGTGATGTCAACAGAAGTTTGAAACACCTAGATAGCTACTTCCTGACAGGCTATGAAAGACAGATTGGCTGACATATTTTATTCCTCCAAACCAAACTGAGCAAACAATACTCTGCAATTAATTTTTCCACAAAGTTTTTAAAAACCATCATTTTCTCATTAAGTGTTTTTAAATATTTATATTATTTAAGGCACGGCAATATGGCATTTGGGAAGATTACAAGATATTGGAGTTACATAAAATAAATAGAATAAATATCTCGGCCAGGCGTGGTGGCTCACTCCTGTAATCCCAGCACTTTGGGAGGCCAAGGTGGGCGGATCACCTGAGGTCGGCAGTTCAAGACCAGCCTGACCAACATGGAGAAACCCCGTCTCTACTAAAAACACAAAAAATTAGCCAGATGTGGTAGCACGTGCCTGTAATCCCAGCTACTCAGGAGACTGAGACAGGAGAATCACTTGAATCCGGGAGGAGGTGGAGGTTGCAGTGAGTTGACATCACGCCATTGCACTCTAGCCTGGGCAACAAGAGCGAAACTCCGCTCAAAAATTAATTAATTAATTAATTAATTAATTAAAATAAATAAATCTCACCCACTTATCAGCTTGTGTGCTGGCTCAAATTACTTAAATTCTTAGTTTTCTTAGGCTTCGTTTTCTCCTAGGTGAAATGGGAATATCAGTAGCTACCTTACTCTACAGGGGTGAGACTTACCACACCAATGAAATGAAATGAAATGAAAGAGACCTGTAACAGGTTTTTTTTTTTTTTTTTTTTTTGAGATGGCGTCTCGCTCTGTTGCCCAGGCTGGAGTGCAGTGGTTCGATCTTGGCTCACTGCAAGCTCCACCTCCCAAGTTCACACCATTCTCCTGCCTCAGCCTCCCGAGTAGCTGGGACTAAAGGTGCCCACCACCACGCCCGGCTAATTTTTTTGTATTTTTAGTAGAGACGGGGTTTCACCATGTTAGCCAGGATGGTCTCGATCTCCTGACCTTGTGATCCGCCCGCCTCAGCCTCCCAAAGTGCTGGGATTACAGACGTGAGCCGCCGCGCCCGGCCCTGTGACAGGTATTGAGTAGATACATGTTCAATACATACTTCTTAGTGACTAAATTCCATCTGAAAACCTTTTTTTACCATTCAAAATTAATCACAATTTTAATGTTAAAATAGACAAGAAACAAGATTTAATATGCTGAACTCTCGCCTATGGGCAACCTCTCAGGAATGCAACTGCCAGGAATGAAGACTGTCAGCCATAAGAAATGAACACAGGCTGTTTGGGTTTTGTGGGGTTTTCAAAAAAGTTTTTGCACACAAAAACTATAACCACCACAAGGTGTCAGAGTATCACAGACTTCAACTTGCAGCTGTTCAAGACAGAGGAGCCCAGGAATGTCTGCAGGCACGGATGCTGCGCCCAGGTTTTTAAATATACAAACTTTACTTCATATCAGTGAAAACATGGAGATGTTAATATGTGCATATAGCCTTGTTACAAAAAAACAAATCCAGACTTCTTTGGGGGCTAATTACACTCACCACGCATGACATCTTAACTGTCTCCAGGCTGGTTTCTTTTGTTTTTCTACCAGTGTTCTATTTATTGTCATATAGCTTATTTGTCCTCGTCCTTTTTACATAAAAGGCCATTACATGCCAGTATATGGTCTCTAAAAACCACTTCCCACTGAAAGGAATCAGGTTCCTTGGAGAAATGGCTGATTCCAGGTCTGGGACAGGAAATACACAAGATGAGATCGGAATATTCATCACACCGGAAAACAAGAAAGCTACCCCAGTCCAGGAAGGTTAGAGTTATGACAACAGGACTCAAGGGCCAACTGAAGCGGCTCCCACTGGCCAAAGATGGGAACATTTGTGTTTAAATACAGGTAGTGAATGCAACAGATAGACACACACCAAATATGGTTAAGTCCAAGAGTTCATAATCATGCTTTTAAGACTAAGGACAAAAAAACTAACTTGTCACATTTTGGAAAACCAATTCATTATTTTAAAAATTAGTCCGGATATGGTGGCTCACACCTGTAATCCTTGCACTTCGAGAGGCTGAGACAGGTGGATCACTTGAGGCCAGGAGTTCAAGACCAGCCTGGCCAAGATAGTGAAACCCTGTCTCTACTAAAAATACAAAATTAGCTGGGCATGGTGGCACAGCTACCTAGAAGGCTGAGGTGGGAGAATCGCTTGAACCCAGGAGGTGGAGGGTGCAGTGAGCTGAGATCACACCACTGTACTCCAGCCTGGGTGACAGAGCCAGACTCTGTCTCAAAAATAAAATAAATAAATAAAAATTGTAAATAAAGGGAGAGATGCAACATTTATCCTTCCTTTTCTATACAAATTATCTCTGTAGAGCAAAACAGTTGTTAATAGGAAGATTTTCTCTGGAGAAAAATGAAATGACAATAGAATTATAGAACCATTCTTTTGTAACTCCTAACAAAATGATGCATCTAGGTAAGAATCATCAGTGGCTGATCATCCCTCAAAGACAAACAACTAGACAAGATGTGGCTCCTGATGGAAGAACGCAGGCCACCACCTACAAAGCACCCTGGCTGCCTCCCTCCCCCAGGTAACACCTGTATACCTAACTACCAATTTTCAGCAAATGCATCTTAACATACTAAGTAACACCAATCAGCAGAATCCAGACTATGGGAAACTGCAGGTCAACAACCCAGTTTCTACAATAAATGAATTGCAGGTGTGGTAAGAGAGGCAAAAAGAGAAAGCGAGCGAGTGAGAGAGCACGAGCATACCAGGGCCTAAAGACTGAAACAGACCAAGAGACATACCAACCAAGACAATTAAGAAAACTGACGATTTTAATATTAAGAAATTATTAATTTTTGACAAATTACTAATTTTGGCAATTATGGTTATATTGGTTTAAGGACTCATCTTTTGGAGACACACACTGAACTATTTACAGATAAGATATGATGCTGGGGCGTGCCTGGGGTGCTAAGGGAGGGGGGCAGCACAGAAGTGGCTGAGTGTATGAATGAAACGAGGTTGACCACAGGTGGTAATTGTGGAGCGAAGGTGAATGGGGATTCGTAACACATTTCTCACTACTTTTATTTATGTATATTTGAGATCTTCCATTAAAAAACATGGTATTTTAACCTCATTTTAGGAAGCCCATATGACTTAGAATGTACTACTTTTTTTCAGTAATAAGGATAAATTTCCCAAGTGAGAAGTGCCCTTGTATGTTATTTTACTTTAATAGTAGAAGGTGATATTTGAGAGTTGCATTTACTAGTCCATCACCTTTAAAATGGGCCATTGTGGGGTCATCAACCCTATGTCTCCATCTCCGATCATCACATGACTCAAAGGAGCTGCTCTGAAATCAAGTACAATATAATAAAAATGAACCCTTCAGTGAATTAAGATTCCTCCCCCTTCCTAGTGAAGTAACTGAAACACCAGAAGCCCTCTCAATATACGCGAAGTCTTACAGAAAGCAGCCCAACTCCAACAGCTCCAGCTTCCCGCTACCTTGTGGCTGACACGTAACTTACTCCCTTCAACATCAGCTTCAATTCTAGAGATGTTTACTGGGAAAGAGGACTGGTTCTAGGATGAGCTATGAATTAAGAGTCAGGTTTAGGCCTTCTTCGCTTCACCTCACCTCCTTCTCACTTGTACATTGCACCTGCGCCCCTCGCTGACTTCCTGTCCCCCAGCACCTTCTTTTTATAAGAACTGTTCCTGCAGGGATTCTCAGCCACCAGCAGGTCTGGCTCACTAGCGGGTGTTTGGAAATGGAGGAGGCGATTTTGCATTATCATGAGTGGGGGAGGCTCTGCTCTACTTCCAAAATTTGAAAAGGAACATAATACTTACCATCTAAAGACCTGCAGTTCTCAAAATCAGCTATTAGGTTGGTGCAAAAGTAATTGTGATTTTTGCCATTAAAAGTAATGGCAAAAACTGCAATGACTTTTGTATCAACGTAATACTAGGATGAAGCTGGGACTTACCATGCACACCAGTTTGTTCTCCTGGGTCTCCTTCTCAAAGGAGACCTCTGCCACCTCATCGCCTCCTGCGATCCTCTCCCCAACATCACCACTGAGTCGCATCACCTCCACGTGCAGCCGACCTGCCACCTGCAGCAATGAGGGAAGGCAGAAACATTTCTCCAGATTTGGTTCGTGCTCCCTTGAGATGACCTCTCTTCTCTTTTACAGTCAAGTTGTCAGGTTAATGGTGTATGGGAATTTAGAGGCCTAGTCTCTGACAGTTACTCTACCCTAAGAGTCCTTGGAAACACAAGGTATTAATAAGACACGTTACTGACAAAAAATAGCAACAATATCCCATCACCACCCTCTTGTTTCTTAAACTATTCTCTACAGGAAACAAGGCATGAAGAGAAAACCAACCTCTCCTTTCTGGTTGATGATGGGAACAGCGTATTGTAACTTCACATCATAGAAAAGTGACTCGAGGAAGACATTGGCCACCCCAATGAGACTGTGATTTTCCTGCTCATCATAGAATGGATCAGCACGTTTGAAGTATGATCGTATTACCTGTAAAGAGATTGAGAACACACAACTTCAGAAAAACCATTTACAATAAATGCATTCAACCTACTGCTTTTTGATGCACTCTAGGTTATTAAACTTAACTTTCATCATCCTAACTCTTGTATTTTTTAGAGTAAAACATTCTAAAGTTTTTGCTAAAGCACAGCGCTGTATTACTCCCATACACACTCTTCCTCATTCCCATTCACAATGGAGGTGAGCATCCTCCACCCATGACAGAGCGATCCCAGTAACAGGTCATTACTTTTATCAGCTATTCTCCTTTACATGGAAATTTTGCCACAAAATAAACAATATATGTTGACCAGAAAAAGAAGTAGAGTGTGCTAAACTACACTTCACCTTTCTTTTGGGAAAGACAGTAATTCTTATCTGCTCTGCTTATTCCTAGCAAGTCATCAGATAAAACTGCTGCTAATAAAAGGTGAGCCCTCACACCTATAATCCCAGCACTTTGGGAGGCCAAGGCAGGCGGGTCACCTGAGGTCAAGAGTTTGAGACCAGCCTGCCCAACATGGTGAAATCCCGTCTCTAATAAAAATACAAAAATTAGCCAGGTGTGGTGGTGGGCGCCTGTAATCCCAGCTACTCGGGAGGCTGAGGCAGGAAAATCACTTGAACCCAGGAGGCAGAGGAGGCAGTGAGCCAAGATCGTGCCACTGCACTCCAGCCTGGATGACAGAGCAAGACTCCATCTAAAAAAAAAAAAAGGTGAGCCCCTATGGGAGTGGCTCTTTCATTATTTATTACTGTTGTTTTATTTCTAAGTTGAAATAGGAGAGGGGTACCAAAGAGACAAACATGTTTTAAGCAAAAACATCACCTAACTATAAGAAACATTTTTATTGATAACAATCTGGAAAAATCATTTTTACAAAACAAAAGGCAAAGGAAGTAAACAACTCTATGCGGAAACAGGTCTAACGGTAATGAAAATATGTTCAGACATACATAATATGCACTTCTATTTTAAATACGTATGAGTACATGGCTGATCTAAGTAAGAAAACCTGCAAGTTAAGGACAGAGTACCAATGTATAGATTTATGGCATTTATGTTATGATCAAAACTTCTTCAAAAATGCTCCTTGGAGTGTAAATATTAAGATACCACCGATGTTCAACTTACAAAACATATATTGTAGGTTTATTATCTGCAAGGTTAAACGGGTTGAGCAATGGGAGGAGAGACAAATAATGAGGCCTGGCCTCTGTCCTAAAGAGGTTCCCAGAGAGCACAGGAGACAGACACCCGCACACCAACAGAAGTCAGAATGGAAAGTGGAGAATTCTGCTAGAAATCTAAAAGACAGAAATGAGAAGAAAAAAGAAGATACCAGAAAGAGAGATTATTAAAATTGTTAATTTGCTAAACAATTTAGGGGATTAAAATAAACCTTACTCCAGAAATAGGATTATAATTTTGGAAAAAGAACAATTTTCCCCTGAAATGGGTAGACTCATTCCAGCTTGGCTCCTTCCATAATTACCAATTAAGTGATTTTCTCTTAAATAACTTACTGGGTTATCTTCTTCACACTCTTTCCACTCCTGATAAAGGTCTCTCATATCCAACAGCCTGTTGTCCAGTTTTTCCAAAGACCAAATCTGCTTTCCTTTTCCTTTTCTTCTCACCTGGATTGCAGGCTCACTAAGAAGAGAGCCTCGCTGCAAAGAGAGTAAGAATGACCGTGAGAAACACACAGGCAGCGGGGAAGTCAAAGCTGACAATTCCACCCCCATCAGTCAAATGTCATTACACCAAAACTCAAATGGCAATCATCCTTTAATCTGTTGATTACAAAGCCTCCAAAAAGTCTTACAAGCTATAACATAATACCTTCCTACCCAAGTGCAATCAAAACCTATTTATAAACTTCACTTTAAGTATAAACTTACATTAAAAATTTTTTGGGGGGAGTTGCTGGGCATGGTGGTTCACGCCTGTAATCCCAGCACTTTGGGAGGCCAAGGCAGGTGGATAACTTGAGGTCAGGAGTTCAAGACCAGCCTGGCCAACATGGTGAAACCCCTCTCTACTAAAAATACAAAAATTAGCCGGGTGTGGTGGCACGTGCCTGTAATGCCAGCTACTTGGGAGGCTGAAGCACAAGAATTGCTTGAACCCAGGAGGCAGAGGTTGCAGTGAGCTGAAGTCTTGCCACTGCACTCCAGCCTAGGTGACAGTATGAGACTCTCAAAAATAAATAAATATATACATGTGTGTGTGTGTAAAGAGACAGCATCTCACTCTGTCACCCAGGCTGGAGTGCAGTGGCACGTCATAGCTCACTGCAGCCTCGAACTCCTGGGCTCCAGTGATACTCCTGCCTCAGCCTCCCAAGTAGTTAGGACCACAGGTGCATGCCAATACACCCAGCTAATTTTGTCTGTTTTGCATAGAGACAGGGTCTTGCTATATGGCCAAGGCTGGTTTGGAACTCCTGGCCTCAAGTGATCCCCCTGCTTCAGCCTCCCAAAGCACAGGGATTATAGGCATGAGCCACCACATTTAAATTTTGACTGTAGTTGGAAATGATTTTAAGTTTAAAACCCAAAAGACCACATTTAACAGCAAGTTGAAATAAAAGTATTTTATTCAGGCCACCATATGACCACAACGTTATCAATGGGGAGAGAGGGAAAGTTTGCTGCGGTGTATGGGGAAGAAACGTCCCTCTCAGAGGCTGAATTTTGTTTTATTGTAATGGATGGCATCTTCAGGGGGTATAAAACATGAAACACTTAAAAGAGTAAACTGAAAAGTCCCCGATTCACCCACGTGGAAGCAATTAATGATACCAGTTTCCAAATATGCATTGTTTGGGTTTCTTATTAAGATCATACAGAACTAGATGGAAGCGGTGCTCACACCACATTATTACCGTGCCAAATGCCACTGAGTTATTCACTTTAAAATAGTAATGTTTGGCCAGGTGTGGTGGCTCACGCCTGTAATCCCAGCACTTTGGGAGGCCAAGGCAGGCAGATCACAAGGTCAGGAGTTTGAGACCAGCCTGGCCAATATGGTGAAACCCCGTCTCTACTAAAAATACAAAAATTAGCCAGGCATGGTGGTGGGCGCCTGTAGTCCCAGCTATTCAGGAGGCTGAGGCAGAAGAATCGCTTGAACCCAAGAGGAGGTTGCAGTGAGCCGAGATCGCGCCACTGCACTCCAGCCTGGGCAACAAAGCAAGACTCTGTCTCAAAAAAAATAATAATAATAAAATTAAAAAAAAGTAATGTTCTATTATGCAAGTATCACACCTCCCCCCCAAAAAAAGTATGCTCTGAAGTTTTTCCAGCTTATAAGAGCAATGTGGATTTTTTTCAGAGTAGAACTTGAGCAATGTGTTTTTAATGTAGAAAAAATTTTAGAACTTTTAAAAAACCACAAAGTTAAAAAAAAAAAAGCCCCTATACATTTCCCCGAGGGAGACATATCTACTGGTTATCTAATCAATTTAGGTTTACTGGCTTAATTTTTCAAATGTTCTACTTAAAACTGAAGAGAACTTTGAAATACATTGATGTTTCATTAACATCTTGCCTACAATCATTTTCTAAGAAAAAAATTTAAATAATAAAACAAACATTTGAGAATTCTTACGGTCAAAATGCGTGTGTGTGTTTTTTTTTAATTGAGACAGAGTCTCTTTCTGTCGCCCAGG
The DNA here is from genome assembly GCF_000001405.40 of Homo sapiens. Classification (NCBI taxonomy): domain Eukaryota; kingdom Metazoa; phylum Chordata; class Mammalia; order Primates; family Hominidae; genus Homo; species Homo sapiens. Next base: position 29,144,307 of record NC_000008.11, read on the forward strand.
CTGGGGTGCAGTGGCCCAATCTCGGCTCACTGCAACCTCCGCCTGGGTTCAAGTGATTCTCCTGCCTCAGCCCCCCAAGCAGCTGGGATTACAGGCGCCTGCCACCACGCCTGGCTGATTTTTGTATTTTTAATAGAGATGGGGTTTCATCATATTGGCCAGGCTGGTCTCGAACTCCTGACCTCAGGTGATCCGCCCACCTTGTCCTCCCAAAGTGCTGGGATTACAGGCATGAGCCACCATGCCCGGCCATCTTACAGTCAAAATTAAAGGCCCTCCTACCTTATATTCAGCCAGCCAGTGAATAAATACAAAAATCCCATTTGTGACCTGTGTGGGTAGTGGCTTTCCTGGGGGAGAATGCTGGACCTGGGACTATAATAGCAACGGGCAATATGGTGCAGCTACCATAACTTAGCCCTCTTGCAAAACTGGAAATAAGAAAAAAATTCACCAGAGAAGAGTTCACAGAATGGACAGGACTTTAAACAACTTTTCAAATACCAAAAAATAGTCTGTTGCACGAAAGACTACAGAGTCAGCCTAACTAAGGAGAGATGCCAGGCGACATGAGTTCTTCCAGGCGTTGACATGGCTGCCCCAGTGCAGAGCCACACCTTTCAACAAAGCCCAAAAGAGGTTACGGAGAAAAGGGCTGCGGTCATGCTTACTGGGGAAAAATCTTTCAGGTTTCTGCTTTTTTCAACTTATACACTATAAAATCAAAGAGGATCTTGTACTTCTCAGCCTTCAAGGAGAAACTAGGCCCTGAACCTTCTCCTTGTGACTGGCCTTCCTCTTCGGTTTTTGGTGAGTCCTACTGTACCCAGACTTTGCCCTACAAATACTAGTGTTCTAATTAAGTAAAAATTTTCAAAATACACACAGAGTATACAAAAACAATGATCTGTAAAGTAACGATCATATCATATTTACAATACCTTTCTCAAAATACTAAGAATCATATTTGCCAAATATCTAACCCTGTACAAAACGCTGACCTTGATGCTATGATGTCATAGGGAAAGATGTAATCCTTGCTATCAAATTAGAATAATATCCGCCTGTAATCCCAGCACTTTGGGAGGCCAAAGCAGGTGGATCACTTGAGGTCAGGAGTTTGAGACCAGCCTGGCCAACACAGCAAAACCCCATCTCTACTAAAAATACAAAAATTAGTCCAGCGTGGTGGCACACACCTGTAATCCCAGATACTGAGGAGGCTGAGGCAGGAGAATCGCTTGAACCCAGGAGGCAGATGCTGCAGTGACCCAGGATCACACCACTGCATTCCAGCCTGGGTGACAGAGTAAGACTCCCTCTCAAACAAAAAAAAGAAAAATAGAATATCCAAGATGGATTGATTAAAGTTTTGCTGTGTTGACTACCGCAGGCTAAACAGAACACACGGATCCACAAAAAATTCATCTGAATAGAAAATTCTACCTAATCCATCAAAAATTATGTATGAATGTGATCAAGAGCTAGAAAAGAACCTCAAAAAAAAAAAAAAAAGATGAAGGAAAAAAACCCAACTGAATGGCAAAGATAGAAGATTGTGATGGGACTTTCCCCCTACATTTTATTAAATTTATTATACCAAAAAAAGTATGATCCTGAATATATACATGACACCATGACACAACTAATGAGCAGTTTTACAGAGCAAGCTATTCCAAGTAGAAAATAACATAAGCAAAATGAACACCTAACTTGTGGAGAAGGGGTTGTAGAGTGGTAGCATAAGGAAGGAAAAAAAGACATTCGGGGAAGATTAATCAGAAAAGACTTCTAAGAAAGAATTTAAACAGATTTGAAGGAAGAAAGTTGAGTGAAATGAACTGTCAGGGCCAGGTGAGATGCAGAGTATATTCCCCTAGCAGATAAAATATACATACACTCAAAGGTAGAGAATGGAAAAGGAAGTCAATTCTACCCAAAAGCATGGAGGACAAAGGATCTGGACTTGGGGCAGGCACAGACAGGGATCTGAAGCTTAAATAACACCAGGAAATATCAGGCGATCTTATCCAATGAGATCTTTGTTTTTTTCAAGGAACGGCAACCTCACCTTCCTGTTGGCATCCAGGCTGGAGGCTGGAATCTGTAGGGTAACTTTGTATTCTGTTCTTTTATCCAGCTCCTCAGCAATGTAATTAGCTTCTCTCACCAATAGATTGGCCTTAACAATTTGTTCCCTCAGCCTCATCAGGCTGTTATTCAACGTTGCTTCTCTAAAAAAAAATAAAGAAGCGGCAGAGGTAGGGAAGAGATTAACACAAAGCAGCTAGTCAGAAAATCATACAGTGGTAGTACATCATTGCCAAAGTGTGAATTGAGCTTTTTCCGTGGTCGTCTGCACGCAGGGACTGTGTTGCTGACACTGACCCATGCACACGCTTGAACCTCAACTACACGATAAGCACTGGAAAGCAGCCACACAGCAAGCCGGCTGTAGATAACAGCAGTGCCCCTGTATGCAGATCACCAGGGGATCTTCATCAACTCAAGATTCTGTCTCAGCAGGTCTGAGGTGGAGGCCTGAAATCCTACATTTCTATCAATCTCCAGGTAAAAGGGAAGCTGCCTGCCTGCAGACCAAACTTTAAATAGTATGAGGTTAGTGAAGTACAGTCTGCAACCATGGGATAAGGCATTTCAATGCAATGCTAATTAGCCCATACAGAGATCAAATTTGCAATCTGCATCTCATCAGCACCATGCTTTACCTACCTGAGCTAATCAGTCCAGATAACCAACTTTGTTTTTCTAAAAATCATCTACCCAAGCTTCAGAACCTAAAGCATAATACAATGATCAAGTGTACTTCTATATCCAAATCCAAAAGCCATACCAACTGAAAATGGAGCAACACCTAACACCAACAGTTTTAAATAATGCAATATAAATGGGCAATTCCCCTTTTAAAAACAAATGCAAAGTGGTTCTTGGCTGTTAACACTTATCTTTTAACATAATTCTTTTGTAAGCACCATCTTAATGTTCCCATTTGACACTTTCCCTAGGTGTGTTAGAGGTGGCAAGCCTGAGCTATAAAGTTAACAGGCCCCTCTGTGCCGCCTACCTCTCCTCAGCCCACTGTCTTAAGCGTTGCTGAGCGCTGGGCGAGTGGAAAGAAAACCTGTCCATGCTCCGGCAGTTCTGCTTCTCAGGAGACAGCCTTCTCCGGAGCTGCTCCAATTCGTGCTCATACATAAGCCTCTGGCGCTCCAGTGCAGATCGTTTTTCTTCTTCATGCTGTTGTTCTAAGCTGTTTAATATGGACTGCATCGGATCTAAACACATTTTTAAAAAAGATACATGATCGAGAGTTACAACATAATAAACTTCAAATGTTGTTCTATATGGTAATGTTGTCTGTCATCTTAACTATACCACCTAATACTTTAAAGACAATTTGGCATAAACTTAGCTTTCCTGACTTTCAATCACTCATGTTGTTATATATTCTCAGACATATCCTCAACCATCTTCCCTGCAGAAAAAGCAGGTCTATTATATGTTCTACACATAACCTAAGACATGGCGAATCCTCCAGAAATACAATCATAAGCCAATGACAGGCAAGTTTCTAAAGCAGAGAAATTTGACCGGGCACAGTGGCTCACACCTGTAATCCCAGCATTTTGGGAGGCCGAGGTGGGCGGATCACCTGAGGTCAGGAGTTTGAGACCAGCCTGGCCGACATGGCGAAACCTTGTCTCTATTGAAAATACAAAAGTGAGCCAGGCATGGTGGTGTGCACGCCTGTCATCCCAGCTACTCAGGAGGCTGAGGCAGGAGAATCGAATCACTTGAACCCAGGAGGCAGAGGTTGCAGGGAGCCGAGATCGTGCCACTGCACCCTAGCCTGGGCGACAGAGCGAGACTCTCTCACAAAAAATTAAAATAAAATAAACAAGAGAGATTCTATCCATCAGATCAAAGTGATCTGACTGCATATTAAGGCAGAACATTTTGATAAATATAAATTAAAGCCAAAGACACAAAATACAGAGAATAGCAACATAAAGATTTTCCTTTTTGTTAACATTTGAAAGTCCCCAATCATAAACATTTTTAACACTCTACCGTTTTTTTTTTTTTAAAGAGAGAACGTCTTGCTATGTTGCCCAGGCTAAAGAGCAGTGGTTATTCACGGGCACAGTCTCAGCTCACTGCAGCCTGGAACTCCTGGGCTCAAGCGATCTCCCCACCTCAGCCTCTACCAACTGGAACTGATTCTCAAGTGCACGCCCGACTTGCTCACCATTGCTGCCCAGGGCCTTCATGGTGACCTCCATCTGTGCGTATTCGTAATTAAAGTTAACTTCACTGGACACCTCGCTGGAGGAGTCTCCGTCTACATCCAGCTGCTCAGAACTATTCTCGTTCTTCATGGAGGGATCCTGGTCCTCATCCTCTCGTTCTGCTTTCTTTTTCTTTTTAGGCAAATTGAGTCTTGGTGGGAAAAAGAGTATTATTTTCTGAAGTTAAGATAGGCACTTATTCATGTCATTCATTAAGTACTGGTATCTGTTAGAAGCCAAGTGGATACCATGTAAGTACAAGGCAATTACTGTACTCAGGAAGTTGATAATCTTGTCGTAGAAATAAGACACTCATGTGCCAGCAAAAACTTACAACAGAAAGTATGACACTAGGCCACACGCCTGTGACAAGCTCAGAGTGAAAGGAAAGCTGAGGACGTTTTCAGAGCAAGGTGATAAAGGAAGGTGCGACAGGAGGAAATCATTTGAACTGAGTCTTCACGGATAAGGAGAAAGCAGGACAGAGGGAACAGTGTGGGAAAAGATGTGAAAATGGAAATGTTCATATTCCCTGGAGAAATGGGTAAAACAACGGGATATTCAAAATTTGTATAGCACACTAGAGCTAAAGCTGGAAAGATCAGCTTAATCCAAACGATGAGGGTTTTGAACACAAAACAAAGCAGTTTACACGTCATTTAATTTAGGAAGGAAAAAAATGCTCCATGCTCTTTGTGCCCATCTACCCTTTTCTCAGTAACCAAAATATCACTGGCCCATGGCAAAGGATCTCTGTTAGCTACAGAAAAGTCAGTATGACATCTGGAGCACACCGACCAGTGACAATAACAAGAGACCAGGATGTTAACTTTTTACAATATCCAGCCTGCCTGCCTTGTCAACACAACATCAATTTTGTTTGGGAAACCACATGTACAGCCCCAGGTGAGACACAGTCTTTCTCAGCCCCCTTTGTAGCTAAGAGGCAAATTCTAGCAAAGGAGACAGAAGGAGAAGATTGCTGGGGACTCTGGGAAGACTTCTCTGTTTTTTTGGATGAACAGGACAGTCAGGGCTAGTGCAGCTATGGTTCTCCTTTTTCTTCCTGTACCTGAATGCTGCTTTGACGGCAGTGCAGCATGGCCAACTTCAGGCCACAGAGAGATGCCAAGACAGTGACCAGACTTTAGCCATGACTTTTTTTGAGAGGCTTAGCCAACACTAACAACTATGTTCCTTTAGATTTCTGGTTCTGTCAGGGGAATAAATGATCTGTCTAACCCATTACAGTAAAATTTGCCATGACTTAGAGCTGAAAAGAATTCCTAAAAGAACCTTATTTTATAGATAAGGAAACTAAAACCACGACTACGTTTCCGTAAAAAAATAAATAAAAAAAAAGATAAACATGTCAGAAAAACATTAATAAATTCTTACACCACACGGCAAAAGAATCATCTTCTAGTGGGAAATAAAAGGGAAAAACTATGTAGGTAAACTCAGTATTTTTCCAGAGTATATTGTTTATATGTCCCTAGGGTTCAGACCATATACAGTGAATGAACACACACACACATATATAATACACATGCAGCAAATATATACGTACACACACAATAACATAATTGTTGTAGAGAAAGGTTTACTTTTTAACATGTATTTTCTATTTCAGAGCACAATCTTCAACAATCTCTTTAAGGGACATGAACAACATCATACCTGAAGAAATGATTGTTTCCCCATAATATCCTGTCCCCATGGTGTAGCTGTATTGGACTGGAGACAGATGACCCATTTACAAATGTTCTGTAAGGAGAAGAGATCAAACGTGAATGATGAGTACAGTATCATGTCTTCTGCTTTAATTTCCCAATAACATAGAGATATAGTTACTAGGGAAAACAATAATTCCCCCAAACACAACCTGTTCTTGGTGAATTTTAATATTTGCATTTACTCCTTTGCTGATTCACCTAAAATGTTTATGGTACAAAGCACAGGCACATCTCATTTTACTGCGCTTTGCTTTATTGTGCTTTGCAGATATCACATTTTTTACAAACGCTATCCTATGTTAAGCAAGGCTACAGGAGATACTTTTCAAACAGCACGTGCTCACTTCACGTCTGTCATGGAGGTCTGTGATAAGGGACCTCTGACCTCACCTCTCTAATTGTTTTTGGAACATCGTGAACTGCACCCATGTAAAATGGTAAATTTAGTAAATGTAGTATGGGTTTTGACTCTCTCCCTCTCCTCGGGTCTCTTTATTCCCCGAGACACAACCATATTGAAATTAGGCTAATTAATAACTACAATAACCTCTAACTGTTTAAGTAAAAGAAAGAGTCACACATCTCTCAAAAGGTGGAAATAATTAAGCTCAGTGAGGAATCACATCGAAAACCAAGACAGGACGAAAAGCCAGGCCTCCTGTACCAACAGTTGGCCAAGCTGTGAGTGCACATGAAAAGCTCTTGAAGGAAATTAAAGGTGCTTCTCCAGCGACTACATGAATGATAAGGCTGAACAGTCTTCCTGCTGATATGGAGAAAGTTCAGTGGTCTGGATGGAAAATCAACCCAGCCACAATATTCCCTCAACCAAACCCTAACCCAGAGCAAGGTCCTAACTCTCTTTAATTCTATGAACTGGGAGAAGTGAGGAAGCAACAGAAGAAAAGTTGGAAGCTAGCAGAGGTCGGTTCATGAGGTTTAAGGAAAGAAGCCACCTCTGTAACATAAAAGTGCAAGGTGAAGCAGCAAGTGCTGATGGAGAAGCTGCAGCAAGATCACTGATGAGATTTTTGATGTAGATGAAACAGACTTCTACTGGAAGAAGATGTCATCTCGAACTTTCTTAGCTAGAGAAGAGAAGTCAATGCCTGGCTTCAAAGCTTCAATGGCAGGCTGATTCTCTTAGGGGCTAATGTAGCTGGTGACTTTTAAGTTGATGCCAATGCTTACTGACCATTCTGAAAATCCTAGGGCCCTTAAGAATTATGCTAAATCAGCTCTGCCTGTGCTCTGTAAATGGAACAAAGCCTGGATGACAGTACGTCTGTTTACATCACAGTTTGCTGAATATTTTAAGCCCACTGTTGAGACCTAATGCTCAGAAGATTCCTTCCAAAATATTACTGCTCATTGATAATGCACCTGATCACCCAAGAGCTCTGATGGAGATGTACAAGGATATGAATGTTGTTTTCATGCCTGATAACACAACATCCACTCTGCAGCCCATGGATCAAGAATTTTCACTTTCAAGTCTTATCATTTAAAAAATACATTTCATAAGGCTATAGCTGCTATAGACAGTGATTCTTCTAATGGATCTTGGCAAAGTAAGTTAAAAACCTTCTGGAAAGGATTCGCCATTCTAAGATGCCATTAAGAACATTTGTTATTCAGAGGAGGAAGTAAAAATATCAACATTAACAAGGAATTTGGAAGGAGTCCAATCATCATGGATGCCTTCGGGGGGTTCAAGACTTTAGGGGAGGAAGTAACTGCAGGTGTGGTGGAAATAGCAAGAGACATGAATAAGAAGTGGAGACTGAAGATGTGGCTGAACTGCTGTGACCTCAAGACAAAACATTAGTGGGTAAGTTGATTCTTATGAATAAGCAAAGAAAGTGGTTTCTTGAGATGGAATCTACTCCTGGTGAAGATGCTGTGAACATTGCTGAAATGACAACAGAGGGTTTAGAATATTCCAGAAACTTAGTTGATAAAGCAGTGTCAGGGTCGAAGAAAACTGATTCCAATTTTGAAAAGTTCTACCGTGGGTAAAATACTACCAAACAGCAACACAGGCTACAGAGAAATCGTTCTTGAAAGAAAAAGTCAATCAATGTGGCAAATTTCACTGTTGTCACATTTTAAGAAATTGCCACAGCCATCCCAACCTTCAGCAAAACTACCACCTTGATCAGTGAGCAGCCACCAACATGGAGGCAAGACCTTCCTGCAGCAGAAAGGCTACCCCCTGCTGAAGGCTCCAGTGATTTTTTAGCAACAGAGTTTTAATTAAAAAAAAATTTTTTTTGAGACACAGTCTTGCTCTCTGTCACCCAGGCTGGGGTGTAGTGGTGTAATCTCGGTTCACTGAAACCTCTGCCTCCCAGGTTCAGGCGATGCTCCTGCCTCAACCTCTCGAGTAGCTGGGATTATTGGCTAGTAGAGACAGGGTCTTGCCATGTTGGTCAGGCTAGTCATGAACTCCTGACCTCAAGTAATCCGCCCACCTCAGCCTCTCAAAGTGCTGGGATTACAGGCGTGAGCCACCGCACCTAGCCGCAAAGTATTTTTAAGTTAAGGAATATATATTAAGATATAATGTTATTGCACAATTAGTAGACTATAGTATAAACCTAACTTATATATGCACTGGGGAATCAAAAATTTGTGTGACTTGCTTTACTATGATATTTGCTTCATTGTGGAAGTCCGAACCTGCAAAGTCTCCAACGTATGCCTGTATAATAGATTATTATCCCCCATTTTTCAAAGTTCCAAGTGCTATGTAGTTACTTAAGATGCTTATGGTATGAAGTATTAGAGATCAATAAATAACCTCCATTTTTAAAAGTTCTAAATTTGTTCCACAGTATATTAAGGAGTAAAGAGGGAACCATTACAGCCAATAATGAAAAGATGGTAGCAATATACAACAAAAACAAATATGTCCAATCTACGTGAATGAAAATAACCAAACAACCAGACTCTACAAACATCTCCTGATATCAGTAATGAGAAATGAGACCTATATTAAAGTCTTCGGTAACTTCCCATAGCAAGGAAAATGATCACATCCTATCAATATAAGGAAAATTTACCAGTTCCACTGTGCTGCTTATCATGAAAATGGCATTCAACAGAAGTGGTGGGTAGAATACCACTAAGGGAAGAATTTGGAAGGGCGGGAAATAATTAAGAGTATGCACAGCATGGTAACACTGATATTCCTGGGACACCAGTGTCATCATGCCCCTCTCCTGCTGAAGGACTCGTTTATTAAGATACAGGATATCAAGTACAATTTTTTTAACTTTACATTAAAGGCTCTTCCTCCCACAAGGAAGGCCTCTTAACTCCTGCCAAAAAAAAAAAAAGAAAAGGCTTATTTTCTGTACACTACACATGATCAACTCTTCCTCCAAATCCAGGCTTCTATCAGTCCTACAACCTGGAGAAAGGTTCCCATTCCTCTCATCCTCCTACTCTTACTCTGTAATCCAAGCCCAGCTGGGTTTCTACTTCCTCTGTAAGAGATGCCAATCACCTCAACCTACAGTATTTTAGTTTCTTTAAACTCTGTAAAGCTATGGAGCATTTACCTGGTGATATAGTATTCGTGATTTATGTGTATGCATACATGCAAAATTTTATTTCCTATCTAGATTTCTTTCATGATGCAGGTTTTTACACACTAAAAGTAACTGGATCTTGGCGAGGCACAGTAGTTTATGCCTGTAATCCAGCACTTTGTGAGGTCAAGGAGGGAGGATCATTTGAGCCCAGAAGTTTAAGGCCAATCTGGGCAACATATCAAAACCCTGTATCTACAAAACTAAGTTTTTAAAAGATTAGGTGGGTGTGGTAACACGCACCTGTAGTCCCAGCTACTCAGCAGGACGAGGTGGGAGGATCATTTGAGCTCAGAACTTGGAGGCTGCAGTGAGCTATGATTGCACCACTGCACTACAGCCTGGGTGACAGAATAAGGCCCTGTCAAGAAGAGGGAAGGAAAGGAGGGAAGGGATCGGGAGAAGGGAAGGGGAGAGGAGGAAGTGAGGCACAGAAGAGGGCAGAGGGGAAGAGGGGAGGGGAGGCAGGGAGCCGGTGTGAGAAAGAAACTGTTGTAAGATTTTGGCTCTGGGTGGATGACTTCAGACAGAATTTAAGAACGCAGGGGTTCCACATATGCTGGGTACTGTCAGAAAGTGGGAGTAATCGTATGAATGGGTATTTCACAAAATCGTATCCATGGGTTCAGGCTAGAACAGAATAACGCTGCAACTGGTGAAGAAGTAGCAGTCACTCATACTGGTTCAGAGAAGGGTATTCTTTGGGTGGCACAGTGACCATGTTTTCATCTGCACTTAAACGCAACGATGACGTGGCCTGCTCTGTCTTATTGCATCCTGGTCTTGGAGAACCCTTGCCTGAGGCTGGGGTTCTGTGTGATTATTTATGGCCTCATTAGAGAACAGCACAACACAGCTGTGAGGGCCACACCAGCTTCTGCTCCTGTTTTCTCACTTGATCCTTCCCCAGAGCTTGATAGTCTCAATACTTGAAGACTTTATGGATAAAATCAGTGATATTAATGATTTTTTGACATCATAAAATGAAACAAATTAGCATTTGAAAGGTCAACATAATTCAGTTAACCACTGTCTCTAACAGTTACAGACTGTTATACTTCCAACTCTGTAACAGGGGATAACAGCTCTATAGCTGAAGGAAACAAAGTGACAAACGTGCCATTCATAAAATTTGGAGCCCCTTCATTCCTCCATGGTGTATTAAGTTCCTGTGTACTAGTCTCATATTATGCGCCAGGAATGGAGAATCAAAAAAAGAAAGGCCCTTGTCCTCAAGCAGCTCATGGTCTAATGGGGTAATAAGGGTTCACAGCCCACAGGCAGACACTAAGAAGCACTGCCACAACAGGGCGATGGTCCGATACCTCTTAAGGGCAGTGCATTCAGACCAAACAGTGACTCCCCACAGGAGAACATGGCAGCACTTAACCCTGCAGACCCAACAGGAGTTAGCAGGTCAAAGGATTGGCAGGTGCTGAGGAGGAGGAGATAAACTGGGGGGTTATAAGGGATTTTCTGTCACAAACAGAGGAAAGCCTTCTAGGGCTGTGGTGAGTGAACCAGGAGGCAGCTCGTGGTGTTGGCAGGGGCTCTGATCAAGACTTGATGAGGGCCTAAATACGTAAGGCCATGGCAGTGGGTATAGAGAGGAAGGAATGGGTGTGAGAGGCATTAAAGCTAAATGTAAGGGGCCCGCCCAACCAACTGGATTACTTAATGTGGTCAACTTAAAAGCAACAAAGGCCACTGTTGCCACTAGAGTACTTTCTTCCTCTGAAAAACTCTTGTGATATGAACACTAATTCAAGTATGTTACCTGGTGTTCTTCTGAGGAGTCAGCATAACCTGGCCTTCTGACGTGATGTCTATAATACAGTGTTCAGGAAGAATTCCCATGCCGCACAGTTGGATATCTTGGGAATTTGCTGACCCTATCAATGTATGTTCCTAAGAAAAAACCAAATTCACTGATTAATACTGTATTCTTACATATACACAATTGAAATCATTTACACTGAGCCCTCTTATATTGTCCTATTACCTTTGCGAAAATTTTTTTTATTTTTATTTTATTTTTGAGACAGAGTCTTGCTCTATCCCCCATGCTGGAAGGCAATGGTGCAATCTCAGCTCACTGCAACCTCCGCCTCCCAGGTTCAAGCGATTCTCCTGCCTCAGCCACCCGAGTAGCTGGGATTACAGGCATGCACCACCATGCCCAGCTCATTTTTTTGTATTTTTAGTACAGACAGGGTTTCACCATGTTGGCCAGGCTGGTCTCAAACTCCTGACCTCAAGTGATCCACCTGTCTTGGCCTCTCAAAGTGCTGGGATTACAGGTGTGAGTCACCATGCCTGGCCTAAAAGATTTTTTAAAAGCAAATGAAGCCAGGCATGGTTGAAACAAAAACAGGAAGGGAGCGAGATTTGGCCTGTGAAAAGCAGTTGGTTGACCCTGACCTAGACTAACTCACCTACTCCCATGGTTTTAAATGCCATCTACAAATAAACTACATCTCTATCACCACCCTAGAGCTACATACTTTAGTTCCGTTTTTTTCCCCACCTCCACAACCACTATCGCAGTCTTAGTCACTTATTTTTTATTTATTTATTTATTTTTGAGACAGGGTCTTTTTCTGTCACCCAGGCTGGAGTGCAGAGACACTATCCATGCTCACTAAACCTCACCTTCTTGGGCTCAAGCAATCTTCCTGTCTCAGCCTCTGAGTAGCTGAGATCACAGGCAGGCACCACCTTGACCAACTAATTTTTTTTTTTTTTTTTTTTTTGTAGAGACAGGGTCTCACTATGTTGCTCAGGTTGATCTCAAACTCCTGGGCTCAAGCAATCCTTCCACTTCACCCTCCTGAAGTACTGGGATGACATGTGTGAGCGACTGTGCCCAGCCTCAGCCACTATTATTTTCTGCCTACTCAGCCTACTTGACACAACTTGGATGTCTGAAGATATATCAAATGGAATAAGCGCCAAAGCTAAACTCTTGTTCCCATCTCCCCTAACCCAACAGAAGTCTATTTCCTTCTCCAATAATAATGGATGGCACTACCACCACCAGTCAGTCAACTGAAAAGCTTAGATATAATTCTTGAGTCCTCTTTCTTTCTCTTACAAGCCCATACCCACCCCATGTCAATCAGGGAAAACCTTACAGATTTTTCCTCCAAGGTCTATCAAGAATAAGCTTGTGATCCCCACCTCCATGACTACATCCTAGATTCAGCCTCCAGGATCTCTTGCCTGTGGATACAGGAGCTTCCTACTGTGTCTCCATTGCATGCCACTCCCTTCCACTCCTGCCACAACAGCTGGTCACACCATCCCCTATTTAAAACCTTCTAAGAGTGGGCATGGTAGCTTACACCTGTAATCCCAGCAATTTGGGAAGCCAAGGCAGGAGAATCGCTTGAACCTAGGAGATCAAGACCAGCCCGGGCAACACAGTGAGACCTCGTCTCTACCAAAAAAAAAAAAAAAAAAAAAAAATTGTGGCCAGGTGCGGTGGCTCATACCTGTGATCCCAGCACTTTGGGAGGCTGAGGTGGGTGGATCACTCAAAGTCAGGAGTTCAAGCCCAGCCTGGCCAACATGGTGAAACCTTGTCTCTACTAAGAATACAAAAAAATTAGCCAGGTGTGGTGGCACATGCCTATAATCATAGCTACTCGGGAGGCTGAGGCAGGAGAGTGGCTTGAACCTGGGAGGTGGAGGTTGCAGTGAGCTGAGATCGTGCCACTGCACTCCAGCCTGGGCGAAAGAGCAAGACTCCGTCTCAATAAATAAATAAATAAATATAAAAATGAGGCAGGAAGATTACTTGAGCCCAGGAGATTGAGGCTGCAATAAGCCATAATCGTACCACTGCACTCTCACCTGGGTGACAGAACAAGACCCTGCCTCAAAAAAAAAAAAAAAAAAAGTAAGAATAAAACCTTCTAGTGGCTTCTCTTTGAACTTCCAATAAAGCCCAAATTCTTACCCGGGCTTACAAAGCATTCTACAACCTGTCCCTGCCTGTCTCTGACCCTCACACTCACCATCTTCCCCTCACAGAGCATGTGCCAGCTACATCGGCCTCCCATCTGTTCTTTGAGCACACTGAGCCTATTTCCATCCTACTGCCTTTTACTAGCTGTTTCCTCCGTCTGAAATGTTCTTCCCCTGATCCTGACATGGGTCATTTCTTACCGTTTCTATCTCAGCTTTTAAAGTCACATCCTCAGAGAGGTGCTTCCTGAGCTCACAATTGGAAAAAGCCACTGTCATCCTGCCCTATTTTAACTCCTTCCATGACACTGACTGACTGTGGGTTTACTGTCCATCTTGTATTCCAAGCACTTAACAAAGGCCTGGCATATGTAGGCATTAAAAAAATATAAAAATAAATGCACAATCATTTCCTTTTGTGTGCCCAGGTAATCAAAATAAGATAAAGTTAAGCAGGGATAGCATCTCAGTCTCTTTATTGATAGATGGGTATAATGATTCTGAAGTATGCTACTATAAAGAATTCCAGGATAAATAAAGGGGGTGTTATATTCTAGAAGACTAAGAGAACTGTACAGCTGGAACTAGAAAGAACTTTGGAGATGTTTTAATCCAATGCCTTCACTTACACATGGAGTGGCTGAAGTCATCCAGAGACGTGAATTCATCTGCCCAGCATCTAAATTGACTTTTGAATTGGAAGGCAAAGTAATGAATAATGCTCAGCCTCCAAATTCCACCATAAAACTGTTCTTGGACTGAGATCATCCTTTTGAATGTGCTTTGTCTTGAAGATATGCTTGCTGTGGGGTTAGCTTGGGCGATCAAGAAATCAACACTGCCTCAGACTTGGCCAAACAGGGCTGGCCACACAGTCTGAAACACAACCCAAACACCTCCACACAAGATGACCAGAAACTTTGATGACTCTCCAAACATCTTTAAACAGCTTCTTTGTTTACGTTTTTAGTTAAGGAGCAGATATGAATCAGAGTTTTTTCTTGATATGTGTGTTTGTGTGTACCAATTTGAACTACAGTACAATGCAAAGAAAAAGAATGTCTGGTTCTGAGAAAAGGACAGAATATTTAGGTCCTATTCTAACATCGCATCTCTTCCCACGTAGTCAGCTCGTTAGCTTTACTTTCCCGGTCACATTCATATGAATATCCCCAGCTGACATCCTAACTCAGAATGCTACCAGCACTGTTCAGAAGCAAAGTAAGTAATGTGATAATACATTTTTTTTTTGAAACAGAGTCTTGCTCTGTTGCCCAGGCTGGGATGCAGTGGCATGATCTCAGCTCACTGCAACCTCCACCTCTTAGGTTCAAGCGATTGGCCTGCCTCAACCTCTCAAGTAGCTGGGACTACAGGCATGTACCACCACCCCGGCTAATTTTTATATTTTTAGTAGAGACGGAGTTTCATCATGTTGGCCAGGCTGGTCTTGAACTCCTGACCTCAAGTGATCTGCCCGCCTCAGCCTCCCAAAGTGCTGGGATTACAGGTGTGAGCCACCACGCCCAGCCAATAATATATCATTTTTTAATAGGCAAGGATAATATGTGTATAAGAAACCATACAGGTATCAAACAAAAAAGTGGAATGTGGGATCTTTTCTATTTGTATAGTGCTTCTGTTTACGAAGTACTTCTGTATCTCCAACCCTCACAGGAACCTGGCAAAGTAGCCAGAGACCTTCCCTCCATTTACAAAGGAATTAGACTAGAGGGGGCAAAGGGCTTGGCCGTAGACTAGAGAGACAGGTCACTCCCTCCTACCCCAGCTTTGCCGCCACTGAACCACAACACTTGAGACATGCACATATGAAGGTATGCATCAAAGACACAGCCTAACTCACAGCATGACAATACATCATATAAGATACTTATTAACAACAGGGCTTCTCAAAATGACACAGAGTCACTGACCCAGGATCTCTCCAGGCTTTTCTGAAATGAAACCACACAATTCTCTTAGAGCTGTTTCCCACATAGTCAGCCTGTTAGCTTTACTTTCCTGGTCATGTTCATTAAACCCACACATGTGAGGGGAAAGAAACTGTGTGCCAACAGTTATCAACTCTGTGTTAGAGTCGTGTAGTCCATCATATATGATAAGTAATTTGTGCTCTGGGCTTGACACAGCCCATTCTGGGCACTCCTCGAATCTGTGTGGTGTCTCAGGGTTCAGACTTATTCTGAAGTTGTCTCTTATCTTACTAATATATCCCATGATTTATAGATTTCAGTGGATACCAATATTTGTCTTCTTTTCTGTTCTGTGCTCTGACTCACTGAGTCTCTAAATAACCTATACTCTCTCTCTTTTAATAGATTGATAACCCAAATTTTTAATTTTTCCTAAGAGTTACTGGAAACATAAATTTCATACCAACTGGTCCTAAGAACTTTATTTATACATTTTTTTCTTGTGAGCTAACACACTGCTCACAAAAGAATGTGCTTCACATAAACCATAAAAGCTTTCGTATACTTACTAAATGAATCATTTAGTCTTCAAAGTCATCCATTTTTAAAGTTATCTACTTAATTCCCTGATACAAATCACGTTAAATAATGGTAGGTAAGGTATTTGACTTGTTGGAAATAATATCAGAGTATCATTTTTTTATATTGTCAGGTTGAATGGCATCAAAGACTAAAAAAGAAAACTGAGTCCAGAAACCCAAGATGGTTCTATAACTTTTTGCTGTTTTCTGAGTAAGCATGGTTCCCCAAGTTTACTAAAGTACTGTGAAATATTGTCCTATTTTGTAACAAGAATCTAGTAGCAAAGCACATTACTTCACCTTTAAATAGTACACCAGAAGCTCATTCAGAGCTGGGTCAGCATTCAGATTCACAAGGAAGCATTTATCATCCCCAACTTTGATTCCCGAAGACTGAAGAGATATTCCAAGACTCTCAAGCTGTTTCTGTCGTTCCTGTAAATGTTATCAGAGAAGTATTAATTTCACAGCTATTGAGGCAGTGAGATATCCAAGCGTTTACATTACAATGTTACAATTATTCAATAGTGTTGTAATTCAAATACATTCTCTTAGGCTATGGCATTATAGATTTATTGCATTTTTCTCTTTCCAAACTATATGATTTTTTTGTTAATTCTAATTTTATTTTGAAAAATAAAGTCTATTACATATAGTAACTAATTGTACTAGTGATTCTCAGTTTTCATTCTTGAAAATATCTGATGTCTTGAATTCATCTCATTTAACTCTGTATATATAAAAGCAAAAGTGTGTGCACTTTCCTCAACCGGGATCCTTCTTAAAAGCAAAGGAGGATCAATAAACTCTCCTGCTTGACATCTTCAGTGACCTCCCCATCAGGATAAAGGCCAAACTCCCTCAGTAAGGATCACAAGGCCCTTCAACCTGGCCTGCTTCCCCTCTGGCTTCATGTCTTCTCACTCCTGTCAAACCCAGCACTGCATGAAACAAGTTCCAGGTCCTTGAGAGTGCTAAGAATGTTCTCTGGGCTGGGTGTGGTGGCTCATGCCTGTAATCCCAGCACTGTGGGAGGCCAAGGCAGGCAGATCACTTGAGGTCAGGCGTTCAAGACCAGCCTGGTGAAACCCCATCTCTACTAAAAATATAAAAATTAGCCAGCTGTGGCAGCAGGTGCCTGTAATCCCAGCTACTCGGGAAGGTGAGGCAGGAGAATCACTTGAACCCGGGAGGTGGAGGTTGTGGTGAGCCGAGATCATGCCATTGTACTCCAGCCTGGGCGACAGAGAAAGACTCCATCTCAAAACCCCCCCCCAAAAAAAAACAAAAAACAAACAAACAAAACAAACGTTCTCTGTGTTCTCGTTAGCTGAAAAGATTTTATACCTCTTTTTTCTATCTGGAGCAGACGTGTTCTACTTCGTAACTGTTCACCGGGCCATTTCTCTCACACAGGACTGTGTGCTGTGTGGGTATGGATCCTATCTTATATACTGTTGTGTTCCCAGCACTTAGCACAGTGAAGGACACATGGTGAGCACTCAAAACATCAGTGTGGTGAATTTATCCAAAAACAAACAAATTTGCATATGCACTCAAGCGTTATTTTCATAACACGGGCCTTTCCTTTTTTGTGCCTGCCTCTGAACCCATACAATATATGAACATCTGTACATCGTAAGGATATGGGCATGGATCTCACAACCAGATGCTCTGTAGTTAGGGTACAGTCGGGGCTGGAGAGGGTATCTTCGACTATGGGTAAATAGCAAGTAGCAATGAGTCAATCACCCAAGACCTCTGATTCTGGGGAAAGGCAAGACAAACTAAGTCATTTAACTACAGCCACAAAGTAAGTTCGCAGCATAATTAAAATAAAGTTTCACAATTTTGCTATTTCTAGGCATGCCATCGTAATTTATACAATCACTGCAACTCAGCCAATATATCCTGCCTAGAAGTATACTACCACAAAATTGAAATGTGTATTTTGGTCCTGGGTCTTCAAATCAAGTCTTTAAATCCAGTTCTAACAAAAAGAACTACAGGGTTCTTTCAGAAGTTTTGAGTCATTTAATGCTAACCATCAGAGTTTTCTGCACTCAATTCCAAGAAGTGATTCTCCTTGAAAAAGACTCATGTCCATAAGATGAGGTAACTAACTATACCTTTCTCTAAGTTATCCTAGTTATCACTGTTTTACACTACTTCCCTGTGCATATTTCTGTCATTTGAGATTCTATAATGGTAAAAACGCTACAAAATTTTTGTCAAAGCCGAAAGAGGCACAATGGTGGAAAACTGTCAATTCATTATTCCGTTTGCCACCAAAAACTAAAGTTTTAAATCATCTAAAAAAATTACAAATGTTTGTAACATCTAGGAATCAGCTCATAACAAAGTACTATATGATAAAATACAGTTTACTGATATCATCAAATATTGCTTCTGATATCAGGGGTTGGTTAACTTTTCCTATAAAATGTCGGATAGTAAATATTTAGTCTTTGTGGGCCATGGGGTCTCTGTCTTATTCATTCCTGCTGCCGAAGCCATACATAATACATAAACAAATGAGCACAGCTATATGACAAAAAAATTTACAAAAGCAAGTGGCAGACCAGGTTTAAATCACATGCATTGTCTGTCAACCCCTGATCTATCTCAAGGTTTTGATTTCACTTAAGTGTGTATCTTTTAATGGGAACATAAAAGATAAAAATAAGGGACAATGTGGTATAGCAGATATGGCACTGGAATTAGAAAATACTCATCTTGAGTTCTTTCTATGCAAAAATATTACTGAGCATACAACACTAAAAGATACAGTCTTTTTTCTTAAGAACTTACAAACTCAACAGGGACTAAAACTATACATAACAATTAAACAATGGTGAAGTATTGGATGATGTAAGGGTCAAAGGGTGCAGAGGCTGCAGAGAATTCTGTGGTAGGGCCATCCGAGGGCTTGCACCCCACAGGAAGATGTTACAGAGCCCAGAGGACCCATGGAGAACCCAGCTAACTTGCAACTGCCCCCAGAATGACGTGAGAAGTCCTTCAAAAAAGAAATTCATTGAATTCAGTTTGCCCGGAAATTGCCAAATTTATCTGACCATGGACCATGTCAACTGACATGTCTCAAGTCATCTTCCAGAAGACTTATTAACACTTTGTAGCTCTACTGTCAGAAATAGATTTTGAAAGATATCAGTTTGGATTAGGAAGAAGTAAGTGATCAAGAGACCAGGTTTCTTCAATGAGAAAAGAAAAACATTCAACAGCACTAAAGCCTGGGAGCTCTGGAAGGTTAAGGCATTGAAGGAGCTGTTGAATAAAATCAGGCAGTGCCCCCAGAAGGGACCCCTGAGAGAGGAAAAGAAAAGGTGCCAACACTAAGCTCCCCAAGATGTAGGCTCACTTAGACTTGCCCTGTTTTCTATCAGCACAATGACTCATGACAACAAATGTTTACTGTTGGAGCAGCTCAGAATGGCTCACACAAAGTAGCTTCCAAATGGGACAATTATTAGAATGACTTATAATTTATAAAAAACACAGGGAGATATGTAATGAGAAATAGTTTATACACTGATCTCTTCTCTATAATTTTAGGGATATGCTTTAAGATAAGCCAATGCAGGGACACAAAAACAACACTGGCCATATGCTGATCTTTAATGAAACCAGGTGATGGGTACCTATAGATTTAGTATACTCTTCTCTAATTTTTATCTACTTTGAAAATGTCTGCAATAAAAATGTTTTTAAAATCTATTTTAATCCCAGTCTGTGCTAATATAACATCCACTTTATGCTAAGTAACAACAGTATCATCCTACAACATCTGATACACAGATTGATTCTGGACAGCACATTTCAAGATGGAATCTACTGAGTGAAAACAGATTGAGCAAGTTCTATATATTCTCTAATACAAGGAACAGTTAAAAACAACAGGGAATTTTAACTTAGAAAAGGAAGAGGAAGAGGCAGAGAGATGACTTTAAATAGATGAACAACTTGGGTAGTAACAGTCCCTATCTTGTTAGACTACTGAGAGGATTACATCAAGTTCTGTAGTTAAAAGTGCTTAGCATAGGGCTCAATACATAAGTGTATCCAATAAACGCTGGCTGTTACTGCCATCACCAGTTACTGTGTTTGGGTGGGACACTTAACGCTCTTAGCTACAAAAGAACAAACTAGGGCCAGTGAGTAGAAGTAAAAGAATAAAAGACTGATTCAATCGCTACTACTGGAGTTGTCTGATTATGAAAAGCCTGTTAGATGGGGTCCTGAGCTCCACATTACCATATGTATTTCTAAAACAGTTGGAAAATCATGAAACAGGAAAGCTACAGTGTAAATCTATTATTAGGTAGACAGACTTTTTCTCCCAATGCTAAACTTAACTAGATCTTCCTAGACGAATTCTAATGTTCCTACCCTAACGTGTTTTTTTTTTTTTTTAGATGGAGTCTTGCTCTGTCACCCAGGCTGGAGTGCAGTGGCACGATCTCAGTTCACTCCAATCTCCACCTCCCGGGTTCAAGCGATTCTTGTGCCTCAGCCTCCCAAGTAGCTGAGACTACAGGTGTGTGCCACCACGCCTAGCTAATTTTTGTGTTTTTGGTAGAAACAGGGTTTTGACATGTTAGCCAGGCTGGGCTCAAACTCCTGACCTCAGGTGATCCACCTGTCTTGGCCTTCCAAAATGCTGGGATTACATGTGTGAGCCATCACACCCAGCCACCACCCTACGATTTCATAACTATCACTGTCACTAGAAAATGGTGAGAGACAGTCACCTCAGATTTAGGAATTTCATCTTACTTTCACTGGGTTTTCACATGGAACCAAGAAGTTCATGGCCTAATATCTATTAGCAGTATTTTTTTTTCTTGGCCACATGCACTAGATGGAGTAATTTTGTAATTTCAGGAAGTTCCTTAGGTCTCCAAAGCACTTAATAGAATGCGGTGTTAAGAGCCAGGGGCTACAAAGGAGTTATTTCATTAAATTTTTTTTAAAGATTACTGATACTAAAAAATTATTTCTTACATAAACAATCAAGTGCAATTATATCCTGTTTATCCTTCAAATTAATTTTGCAAAGTATAGATTCTTTCAGATCTAGATTCCTAATGATAGTGTGAGATTTGCCATCAGCCAAGCTGAAGATCAAAAAGGAACCAGAAACACCATGTGTCCCATTGTGCAAACTGCCATGAGGTTTCATGCGCTTCATCATCAGGAAACACGAACCTGTGCAATCTCCTCCGTTTTCCTTAATTTCTCCTCCCAGGTCACAGTCATTTCCTGGATTAGCTTCTCAGATTCTTCCAGCCGGTCCTTTAGCTCTGGAGATTTCATTGCCTACAAGCAAAATGTTTACTTCATGAAATGTCTAGAAGATGCCCTGGAAAAAGAAGTGGCCAACTCTAAAAGGACAAAAGTAACAATCTGCCTCCTCATGGCTGAATGTCACGCTGAGGTCTGACATCTACTTCGATTGTAGATCGAAGTACCTCGATTGTCTGAGGACCACAAACTCATTGAGTTATCCAAAATATGCCCAAAAAGAAGGCTTTTTCCTTTTCTGACACTCTATTGTGAAGATATAATTACATTTAAGGATGCAAAAATGTAAAGCTTCTAAGGGTTTATCTTTAAAATCCTAATAGGTTATACATCTAGACTCAGACACATGATTCATTCTAGCCCTTATTGATGACTTCAGGAATTTATCCACATATGTACAGACTAAATGTGTACATGTTGCAGACTGGATGGTGTTATTAACACCAAGGAGACAACAGTCTTCATGGACTATAAAATTATTCCTATAAAAACAGGATAAAATTCAACAGGTAAAAATACGATCAAGATAATCATCCTGACCATGTCTCTTACTGATTTATTCCCAGAAAACAGGTATGAGAAAGAAAGCAAACTCCAGAAAGAGCCCCACAGTGCTGAGTAACTGTGGGAAGAGAAATGCTAATGAAAGTAGGAATCCTGGCCGAGCACGGTGGCTCACGCCTGTAATCCCAGCACTTTGGGAGGCCGAGGCGGGCGTATCACCTGAGGTCAGGAGTTCAAGTTCAAGACCAGCCTGACCAACATGGAGAAACCCTGTCTCTATAAAAACTACAAAATTAGCTGGGCGTGGTGGCGTGCGCCTGTAATCCCAGCTACTCAGGAGGCTGAGGCAGGGGAATCACTTGAACCCAGGAGGCAGAGGTTGCAGTGAGCTGAGATCACACCATTGCACTCCAGCGTGGGCAACAAGAGTGAAACTCCACCTCAAAAAAAAAAAAAAAAAGTAGGAATCCTGAATCTAATATTTCATTCCACTTTCCCAAGAAGATGAGCACTTGGGATTGCAGGTCAGAGTTGGTAGGTTTTCAAATTTATTAATGCAACATTATCCATTACAGAATACACAGAAAACAGCTGTAATAGAGTACCACTAAATACATGGGTACTTCTACTACAAAATATTTTCTACAAACGTAATTAATCCACAACATGGAAAAGCTAGATTATGAAGGTGTAGAAGACTCAAGATTTTCATTCCGACTTCTACCAGGTAACAAATGAGATTCAACAAAAATCCTGCTCTCCATCATTTTCTGCACAAAAATTAAAATTACATACACATGGTCTCCAGCATCTCTCTTCCTCTCCTATTCTATTATACCTCTCTCTTTTGTCTGCCGCCTGAATAGAAATGCAAACATTTTCTCAATTCTATTTGCTCCTGTTCAATCTTTTTAACATCTGTAAAACCTCTTTGGAATTCTAATATGACAACCTTCCTTTATTTATTACTCATCCCAAAGTTCTCTTGCTGTAAGAAATTCGCAAATTTTAAGTAGAGTACTCATCCCTCACAGCCCAGGGGAAGGAAATTCAAGCTCTAGGCTGATTCCTCTTCCTGGACTCACAGGGCGCACGCGGTGGTGCCTCCTACCTCTGCTTTGGTCAGCTGCTCCCGGAGTTTCTCAACTTCTTCCCGGAGATCCCGGATAATTCGGGCATTAGGGTCCTCATTCACCACAGCGTGGTTTACAATGTGCTTGGCTCGATCTGCATACCGCAGAGTTGAGAGGGTTTCATCATAGTTATCAGCTGCAGGACTCACAGTAGCCACCATGGCGGTCTTGCTGTTACCCCCGAGGCTGTCCTACAGGAGAAAACAGAAAGTTGAGTAGCATATTAAAGTTGGAAGAAGACGTCATATGAGAAACCTGAAATCAAAAATGGTGAACAAATTTCCCCAGGTCAAACACATTCAATGACAGAGCCAGGGCTAAAATGCAGGTGTATGGACTCGAGTCCTGTGCTGTTTCTTCTCTGCCAAGCCATTGCACTAAAAATAGGGAGTTTTAGCCTTTGATAAAGGACGGGGAAATGTCATGAAACCTACCTTTATTTCGGTTTAACACAAATTAATTCTAAGTCATCTGCCCTATTTTATAGGCAAGATGATACCACAAGAACACAGACTACTCGGAATAAAAAAGGACTCCTTAAATGCCTCCAACATCTTCCTCCTTAGAGGAACAAGCATGATACTTACTTGGCAACCTCCTCCACAACCCCCTGTACTGGGAGTCTCTGTGAAGCCTAATAATGGCTCAGAAAGTTGCTGTTACAAGCTATCAAGCACCTTGTAAAGTTTTTAAAACATAAGGTACAATTATAGTCTCACAAAAAAGTATGTTAAAGCAACTTCATTTTCTTCGCTCTGATAGCACTTCAAAAGCTACTAAGATTGCAAGTTCTACAGAAGCACTTCCACCGTTCAGACAATGGTCCTGAGAAGAGATACTGTCTTCATGACACTCAAACTGCTAAGTACAGTGAAACGGCTTTAGGACCGACTGGCTTCCAACAGAATGAAAAACCACCCTCACTTGAGAACATTAAAAATAGAGATTTAACTCAAGCACAAAAGAAGACTTGGGGCATCAAGCCCACTGCGCTCTGCTGCACCACAGACAAGGCTGCCTATGCAGGCGACCTCCTGGCGCCCACACCCTAGTACTCTCTGCTTCCCTTGAGGGTGGCCAGGACTTATTCATCGGTCTCCAAGGAATGAAAGTGATGGCATGTCACCTCTAAGGGTAGATTCAAAGAAGATGGTGGCTTCTGTCTTGGGTGTTTTCTTTCACTCTGGGGGAAACGGGCTGCCGTGAAGTGAGGTGGCCCTACGAAGAGAGGCCCACAGGCACGAGTTTGGAAGCAGATCTTCTGGACCCTGCTGACAACCATGTAAGTGAGCAGACACCTCCCCACACCGGTCATGCCTTGAGATGATGATGACGGCAGCCCCCCATCCCCAACACTTTAATTACATCCATGTGAAACAACCCGGCTAGAGCCACGTCATTAAGCCACACGCACCCGGAGTCCTGACCTATGGAAACCCTGAGACAATAAATGACTTGTTTGCAGCTGTTCCTCTGGGGGTAATCTGTTACAATCAATAGATAACTACTCATATATTAGGATACCAACCCAGGCTGAGACAAATCATCGAAGCAAACAAAAAGATTGAATATACTCTTTTTAGGAACAGAATGTCACTGAATGACAGACTCTCAAGATTAGAGGGAACACTCCAATGGGCCAGTAATGGGAAACTCACTAGAGCATAAGAAAGCTAACTCTACTTTGGGGCAGCATTAACCTATGGAAAACTGCTTTTGAAAATAAAAGGCTTTTCCAATCTTATTACAATGAAAATGAGTTGGTACAATCTGTGATTTCCCCAGTCTTTGTGCACACACTTTACTTAGGTCTCCACCTTTTGTGAGTTCGATTTATCACAGAGCCTGGTTTTATCGGTGAGAAAACAGGTTTGTTCGGACAATGGAGGTTAAATCTTGCACTCTGCCTAAAAATCTAGAACTGGTAAGTTGAACAATATCCTAGCCCAGTTAGACTCTGCCTTCAAGTCCAACATGATTTCCACTCCCCCACAGCTGCCCACAATACACATTTGGTAACACAGAGAAAGTTCAGGCCTGAAGATTAAATAAGGTGACCTGACATCTTTCCAAATTATCTTGCCCTAGTTTCAGAAACAAAATGATTCCTAAGGTGTTACTAAAAGGTCAATATGATCACAGACAATATGTCCCTTATTCATATACCAGTGAAAGTTTGGTTTTCCACAGAAAACATAATTATATTGCTGAAGAAAATATAATTTAATGTATGACATGGGAAGAACTATAACTAATTTGGACTTTAGGAGGTAAAAGCCATGACTGTTTGCTTTGCTCTTCACTCCTAGACATTAATCTCACATAGCTGGTGCTCCAGATTTGGCAACTTCCAGAAAAAATTCATGAAGAGTCCCATGAACATGAATGAAATTCAAATGTGATATAACGAAAGCACAGGAATTCAATCTCATCACCATTTGGTTCACTGGCAGCATCGCATTGTCCTCTGAGAACCACTGCACACTGTCAGCCCACGTGAACAGCAAATGCTCTCAGCTGAAAGGGGATTTGTAACGATAACTACCAAAGGAGAAAAGCATGTATATTGTGCTCCAATTTATGCTGAGAAAAGGAAACCTGGCAAACAACAAATGCTTGATATTTTAAAAGCCCTTGTTCATGGAGCAACAATACCCTTATGTTAAAAATGACCTCATGCCATCAGCAAAAAGGAAATCACAACAAAAGAACTGGCACTCATTCAAGGAGAAAGTAGAAAGTGTCTTGTTTACTCTTTAACTGTTTAGGCAAATCAGATGAGGTTTGTTTCAAAGGTGGCAACAGCAAATTAAATAGTCATAGGAAAGAATTTACTTTTGGAAGTCAGAATTTTTAAAAGCTGAAAGAACTCTGTGAAGACATATAATCCAATTATTTCATTTTACAGATGAGAAAGTGAGACCCAGGAAAACGACAGACTTTTCAAAGGTCACAGAGCTGATTCAGAACAGAGCTGAAATTACTCATTCACTCGACTCTTCCTGGAGTTCACCACTAGGGAGGATGCTGGTAAGTAATACTATATAACAAGGACTAAGATGATAGAGATAAATACAATATGGTCTAAAACAAACAGCAGAGAGCCAAATCTTGAAAGGTTAAGGAAGACTCTCACAGAAAGTGACACTTGAGACCCAAAGATAGAGAAGCATCACCCAGGTAAAGGGAGAGGGGAGAGGAGGGAGGAGAGACTGAAGAGATGGGAGGGGAAAGCATGTTCCAAGTGGAACAAGAGTAAAGTCCTAGAGGCAAGACAACACTCATCACTTAGCTGGAATTTGTAACACCAAGAAGCACAAGATGAACAATAAAAAAAGTAAAAGGGGTCAGCTCATAAAGGACCTTGTAAGTCACACGCCATTAAAGAATTTGGACTCTGTGGCTGGGCGCAGCGGCTCACGCCTGTAATCCCAACACTTTGGGAGGCCAAGGCAGGAGGATCACTTGAGTCCAGAAGTTCAACACCAGCCTGGCCAACATAGTGAGACCCTGTTTATACAAAAAAGAAAAAAAAGGAACTTGGACTTTATCCTAAGGGCCTATAGACAGTTACTGAAAAGACTGAAGGTTAAAAGTATTAATGTAGAAAGATGTTGCAACCTAACCATGGAGAAAGGACTGGACTAAGAAAGCTCGAGGGAAACGACTGTCATCCAGGCGACAGATGAAAAGTGGCCTTCATTAGGGAGGTGGCAGTAGGAACGAAAAGAGGGAGATGAATTAGAAAGATACTCATTATCTGAGCACTCACTACCAGAAGTTACTTCACGTTAAGAGGCCCACATTTAGATGGTTATTCAGAGGACCAAAAATCATCTTAATATGAAATAGTTCTCCAGTGATGACTCAGCGAATGCGTAACCCTCATTTAATGGTTGTTCCATCCTCCCTGGGAGAAGAGCACTCACATCTATTCTGGACCAAATCACCAAGAAAAGCCACAGCTTCTCTCATTCTCAGATGTTACACACATTAAGAGCACAACACAATTACAACGCAAATATGAGGCAGAAAAAAAAAGACGCTGTGAAACTGAAAATGTTATAGAAGATGGGCAATTGTACAAGTTCAATGGAAATTATGTTGAAGAATACTGGAAGTATGCCCATGTCAAACTAGGATCTGGGTGAGTCAGACTAAGAATTTAAGAAGGAAAAAGCAACAGGGACCTAAAACCCACTTTAAAGGAAAAGGATCTCCATTTCAACCAATTTGGAGAGAGCTCTGGGAAAACTGCTTAAGCTCTGGAACATGTTTTGCGAAAAAAAAAAAAAATGCCCCTATTTACGATCTTCTGTGAAGTCCAAATGACGTTAAAAAAAATCATATAATTTTTTTTTCTTCTTTTTTTTTTTTTTTTGAGATGGAGTCTCACTCTGTCGCCCAGGCTGGAGTGCAGTGGCATGGTCTTGGCTCACTGCAACCTCTACCTCCTGGGTACAATCGATTCTCCTGCCTCAGCCTCCCAGGTAACTGGGATTACAGGTGCACACCACTACTCCCAGCTCATTTCTGTATTTTTAGTAGAGATGGGGTTTCACCATGTTGGCCAGGCTGGTCTCAAACTCCTGGCCTCAGGTGATCTGTCCACCTCGGCCCCCCAAAGTGCTAGGATTACAGGCCTCAGTGAGCCCCATGCCCAGCCAGATCACATATATTTTCTTTTCTTTTTTTTTTTTTTTTGAGATGGAGTCTCACTCCGTCGCCCAGGCTGGAGTGCAGTGGCGTGATCTCGGCTCACTGCAAGCTCCTCCTCCCAGGTTCACACCATTCTCCTGCCTCAGCCTCCCGAGTAGCTGGAACT
The DNA here is from genome assembly GCF_000001405.40 of Homo sapiens. Lineage (NCBI taxonomy): Eukaryota > Metazoa > Chordata > Mammalia > Primates > Hominidae > Homo > Homo sapiens. The sequence goes on from NC_000008.11 coordinate 29,172,220, forward strand.
ACAGGCGCCCGCCACCACGCCTGGCTAATTTTTTTGTATTTTTTAGTAGAGACAAGGTTTCACCATGTTAGCCAGGATGGTCTCGATCTCCTGACCTGGCGATCCGCCTGCCTCGGCCTCCCAGAGTGCAGGGATTACAGGTGTGAGCCACCATGCCCAGCCAATCACATACATTTTTAAGGAAAAAGATAATGACAAATATTCAGCAAACACATGAGTTATTTTTAATACATGAAAGTTGCAATGATAACCTAAATTAACTAAACAGCAGATTAAGTGACCTTTTAAAAAATGTTATGGTTTCATTCTTCAAGTTCAAGTACTATGAACAGTTTTTTTCATTATTTTCTATCAAGGACTGGTAATATGAAGTGAGTATCCTTCTAATGAAAATTAACCTTTGATAAGAAGAGCACAGCCTTGGCAAAAACAGCTGCACAGTCAAGTCAGCGATGATTCCAATCCCGATCCTGCCATTCATTAGTTCTGCACCCTCTGTGTCATCTGACCACTGGGAACACCACCCTTTCCCTTCTGAGAAGGAAAGGAGACGATACCCATGAAGCCCTTGGCATGGCACCAGATACTCCTGCAACAGGTGCTCCTGGCCTCCAGGCCAATGAAGCCACTCAGTGATTACCCGTGCCATTTTCACTATGTCGATTAAGTTAACAAAAGATATTTCTTGTTTTTTGGTGCTTTTTTTTTTTTTTGAGAGGGTTGTCTTACTCTGTCACCAGGCTGGAATGCAATGGCATGATATCAGCTCACTGCAACCTCCGACTCCCAGGTTCAAGCCATTCTCCTGCCTCAATCTCCCGAGTAGCTGGGATTACAGGCATGCACCACCACACCCAGCTAATTTTGTTATTTTTAGTAGAGATGCGATTTCACCATGTTGGCCAAGCTGGTCTCGAACTCCTGACCTCAGCTGATCCTCCCACCTAGGCCTCCCAAAGTGCTGGGATTATAGGCATTAGCCACCATGCCCGGCCAACAAAAGATATTTGTTGTTTTAAATGGACTCAAGTAGCAACACTGAAACAAGGACAATATATGATCAGGAAATGTTTCTATGGAAAGTTTGAAGAAGAAGTATCTTATCAAGATTTCTTCTACAGGCCAGGCATGGTGACTCACAACTGTAATCCTGGCACTTTGGGAGGCCGAGGCAGGAGGATGCTCAAGGCCAGGAGTTCAAGACCAGCCTGGGCAACATAGCAAGACCTCATCTCTACTAAAAATTGAAAAAAAAAAAAAATTGCTAGGCATGGTGGTGTAGTCCCAACTACTAAAGGAGGCTGATGTGGGAGGATCACTTGAGTCCAGGAGTTCCAGACTGTAGTGAGTTATGACTGCACGACTGCACTCTAGCCTGGACAACAGAGAGACCCTGTCTCCAAAAAAAAAAAGACTTCTTCTATTAAAAAAAACAAATTCCTGGCCAGTCGCAGTGGCTCATGCCTGTAATCCCGGCACTTCAGGAGGCTGAGGCGGGTGGATCACTTGAGGTCAGGAGTTCAAGACCAGCCTGGTCAACATGGCAAAACCCTGTCTCTACTAAAAATACAAAAATTAGCCAGGTGTGGCGGTGCGCACCTGTAATCCCAGCTACTCGGGAGGCTGAGGCAGAAGAATCGCTTGATCCAGGAGGTGGAAGTTGCAGTGAGCCGAGACTGCGCCACTACACTCCAGCCTGGGCAACAGAGCGAGGCTCCGTCTCAAAAAAAAAAAAAAAACTCATTTGGTAATGAAACGATTTAAAAAAAAATTTTTTAAATACATATGTTTAAGGTATAGAGCACGTTTGATATATGTAAACATAGTAATATAATTGATTACTACATTCAAACAAATGAACGCATCCATCACCTTACATGGTTATCTTTTGTGATAAGAGCACCTAAAATATACTTTGAGCAAATTTTTTTATATACAATACACTGTTATTAACTATAGTCCTTAGACTGCCCATTTGATCTCTAGACTTAATATCCTATATAACTGCAAGTTTGTTCACTAATTTTTTAAAGAAACCTATTTACTCTATGATTTTAATGGCTTTTATGAAAAAGAATAATTATATTCATCCTCCAAAGTCTTGAATTTTGCAGTTTGCTTGTTTTTCTAATTACAGAAAAAAAACTACAAAACATTTTTGTTAGTCTTACAGAAGCAGAAGTTCTTATGCTGTTTGAGACAGGAAAGAAAAGTAAATTTTTTTTTTTAGGGTAAAAGCACTTGAGGTATTTAGTTATGTAAGCTGACGTCAGGATTCAAGTAACAATATCTGAATAATAATGTTCTATTTTAAAAGACAAGGTTAGAATTGTCTTTATGGTGGGCCAAGGTGTTTTAATTTTGTTCCTAATAATTATCTCTTACTATCTGATGTTTGTGAGGTTGTTTGACGAACCTTTACAAGCGGTTTTAATTATCATGATTTGTTTACACTTTTGTTTAAATTTCTAACAGTCCTGCATTTTGGCCAAAGGAAGTAATGGACCTGATATTCTACTGTGGAAAATTTACTGAATTTTAGCATTACATTTAAGAGAGAACACACTGACATTTACGTAAAGAATGTTTTATTTTAACAAAAGATATTCAAATAGTGTGCAGAGTTTTGAATTAAAAAGTTGAATACTAGTTAACTCTTGAGAGGAGGAGGAAACCAGAAGAAACCCCTACTTCATTTCACAAAGGCCTTTTTCTAAACATGCTATGGACTAAATCAGTAACTATGTCCTCTACTAAGCTACTGGGGCGGCCCGTGTTGAACTCATCTTAGTATTTTCAACCCCTAATGCAACGCATGCCAGGTGTTCAACAAATTCTTGATCAATAAGAAAATAAAACATCACAAAATTAAACAGGGCACATAAAATTATTTCTCCATTTTAAAAATAGAAAAAAAAGAGTATTAAAGGATTTAGTGAGGTGACACCTCTATAAATGGGTTAAATTGTCACTGCAACTTATACCCTCTAATTCCCAGTCCGATATCCAACTCACCACACCACCTTATGAAGACTAAAGGGGCTCTGGAAGGCTAGAGGAAGCTGGAAATAAGTCTCTCTTTTTTCACCAGACTCCTATTACATGTTATCACCATCTCTGTCATGGATCTATCACAAACTCATGTTCTAATATTGTGTGTGCACATCTTATCTCCCTTACGAGCCAGAGAGGGCAAGAAGCGCCCTCTGTTTTCCTCTGTTTTAAAATGGAGGCTACGTTCTTCTCCTACCACCGCACATTGGCTTTCTTCTTTCTCACTTCCATTGCTCTTGTTCATACTGAATCAATCAATGAATGAATGAATGACTGTGTGCTCTACTCTGCAGCCTCTAACAACATCTTTAAGAAGCCAAAAGCAAATTAAAGGCATCATGAGTAAAGCTAAACAGAAACCAAGGTCTGACTGTCCCAAAGTTAAACAGAAAACAAGCTCCAAAATGTTAGCCCAACAAAAGGAGTCTGTGGAAGGCCAGGGTGGCCCAGCTGAGTGTGAGGCCAGCGGAGGCTCCTCCTCCATGACTCACACAGTGGTCAGATTAGCAGGAGGCCCTTTCTCTACTCCCCTAAATCTCCAGAAGCAATCGTGTGATTCCGTGTGCGTCCAGCAACCCCACTGCATCCAGGTTCTAGTAAGCTAGGATGTGAATTGCTAGGAAAAAACCTACGTTTATTCCATCAAAAATGTCATTACCATAAGAGCCTAATAATTATACATTTGCACACCGATAGAGGAAATGATACCTGGAAGGGATTAACAGTCTACTCTTTTTTCTTCCTTCTTGCCAACCACCAAAAGTATGCCAGGAAGGGAAAAAAAACAAACTTACTTTGAGCAGCCAAGTGAGAACTGAGTCACGATATGGAACAAATTTATTCTTGTTTTTGCCAGCACTCTGATCTGCAAGAGCTGAGATAACCAGACCGAGGGTTGTGAGGGACCTGCATGGTGCAACAAACCAAAATAATTACAAAAATGAAATATATCAAATGTCACATTTTAGCACAAAGATTGAACACTAAGATGCCCTTGTACCTGCATGTGAGCAGCACCCTGTCAGCATTTTGCCGCTCAGTTCAAAAGCACACAACTCAAAATAGTTATTTTCCCCCAATACTACTATAAGCAATAAAAATGCTTAGCCTAATATTTTGTAGTACATAAAAATGTGAGCTATAAATCTTCAGGTCAATATAACACCAAAACCATGTATCTTTAAGAAAGGAAGCCAGAAACACAATAATTAAACCATAGTACAAAGCAAAAATTGTATATATGAGATTCAATAATAGGATAGCATCTGGGTGACAGTGTTTTATCATCTCCATTTGGTTTCTTTATGACTCCTATGTGTCCTTCTGGGAGCCAAGGACAGAAAAACTTCCTACCCATAATGAGCTAACAATTTGGCTTGAGGGAGAAAATGTGAAGTCCATATGAAGGAACTGATAAACAAAATATTACTTCGTATTATTCGTAGCACAGGATCACCCCTCCCATGAAAAGAATTACCTGACCCAAAACAGCAATAGGGCCACTGCTGAGAAACCCTGACCTGACTGAGGCTGTGCTCTTCAGCCCCATCAAGCACCTCAACAAAACCTAAAATGAGCCCACATGAAGGAACTGGTAAACAAAATATTACTTCGTAAAGTCTTAGCTTCTTGGACTTGGACAAGCATGACAGTGTTTAGTAAAGGAAAAGCTCAACGTGGTTAGTACAAGTTTGTCCAAAGAGCAACACACAGGTCAAGATCAACAGTTCCACTCTGAGAGACCAATTAGCTTTGATCCTCTCTATAGCTTAGACCAGTGGTTCTCAACTGGAGGGTGACTATGCCCCCACAGGGAACAGCCATGGTTGTTGAAAGTGAGTTTGGGTTGACACACCTGGGGGTGGGGGAAGAGGCGGCAGCTACTATCGCCATCTAGTGGGGAGAAGCCAGGGATGCGGCTAGACACTCTACAAAGCACAGCATCACCCCTCCCATGAAAAGAATTACCTGACCCAAAACAGCAATAGGGCCACTGCTGAGAAACTCTGACCTGACTGAGGCTGTGCTCTTCAGCCCCATCAGGCATCTCAACAAAACCTAAAATGGGCCCAGGCCCATTGAAAATACCAGAAAAAAATTTCAAATCACCTTAATATTTTAATAACCACAGATGTTCCCCTATTGGCTATTAAATAAATAAAGCAATAAAAATAAGCTTTGAGAGCACTTACTTGTTAATGTTGCTCCCTTCCTTCAGCCTGTCCCCTGCAGCGCCTGTCTTCGTTGCTCGTTCACTGCCAGCTAAATCCACCAGGCTGAGTTTGCCCACTTTCTCTCCAGATGTCTACAAAGGAAATCAATCAATACTAATCAACAGGAACACAGGGCCAGGTGTGGTGGCTCATGCCAGTAATCCCAGCACTTTGGGAGGACAAGGAAGGAGGATCACCTGAGCCCAGGATTTCAAAAACAGCCTGGGCAACACAGCAAAATCCTGTCTCCACAAAAAAATAAAAATAAATAAAAATAGCTGGCCATGGTGGCGTGTGCCTGTAGTCCCAGCTACTTGGGAAACTGAGGTGGGAGATCACTTGAGCCCAGAAGTTCCAGGCTACAGTGAGCTATGATTGCACCTCTGCATTCCAACCTGAGCGACACAGTGAGACCCTGTCTCTTAAAAAACAATACAAAAAGCAGTTCTGTCACAACCAAATGGGTTATGATCTAAACCCTTTATTAAAAGTATTTACTGTTACTTCAAAATTATTTTGTGCTGCTATAACACACTGTAAGAAAACTGTACAATCTAACGGTGGAGACACAGAAAATTTATAAAACTCTACTAATCCAGCCAGGATGAAAGCTAATTATCTCAGGAAAACAGTGCCTCCAAAATGGGCCATTTTGAAGGGTGCCCAATGAAATTTTCAGAGCAGTATACAAAAGTACTTATAAGACTCAAATTTTATTATTATTGGAAACTGTGTTTAAAATTTCATGGATATTTATCAATAATCCTGAGACAAAACACTTGCAATTCTGACATAAAAAAAAAATCTGACCTTTATACAACAGAAGAACCCCTCAAAATCTCAAAACATTTTGTAACATTTACATCTTATTCATATATAATTCCATTTCATGTCAGGTGTTATTAGATTTACATCTTTTTCTAATTAAGATATTATATACATACAGATACATAGATATCTTTATCAAAAGTGTTTTCTTATCAAGCACATACATGTAACATACTTCGTACTTCAATAGCAATATAAGGAATGTAGGAAACCAACACCAAAATCTATAGACTGAATCATTTTTAAAGCTTTCCTTTAAAATAGACATTTATTTCCATAAATAAACATGCTGTTAACAAAAGGTTATTCAGTGTCCCAAATCAAAAGTACTTTTAGTTAAAAAAAAAAAAAAAAAGTCTTCAGTATGTTTTTTGTTTTATGCTGAAAAGGAAATAAGAAACAAAGAACTTTTTGTTGTTACACTAATCTTGCTGTGATGGTAAAAGGAGAAAAATATGCTTTCAGCAGATGAAAATCCTGCCAAAATATAGCACTTTGCCAGGGTGATTATTTTACCTTCTGGTATTTAAAATGGACACACTAGGGGGTAGGCATCATAATAAAATATGTAAAATTCACATAAAAAGAGGGAAAACGCAAATATACTAGGCAACAGAGAAGTTTGCAATGCAGCAGAAGCATGTTTATCTCTGACTGGGTTTACTCTTCACTAGATTCAAAACCAAACACTCAAAAAGTTATTCCACAAAAGCAAGTGATTTTATAGTACAATTGCCCCAGTGTCATTTATTCCTTCTAATAGTGTTTCACAGAAGGCAACACTGCAAAAGAACCTCTGCTAAATCAGCTAGAATTTTTTTTTTTTTGAGACAGAGTCTTGCTCTGTTGCCCAGGGCAGTGGGGCAATCATAGCTCACTGCAGTCTCAAGCTCCTGGGCTCAACCAATCCTCCCACCTCAGCCTCCCTAGTCACTAGGTCTATGGGCATGAACCACCCACACCTTGCTAATTTTCAAATATTCTGTAGAAATGGAGTCTCATTATGTTACCAGGCTGTTCTCCAACTCCTGGGCTCAAGCAATCCTCCCGCCTTGGCCTCCCGAAGTGCTGGGATTACAGGTGTGAGGCACAGTGCCTGGGCAAGCGAGAGCATTACCATTGGCTCACGCAGTTAGCCGTCACAGTTTAAAACTCAAAAACTGCTGGGGCAGACAGTGGGCCATCGGTGCACTTAACTTCTGCTCCACCTTCCTTTAGTGGGAGTGGGCAGGAAGCTTAAACCCACATTTCTCAGACTCCCTGGCCACCCAGGCTCAGGATACACCTGCTAGAGGCTGGAACGCAAAAGCAGAGCAGAGGCTGCCTGCTGCCCCTTTCTGGCTCTTTCTGCTGGCAGCGGGACTGGGGAAATGCAAGCACATTCTCCAGGTTCCAGGGTGCTACGAGGCAGCAGCATGGACAGAAGCAACTTCTCTATTCCTGCTTCCTGGATCACAGCTATGGGTATGCCTGGAACACAGAGTTCTAGAGGTGTCCTCAGAGGTGTCACCACCCCGGGAGCCAGATGTGTGCTGTTCAGAAAGTTATTCCTCGAGAGGCAGTCTAGAACCTGGTCCTCCTCAGATGTCCCAACAACCCTGGAATGACCTGCTTCCCTACATGACATCCCTTTCTATTGACCTAGAGGAGCTTCTGTTTCTCGTCCAGAGTCCTCATTGATACACAAGTCTAGCCAGGACTTTAATTCATCTAACACCTGAAGAGGAAAAAAATAAAACCACAATCCACTTTAGAAATATAAAAACAGGTCATGCATCTGAACACCTACCCCAGACTTCACATCGTAGAGAGTATGTGTGAGGGTGATTTTGAAAACTGCATGGGATCGGCTACTCTCCTCGTTCATGTTGGTTGCAGCAACTGTGCGAGATTTGTTACCCTCAGACATCAACGACTCAATATCCTAAGTGGAAACAAGTCATAGACCCACGTTTCATTACTTGTGTAATACACACTAAAATCCTGCTATACTACAAAATTCATTGCAAGTTTTGCTACTTAGTCAACAACATTTGGAGTTAACATTTTGTTTCTCAATGAATATTGAGCCCCATGGAGTACAATAGCCAATACTGTCTCTGAAAACTTTCAAAGTACATCATTTGCTACAGGTACAGAGGTGGCAGCCTTGACTCAAAGTTCAGAAGCTACACCTTTGGTCACACAAGATGAACAAGTATGCCACACCAACCCTCATCTAATATAGAAATTTGAAAAAACGTAGTTTCTTTAATACAGAAGCAATACAAATTTATTGTTAAATTAGATTATACAAATAAGCAACACAAATAACTTAAATAACTTGTGCCATTTGTCGCTTCATACAGGCATATCACCGACTACCACTATCTTAGCAGACCTGGTTTTAAAAATGAGAACCTCAAGAGACTAATTTTCTGCATTGATTTACCACTTGGTTGCTACTACTACTAAAAAAGAGAAACAACAAAATACAATAGGAAGGTCAAGGGATTTTCTTTTTTTTTTTTAATGTTATAAGCTCTAAAACAGTTAACCAACCTGGATTTTAACTGCATTAATAACAATGCAGAGCTATGACACCCATCTGCCTTACAAGGATCTTAATGAGGAGTGAGAAAAATGTATGTGCAAAAGTCGACTAGATGCTTCCCATTACCCAGTCTTCACTTCTTTCCAGTAGGGCAGCCCAATCTTCAACTTGGCACATATGGCCGAGCTAAGAGACTACATTTCCCAGATGCCCTTGCAGCTCACTCTGGCCTCATGACATTTTAGTGAATAAGATTTAAAATTAAAATACGCCATCTGGGAATTCTCCTTAAGGGTGTAGGCATGCTATCTCGTGTTGGTTCTAAGAGCCATCTTGAACTATGGGAATAAGGACATTACCACACCTCTCTGTGTTGACCACTGGAAGGAATCTAGGTCCCTAATAACACATTTGGGGCCACCATACCAGCCCTGGAGAGTCTACCTCCATATTTCTTTTCCATGAAAAGCCTTGTTTCAATCACCATTCATTCACACTTTCAAATGTATACTGAAAGCACCTACCATAGGACAGGTACTTTTCAGACACTGAGAATATATAATGGACAAAACAGATAATAATCCATGTTTCAAATAACTCTGATACATTTTTTTAATGTTAGGTGCAACTGAACACAATCCTACCTGACACACATCATCAAAAACTGAAAATCACAATTTTCTATTAGAAGAAGAATGTTTACAAAAAAATTCACCATGATACATAAAAAGCCTCAAAGTAAAAACATTAACTGCAAAAGGAAGTATAAGTAGGCCCCAGAATGGGAAAACAACAACAAAAGATAAAATTCACAATTTTCTAGATTGATTCCAAACCCACTTTAGATTCACTAAGTCTGATAACTTTTCATTTAAAAGCCTCATCCTATTTAGTCTATATTTATTCGCTTGTCTGTGATCAACTATCTCATTTTTAGGATTTTTGTAAAGTGATTTATTAAGTGATGCTATTATATATGCAATTTTTAAAAATAACAAATTAAGCCAAGAAAAAAAAGAGCCCCACCCTACTACACTAAATTTAAATAGTTCACATACAGGATGTTGTTACCTTGTAGCTTGTGACAGCCAGTTTAGAAAGTCCGTCGACATAAGGTCCCAACACACTATGCTCTCTGACTTTCAACGTCTGACGGCTTCTGTTCATGAAAAACAAAGAAATGATTTTTTAACAATAGCCTATTTTTAAAAAGGACTCAGCTCTGCTCCATAAAAATATACAATGAATCCAAGAAAGACCCCAAATAAGTAAAACCAACTGACTTGATCCCAGAAGAATTTAAACCAAACTTTAAAATCTTCACTGCGAAGAAAACTTCATAATGTGATTAAATATCACATCACTCAAAAGGGTATATTGTGGGATGCCTATTTACTTACTACAAAGAATGCAGAGTCAAATAAATATGAACAATCTATTTGTCTTACAGAGAATGTGGTACAAAGAGCAGAAACTCAGTAAATGTTAACTGTGCGAGAAAGGAAAACTACAGACCAGTCTCAGTCATGAAGAAAGACAAACCAAAGACAGTAAACTGAATCCAATGATTTCAAAATACAAAACTGGGCTTATCTCAGGGCTTCTAGGCTATCCACCATTGGAAAAAAGAGCCATGCGCTTTAATCACATTGACAGCCTAAGGGGGCGGAGGAGGGAAGTATGATCATTTCAATAAACGCATGAAAAAAGATTCAATAAAATTAAAATTAAATATTCATTAAGTTTTTTTTTTTTTAAAAGAAAACCCCTCTTAGCAAAGAAGGAACTAATAAACCCAATAAAGGACATCTGAGAAAAATGTAGAGCACAGATAGCATACTTAATAATATAAACCAAAAATATTAAGAATAATAATATAAACCAAAAATATTAAGAATAAACCAAAAAATAAGGGTACAAAGTTTCTGTTAGGAGGAGTAAGTTCTTGAGATCTACTGCACAGCATGGTGACTATAGTCAGCAACATAATGTGTATTTCAAAATTGCTGAGAGTAGACAGACTTTAAATGTCTGCACCACAAAAAAAATGGTAAGTGTGTGAGGTGATGGATATGTTAATTAGCTTGATATAATCATTCCATAGTATATACATGATCAAAACACACTGTACTCCATAAACATATACAATTCTCATTTGTCAATTAAAAATCAAATTATAAAAAAGAATGTCAATGATAAGGTTACTGATTTTCATTTTATATTTTTGTTTATCCTTATTTTAAATCACGAATGTGTGTCCACTTTTGAACTACACAAAATCTTTTTTAAAATAAGTAATAAATTATAATCCTTAAAGTTTGTTTTTTTTTTTTTTTTTTTCCAATGGAGTCTTGCTCTATCACCCAGGATCTCAGCTCACTGTAACCTCCGCTTCCCAGGTTCAAGCAGTTCTCCTGCCTCATCCTCCCGAATAGCTGGGATTACAGGTGTGCATCACCACACCCAGCTCATTTTTGTATTTTTAGTAGACACAGGGTTTTGCCATGTTGGCCAGGCTGGTCTCGAACTCCTGACCCCAAGTGATCTGCCCGCCTCAGCCTCCCAAAGTGCTGGGATTAGAGGTATGAGCCACCGTGCCCAACCAATGCGTCAAGTTTTTGGGTGGTTCTTTGACGCCTATGAAGAGAGGTGCACACTCCTCAGCTTGCTACGCATGCTCCTTTATAATCTGCTCTTGACCACCTCTTAGTCAGCTTCTCCTTATCCTCACCTTAGGCATGAATTAATTTACTTTTATCCATTTGTATTATAATAAACTTTGGGCTCTAGAACAGCAAGAATAATGTCTAATTATTTTGGGAGTCTGCAGTTCCTAGCACAAGTCCTGGCACATAAGAATCACTAAGTGAATGAACAGACTTCACTAACAAAGTGAAGATTAGAGAGATTAAGATGACAGTGAGGACTCCAAATGTGTTAGCTTCCGTCATTTGGAGAGCGAGTGCTAGTAACTAAGAAGGCAGGAGAGGAAGGGAAGAAATGTAGAACACATATAATGAATGACTAGCACAGAAGCTGAACCACATTCAATCACTAACACCCATAATAAAGACAGCAAGAAGAGGATAGTTCTAGAATAACCCTTCATATAAACAGTAAAATCAGGGGATAAGGAAATGACTCTTAAATCTAAAATCTATAGTACCCTAGGATCAACCATTAAAAATGTCACTTATTACCATGTAACTGGATAAAGTAGATATAGAATATTTGATTTACTTCTCGCCCAGGATATAGTCTATTATTGACTTTTTTCCTTTCATATTTCCTTTTTCTTAATGTATCCTCTATTATCTCCTGAGTAAAACAACATAATTACATTACTATATACTAGATGCTGAATTAATATAATTAGTACGTGAATAAAAAATGAAGTTTTCTCAAATGGTCTTTGACTGAAATGAGATCACCTTTAGAGATTTTAATCCATTTACTTTGAATCTTCAGAAACTAAAAAAAAAAAATTTCCAAGAAATTTTCACTGGGGAGATAGCAGCAGCTACCACTTATTGAGCACTTACTGTATGCCAGCAAATGTTCTAAGACCTCAGGTGTATCATCCCAGTCTATCTTCACAACAGCCCTCTGAGATAATTGTATCCTATCATTTCCCTCTTCAAGTTCCCTCTAGGCTGACAAGTTAGGCCTGGAAAGCTTAAGAAACTTGTTCAATAGGTAACAAGTAGAGGACCTAGATCCTGAGCTATGCAAATCCGAAGCTCTTCAGAATTCACTGTTAATTACTGTAAGTAATTACCGTAAGTAAGCTGTTAATTACTAACCTATACCCAAGACAAACATAGGAGAAATTACTAAAGACTGTACATGTGCAGATAAGTTAAAAAGATGCCATACAAGCACTCTGGATTAAGCAGAAGAATGAACAGGTATGAAGTCAGTCAGCTAAGAATTTCTGGAAAGAGTAGGTCTGGGCTGGATCTCAGAAAAGTGATGATCTTTGCGAGGTCAAAGTCCAAGAAAAAGTGTTCAAGGCAGAACAAAGAAAAAAATATACAGGGATATAATATTAAGTAGGATGTGGGTACCTGGACCGTAAGGTACTCTCTAGCCTCTTTGTTTTGGAACATTTTTTATTTTTAATTTCTTTTGAGACAGGATGAATCTCTCATCCTGTCACCCAGGCTGGGGTGCAGTGGTACAATCTTGGCTCACTGAAGCCTCAAACTCCTGGGCTCAAGCGATCCTCCCATCTTGGCCTCCTTTTGTTCCATGTTGACTTCTGTGCATCCTACTCTCCGACCACACTGAACTGCTGGATCATTCTCCAAAGGTGATTAATTTACACCTTCAAGGTGTGGGAGAGGTTGTTCCCTACACCTGAGTAGTTCTCACCCAACTTCCCAGTGGACCAACTTCCCACTCCGCACAAATGTTATCAAGCAAGTACACTCTGGAATCTTCCCTTCTCCTAGGGGCAAGATCAGTCATTGTCCCTTTGCTCTCTAATTTGTAGGAGCCTCCTTCACAAGCTAAAAGCAGATAGCGTTGTATTTTAATTATTTGTTTACAAAACTCTCATTCTGTCCACACTGTGAGTTCTTGCATAGTGCCTGGCATATAATGATCACTCAATAAATGTTTGTTAAGTAAAGTTTGTACAGAAGCACTGAGCATCAATTCAATCTCCCTGTTAGAATCCTAAAGATTATCATCTTGGTCAAGGAAAACTGACAACAGAGAGGAGCTGAGGGTTCTGTTTGCTCTTGACTGAGAGTCACTATGACTCACTGCCTCTAAGATCCTCTTTTCCTTGATCATCTTCCTCATCCAGCAAAACTAAATGTCCTCCTGTTGTCCTGCAAACTTTCTGTAGGCCTCAGCTTATTTGGCTCTTTGACCTTCCTAATGCTGTTTTTACATCAACAAGCCACAGGCTGTGGTCATTATCTCCATCTTTCTCCACTGTTGCGCTTCCTTAAAATCTGAACTCGAAAAACTCTGTGGAATGAACAGATTTCTAGATACCGTGCACTTTCCTCACTCAGTTACAGCTGTAGAGTCAAACCAGCGTTTGTGAAGGCCTCCTAAGACTTCCAATCCAATTCTCTTTACAAGTCTGTGCCATGAAATCATGGGCACTTGTTTTTGTTCCTGAGAATCTTTAAAAACTCACTGTCCTAAAGACTAGGTTTCATCTCTCTGATTATGCCTCTCCCTCACCTCACAGCCCACAAAGAGCTGAATTCCACCTGAAATTTCTTGGGTTTAAAAACAAACAAACAAACAAACAAACTCTTGAGCCCAGGAGTTCAAGGCTGAAGTAAGCTATGATTGTGCCACTGCACTGAAGCCTATGTGACAGAGCGAGACCCTCTGAAAAAATTAAAAAGATTTGCACTTAAGCCAATTTAAGTCTGTTTCAGTTCACAATGCTGAAACACTAAAGTCTCAAAGTCCTTTACCCTTTGGGATCAAGAAGGTCTCGAACTTTTTCATTATAAATTTCCATGTAGGACACTTCTACTTTAAAACTCTGTTCTTCATTTTCCTCTTTCTGAGTTCGTTCAAAGAGTCCACTGCAAAGTCTTGGGATTAATCCAGGTTGGTCAGCTGTGCCCATCATGGTATAAGATTTTCCAGAGCCTAAAAAAATGGAAATCAGAGTTACTATTGTCTCTTTGAGACGTTAAATACATAACCCTCTTTCCGTTGCTCATAATAAACACTTGGCAAAACGCCAAAATGCAGTGAGAAATACACCCAAATATAATGAGAATAATAAGTACAGAAGCTTTTTTACTGCACATGTGAAAGTGAAAAGCAAATGTCCTTTAGAAAGAAAAATAGGCTGGGTGCGGTGGCTCACGCCTGTAATTCCCAGCACTTTGGGAGGCTGAGGTGGGCAGATTGCCTGAGCTCAGGAGTTCGAGATCAGCCTGGGCAACAAGGTGAAACCCCGTCTCTACTAAAATACAAAAAAAAAAGAAAAATTAGCCATGCGTGACGGCACGTGCTTGTAGTCCCAGCTACTCGGGAGGCTGAGGCAGGAGAATTGCTTGAACCCGGGAGGCGGAGGTTGCAGTGAGCCGAGATTGCGCCACTGCACTCTAGCCTGGGCTACAGAGCAACACTCCATCTCCAAAAAAAAAAAAAAAAAGAAAAATAAACTTATTTAATCATCCTCATACTTTAAGAAAATACCTAAAACAAGTGAGAAATAGTGAGGTCTAAAAGTTTTCCGAAATAAGCTGAAAGAGCCATATAATTAATACTATAGTGCCTGCTCCCAACCAGTGATCACAGCACAAAAAATATAGGTTCTCCCTGTGGACCCCAGAGCAAATTAACTCACTACCCTTTCACTATAGTGTGGAAACTAAAGAATAATCTTTTTTCTTATATAAAATTATTTTCTCGGCTGAATGCGGTGGCTCACGCCTGTAATCTCAGCACTTTGGGAGGCCAAGGTGGGTGGATCACCTGAGGTCAGGAGTTTGAGACCAGCCTGGCCAACATGGTGAAACCCCTTCTCTCCTAAAAATACCAAAAAAATTAACCAGGCACGGTGGCAGGCACCTGTAGTGCCAGCTACTCCGGAGGCTGAGGCAGAAGAATCGCTTGAACCTGGGAGGCAGAGGCTGCAATGAGCAGAGATTGTGCCACTGCACTCCAGCCTGGACAACAGAGCAAGACTCCGTCTCAAAATAAAAGATTTTCTCCGTTGTAAAAGAAATATATATTAAATAAAATTTAGAAAACACAGGAAAATAGAAAGAAAAAACTTAAATTACCATAGTCCTACTGCCCGAAAACCAGTAACTACTGACACTTAAGTATAATTCCTTCTGTTTTTAGTAGCAGTGTTTTTGCAAATATGCTTTTAACCTACAAGTTGCTGCTTTTGTCATGCAACATTTTATTGTTATCATAATACCTAAAGCTAATGTGCCACATTTCCTAAGTACCAGGACTTCTGTAAAAAGTTTGCACATGGGAACTCGTTATGACAACCCTACAAGAAGGTCTATGATCATCAGCCTTTCCAGATAAGGACGCTGAAGGGCAGAGAGGTTAAGTAACTGCCCAGGTCTCTCTGCTGGCCAGCTGCAGGAGCAGGACTGGAGCTGTCGCCGCCTGGCCCCAGCTTTCTGCCCTTTCAACACGACACATGAGGCTTCTTGAAAATATCCAACACATTCTTCTGTGAGAACATTTCTAGTTGGACAAGCTGTATACTTTACTCTTACAAAAGTAACTAGTTCACTTCAAATTTTCTTTTCTTGACCACAGAGACTCAAAAGCCAAAAAGCTTCTTAGTTATTACTGGTGAGATATTAACAAGTATGTTCTTTTTGGTATTTTATCTGTTATGGTTCTGAAAGCCTTAAAAAAGCATGATCTATAGGCATGGCTAGTAATGTGTTCAACAGTCATAGCTCTGTATTTTTTCGAAAAACAATGCTGCCAGTGCCTTGTGAGAAAAATCAGTAAAGATAAAAGATCCCAATCCTAATTTTATTACACTCATTTTAAAATAATGTTACTGACTACTTTCAACATCTACAGTACTTTCTGAAAGCAAAAACAACAAGGAATAAATCAGCAATGTTACTCAGTAAAATAAACATGGTTCTATTTTCTTTCATTGATGGTTGTTTATGTGATTTCATGTTATTTAACATTACCAGTCTGTCCATAGGCAAAGATACATGCATTGTAGCCATCAAAAGCATTCTGCAGGATATTCTCTCCAAGGCACTTGAAAACAATATCTTGACCTGAGAGAGAGAGAATAAGAGAAAAGATATTTTAAGCCAAAACTACATATGAACAATTCACAAAACAAAAACAAAAATCTCAAAAATGTATAATCTGCTTATTTATCTCCAAACAAGATTTTTAAATTTGACGAATGCTCCCAAAGGCTTATGCCTTCCAGGTTATTTCTAGTTAGCACATGAGGGAAAATCAGCTCCCTGTAATACATGCTTGAATAAATAAACACGACTAAGAATCCCCTGCAATGCAGAGCCAATGAGCTGCTCACTTTATAATCAATGATTATAAATATCTGAAATTTATACTTGGGACCCAGGTGTACCTGGACTTAACTATTTACCACTCAGGCAATGCTTTTATTCGGTGGGTACCAGAGTTTAGAATAATCATATATACCAACCCCCTCTCCTTTCCCTCAGTGACAATTTCTAATTACAGGATCTACAACACATACCAGTTAGGACAGGGAGTCAGAGCCTGGAAATTTCCCTCAGCTTTCAATCATGGACATAAAGAACAGAGTCAAATTCTCCCCGACAGGCCAAATGAGATATGTCACTAGTCAGTAATTGAATGTGAATCTGACAAGTCACCCTACCTCACTTAGTCTCAATACCACATGGAAGAACTGGATGCTTTTATGTTATGGCAAGGGTATTCCATTATGTCTCATTTCCTTTTTTTTTTTTTTTAATACCAGTTAACTTATACTTCTGATATTGGGCCACCTAGACCAAATGAATCTTAACTTCAAAACAGCCATAATATTCATCTTTCTCATAACAGAAGCCAAAACAATATGATGCTTAATATTTAAAAGAGATTGTTTAAAAACAGGCGACAAAAGCAGTAAGGAATAAAGGCAATCAAAGGCTGTCACTGCAGTCCTAAACTTGTGGTGAGATGGGGCTTGAGACAGTCATCATTTAGAAGAATAATAGAGTAACAGACTTCCAGAGCCAAAAGAAAATTTAGAGAGAATATGGCATATTCCTTTCCATCAAAAAGAGAAAACTGAAGCTCTGACAGGTGAGGTGATTTACTGAAAGGCGCAGGGGCGGTAAGAAGCAGGGCTGGGCCTGCAGCCTAGGGTTCCTTTTCTCCTTGGCCGGTGCTCCCCTTCTTTCACTATGCCATCCTGTCTCTCCAGCCCAGTCTCAGGCCTCCAGGGCAATCTAAGGGGCGACCTTGTGCTCCCGGCCTCATGTAAGAGCTGGGGCGTGTGAATGTGGAATAGCCACTGTGTGTACTAGTGATGTAATTTCATCAACGTATACCAAGAATGGCACACAGTGAATCTCCCATTTTCCAATCAACATTAAAAACTCTAATAGCAAACACGGGAGGGTGTTGTCTGTACTTTCTACAGTTATGCAAAAGAATCCTATGGTACTCATATATATCCTATGGTAATTATAGAGATGTAGGTTACCATCCGCAGTTCCTGGCTCATTAACCCTTGTTGCAGTCTTTTACATGTTGGGGCATTTTAGCCTCAGGAAACTATCTGATCTCCTGCCCTCCTTTTACCTGCCGGAGGCAAGACTCTCATCTGATTGTGGGTCAAGAGCTTCTCATTCCACAAGGTCTTGCCTCATATCCTAAAGGAAGGAATGCTACACAGAATGGCCAAGAAAAGTCTGAACAGACAGGACGTGCTGTGTTCAGTCATGCACTTTTTGTCAAATCACATTTCTAATCGGTTGACAATCATGCCTATATAAGGAAGCCTCCATAAAAACCTAAAAGGACTGGGTTCAGAGAGCTTCTGGATTGCTAAACACACAGGGCCCAATAGGAAGGTAAGAACTCATCCACACGCCGGGAGGGCGCCGCGCCACCTCCATGAGGACAGAAGCTCCTGCGCTTGGGACCCTTCCAGATCTCACCCTCTGTATCTCTTCATCTGGCTGTTTACCTGTCTCCTTTAAAGAAAATCCCTCGTAATAAACCCCTAAACACAAGTGTTTCCCTGAGTTCTGTGAGCCGCTCTAGGAAATTAATCAAACCCAAAGAGGAGGTTGTGGGAACCCTAATTGGAAGCCAGTAGGTCAGAAGTTCTAGAGGCCTGGACCTGCGCTGGTGGGAAGGAGGGAGCGGTCTTGTGGGACTGAGCCCTCAGTCTGTGGATCTGACGCTGTCCCCAGGTAGAGAGCATCGGAACTGAGTTAGAGGACACCCAGCCAGTGTCTGCCGCTTGGGGTGCAGGGAAAACTCCCCCAACATTTGGTCACATTAAGTCATCTTCTGTGTTGATGACTGTTATTGTGGTGTGACAGCAGAGGAAACACACAGTTTGGGGGGTTTGCCAAGCAATCGTGTAAGGGAAAAAATACTGAACCCCTCTTCTACACCATCAGTAGTTGACAGGATGCTGGATTCTATTACCTGCATACTTTTCTTTGACAGATTCATCCATAGACCAGAAACAATGATCATAAGCAAACACCTGTTGAAAATGAACATAAGTGTGTGTTAAGAAAACCTCAACATTACTTATAAACCATAACTGATAGAACTGTTCATAATAGTGAAATAAAACAACTTACTGTCATACAATGGGAATTAATTATGTATGTAGAGGCTTACAATGAGAACTAAACATGCTATAGGTGATATGACTCTATATTTTACATGGAAAACTATTCACAAAATGTGTAATAAAATGGCTATTGCACACACACATGCACCTACAGTCACACACACAGAATTACATCTATAGTTTATTTTTTTGCAGCGAAATTAGTGATCTGTTTCATGTTTTTATATTTTTTCAATATTTTTATTTTTGTAGTCAAAGAAAAAGATATTTTTTAAATAACATTTAAAGATGCTCACTATAGCATGTCCAAAATAGCTTAAAATAGCAGAATGTTTACATAAATTATGACATGCCCATGTGCAAGTATAGATTTGAGGGTATAGAAGACTTACTAATTTAAAAAAAGTTTATGTTAATGAAAAAGTTATAAAAGTCTAGAGTATGATTCCATATTTGTACCAAAAAACTATATGCATAAAAAGCAGGAACAATCTGTATTAAAATGCTACTTGGTGGGATCTTACAGATGATCTGTTTTGATCTTTCACCTTATCACCACTTTCTAGAATATCACATAGTTCTTTTGCACTGTTTGAAAAGCTTCTTTTTCACTAATTATTTCTTTTTAAACCAACTAAGCAAAGGCAAATTTTTCACTGACTGCATCTTTCACTTTTTCGATTTCTGTCAGTTTGAAATCTACTTACTTGTGTTTTGTGATTTTTATCTCCGTAAAGATTTTAAGTGCAATTGTTTTAAAATGTATCTCGGTTCACATTTTGTCACATTCTCCCACTTTGGGAGTCTGTTGCTATGCTTCCTGATGATGGTTTGCATGTTAGTTTGCAGGTACATCTTAGCAGGGAGTGTTTATTTTATGGTTTACATGATTGCTTATTTTTTCCTCTCCTGATGGCCACCTTTCCATGACTAGTTTATGCTGTCATTTCCATTACTGAAGCCCAGATTTTGGGTCTTCTCAAGGCCCAATGTCTCCATCCCTTCCTATTAACACAGACATTAGCTCAATGTTGGTGGCCAAAAACTGACTGTAAGCTTTCACTCACAGAGAAGGCTCGCCCAAATCAGTTTTCACATGGTGAGCCTGGCTCCAGTCCCCAACCATACACCAGTGCCCCCATTAGTCGGCAAGAGTTGAACTTCCAATCACCTCCAGGCACCTGGTCTGATTCCAAAGCCCTGGAAATATGTCACTTCAGCCCTCGCTTACTGCTGGTCCTTGAAGTTATATATGTTGTTGTTGTGTTTTTCTAGTTTTGTGTAGAGATGGGGTCTCACTATGTTGCCCAGGCTGGTCTCAGACTCCTGGCCTCAAGCAATCCTCTAGCCTCAGCCTCCCAAGTACTGAGATTACAGCTGTGAGCCACCATGCCCAGTCTAAATTTGTTTTTGAGTTTGATTACATGATTCGCACATTCTAAAATATTTTATCTATCTCTGCTATAATTTTGATGTTGGCAGGAGAATGTTTCTGTGTAAACTCACAAGATTATCTGGACCAGAAGTCTAAAAGGTTAATTTTTTTAAGAAAGAAAATTAGGTTAAGATGGTAAATTAATAATGCATACTGATATCCATCACCCAGCTAAAATTAACTCAAAACGACAGGCGATGGGGGAAGTGGGGAAATTGCCAAAAAGGAAGAGAAGGGGGAAAAAAGAACAAGGTTTTGAAACCAAGAGTGCTTGCTTGTGCCTGGATCAGAATTGAGAAACTCCTGAAAAAATAGTTCCAATGAAACTGATGGGGGTAAGGGTGGGGGCCTGCAGGGAGAGCACAGGCTGCAAAGCCAGTGAGCAGTTCTGGGAGGTACCAGAAGGGCAACTAAAGGGGGAGGCAGATAACCCTGGCAGCAACCGAGAGGACGACTGGCTCAGCACCTCTGGACAGGTGAGGATCGGCACACCTGCATCTCTGTGTGAAACAGCAGGCAGGGGAGACACCTGTTCCCTGGATGGGGCTGTGAGAAGGAAGCGAGGCCAGGAAGTGAAAGCAGACCCCCAGCGGCTGACAGCCCCTGAGAGCCCTTGGGCCCAGAAGACATCATCCAGCTGCAGTGTTGTGTTACACACTGCTCACCCTCCATGTTTTTCCAAAGCTAAAACGTATATCTATCAGCAGTGGTGGCTCACTAAGCCATTTTCAAACACAGAGGAGCAAAAGGAGGAGGATGGAAGATGGCCCCAAAGGACTGGGCATCAAACTGGGGGGAGCTGCCTTGCAAACTCCAGGTGTCACCCATAGTGAGAATCATTACAGCAGAGTAGGAGTAAATAAAATGTGGAGCTCAAACGAAGTTTCTCCTGTTCTAGCTTTCCACGCTTATCTCCATAATTTTATTTAATTAATTCTGTTCTTAATAAGGCTAAGTAAAAACCATCCTGATTCTTGTAAGCTTAGTTCTCACTTCAAAAGCCCTATCACATGTGTATACAGTCATCCCTCAGTATCCTGAGTGGGACTGCTTCCAGGACCTCCCATGAATACCAAAATCCACAGATGTGCAAGTCCTTATATAAAATGGTGTAGTATTTGCATAAAACCCACACATATCCTCCCATATACTTCAAATCATCTCTTGATTACTTAAAACACCTAAGACAAAGTAGATGCTATGTAAATAGTTGTCATACTGTACTGCTTTTTACATTTTTACTTTTTTTTGAGACGGAGTCTCGCTCTGTCGCCCAGGCTGGAGTGCAGTGGCGTGATCTCAGCTCACCGCAAGCTCCACCTCCCAGGTTCACGCCATTCTCCTGCCTCAGCCTCCTGAGTAGCTGGGACTACAGGCGCCCGCTACCACGCCTGGCTTTTTTTTTTTTTTTTGTATTTTTAGTAGAGACAGGGTTTCACTGTGTTAGCCAGGATGGTCTCAATCTCCTGGCCTCATGATCCGCTGGCCTCCGCCTCCCAAAGTGCTGGGATTACAGGCATGAGCCACCGCGCCCGGCCCTAAATTTTTACTTTTATTGTTGTATTATTTTTCATAGTTTTTTAAAAACTATTTTCAATCTGTGGTTGGTTGAACCACAGATGTGAAACCCACAGATACAGAAGGCCAACTGTATATTTATCAGAGATAGGTTCTAAATGGCACTCTCCTCTCCATTATTATTGGGTTTTTTTTTTTTTTTTACTTGTCTTTCTTTTAGGGATTTCTTTAACAGTGACATTTCTTATTCCCAATTTGAGTCGAGAGGCTATTCCCAAAGTAACCATAATGGAGCTAAGCCTGTGTGCTCGACACTGTTCAAAGGAACCTGAGGAAGAAAAAAGGTAAGTGCCTTACATCTAGCAGGTTGGGGTGCTAGGATTCCAGCCCACAGTCTGGCTCTAAGGTCCCTCCTCTGCACCACTAGGCTAGCCTAGCTCTATTCCCCAATATGAAAGTGCCACAGCCTGGCACAAAGTTGGGGACTAATAAACACTTACTTTTTATTTACTACAGCTCTAAATGGTCCTCTTTAAGGCTTAGCAATTTCGTAAATTATTATAGGTAACTTCCAGGCAAAGATTTCATAAACTGGACAAGTCTTTTCTTTCCAAGTAAACACTGTAACAAATTCGAATAACATAGAAGCATAAAGGAAAAATCAAGGTCTCCCTGTTCAACAAGTACACCTCTCCCCAGAGCTGAGGTGTTTAACCTCCCATGTATTTTAGTCAACACAACATTTTTTCTAAACATGCAACTGAATTAAATAAAATATGAACAATTTTTAAATCACCAGGCAATGGTTCCTTCATATCTTCACTGCAACCTCCAGCCTCTGCACCAATAAAAATAAAAAAAAAGCTGGGCACGGTCGCTCACGCCTGTAATCCCAGCACTTTGGGAGGCCGAGGTGGGTGCATCATTTGAGGACAGGAGTTAAAGACCAGCCTGGCCAACATGGTGAAACCCCGTCTCTACCAAAAATACAAAACCCAGCTTGGTGTGGTGGTGGGTGCCTGTAATCCCAGCTACTTAGGAGGCTGAGGCAGGAGAATTGCTTGAACCCAGGAGGCAAAGATTGCAGTGAGCCAAGATCACGCCACCGCACTCCAGCCTGAGCAAGAGCTAGACTCCATCTCAAAAAATATACATAAAAATAAGAAAACGAAAATAATCCAGCACCTTTTCAGTAGAAAAGATGAGAGAAAGTTTACATATATAAAGAAACCAGTGCCCTATTCGGCTTTTTCACAATGATGTTTTATACTGACAGGGTGACTTTCTGTTTGTCATTCAGTCCCTGTGGTTAGGGAAAAAAAATTTAATAAATAAATGATCTTAAAAAGTCAGAGTCCCAAACAGCCATGTCTATAATACACATTTTAGCAATAATAATAGCGAACTGAATTACAATTCAGCCACGGACTGTAAAGGAAAAACAAAACCCCAAGAATGGAGACAGAAATCTAAATTTCCTGGAAGTTCCAAGTAACTTCATGGTCAGTTAAGAAACAGACTTTGTGCCCACTTCAAGCAGGGCTCCACATTCCCTAAGAGACAGAGGTGAAAGCATGTTCCCTTGAGGCGGCTGTGGCTGTGCAGGCTTCTGTTGGCCAGGAATGCACCCCCAGCTGTCTCGGGAGTGGGGAGGATGAGTCGGTTTTGACCGCAGTTTGGAACTACCAGTCTAGAGCCAATCTATGGAGGCGGCTTGAGGCCGCGCAGGTTTCTGTTGGCTGGGAATGCATCCCTAGCTGTCTTGGGAGCAGAGAGGATGAGTCGGCTTTGACCACAGTTTGGAACTACCAGTCTTGAGCCAATCTATGGCACAAAAGGAATCTGTGTTGTAGCTGCTAGGAGACCAGCCAGAAGTGGTCAAAGTGCAAATACAGCTTTTCCATAAACCTCCGGCCCTTCCCATGCCAATAAATGGCTTCAGATTTGTGAGTAGGCTGACAGCTTGCATTACTTGTACAAAATGATAGAAAATATTTTCCTTTTTGAGAAGAAAACTTCTAAGAGTTCAACAACATGCATATAAGATCTTTACAAGCATCACATAACAAACCAAATCTCTTACCTTCGGCTGGCCCCTGAGCTCCCAAAACAGATGTCATCATTGACGTGAAAGAAAAGTTAAAAAAAAAAAAAAAATTTAGTTTAGAAGACTTTTTTTGAAGGGTAAAATAATAAACATTATGTAAATTCACAGTAAGAATATAAAATAATACCTTTGAAGCCACATAGTAATTTGAAGGATAAATGAATGTCTATTAGCTAGTAAGACAGGCTGCTAATCACAGACAACTTGTATCTCTCTGGTAGAAGGAGGACTGAGCACAGATAATAATTTCAACAGTCCTAATATTTCTGCCTTATAGATTTTGCTTTTATCTTTGTGTATGTCTTATAAATATATATTTTTTAATCTTTTACTTTTTTATCATCTGGTTTCAGTTCCAAGTAGTTTTCTCTGCTTTGAAAAAGCAACAGATTACTCTCTTATCTGTACAGGCTCCTCTACAAAACAATGAATTCTATTCTGGCTAAGGAAAAAAGGCTAAATTAAAGAAACCACTAATTTCTTGCCAGTGAATTAACCCAGCTGAGTATCCCTCATCCAAAACGCTTGAAGTGTTTTGGGTTTCGTATTTTTTCTGGATGTGGGAATACTTGCATTATGCTTAACAGTTGCACATCCCAAATCCGAAAATCCAAATTCCAAAATGCTCCAAAGAGCATTTTGTTTGAGTGTTACGTGGGTACTCAAAAAGTTCCAAATTCTGGAGCATTTTGGATTTTCTATGTGGGATGCTCAACCTGTACTTACTGAATTACTCACTACTTATTCCTCTCCGCACACATAAGCACTTCTAACCTCCCACCTTCCTCCCACTGAAACTGCCACTTACTGACATCTCATCAGGGGACAAGAAAATAACTCAATATGGCCGGGCGCGGTGGCTCACGCCTGTAATCCCAGCACTTTGGGAGGCCGAGGCGGGCGGATCACGAGGTCAGGAAATCGAGACCATCCCGGCTAAAACGGTGAAACCCCGTCTCTACTAAAAATACAAAAAATTAGCCGGGCGTAGTGGCGGGCGCCTGTAGTCCCAGCTACTTGGGAGGCTGAGGCAGGAGAATGGCGTGAACCCGGGAGGCGGAGCTTGCAGTGAGCCGAGATCCCGCCACTGCACTCCAGCCTGGGCGACAGAGCGAGACTCCGTCTCAAAAAAAAAAAAAAAAAAAAAAAAACTCAATATATACAGTCAATGTAATCCTGAGATAGTTTCAAACTTAGAGAAAAGTGGTAAAAAGTACAAAGAATGCCCATAGACCTTTCCTGCCAATTTACTAATTGTTAACACTGCCATGACTGCTTTTCTCCTTCTCCTTCCCTTTCCCCCAAGGATTTATATGAATAAATACACACATACACATATATGTTTTTTTTTCCTGAACCATTTGAGGGTAAGTTGCAAACATGCCTCTTTAACAATCCGGGTGTCCAAAACACAGAAAACAGTCATGGGTTCACGGTTTCTGTTTCTGGCTGGGCCAGTAAAGCCCCTTCCTCATCCTTCTTTTCTGCTTATCACTAGAGATAGAAACTAAAGACCATGGCTTCAGGCTGCTTAAAGCCTAAAACAAAACAGAACAACAACACAACAAACTAAGTCCGGTTGGACAAGCTTTTCTAAACTTCCTAAAAACGATGATGTTCACTTACATAATAACAGGGCAATACTGAAATCAAACAATTTAAGAATAAAGGAAAGTACTTTTGAAACTGGAATAAAATAGGAACAATAATAATTGGCCCTTCTCAGAGGATCAAAACTCAACTTTCAGGGCCTGAAACCTGAAAGGAAACTGTACATGAAAATGTTTGCTTCCAATTGTCTTCGACCATCTCTTTGTTGCTTTGTCTCCTGAGATTTTCTTCTAAAAGAAATTTAATACTTATTTGTATCAAGTGATTTCTGACAAGAACATTAAAACACCACAGAAAGTCTAGCAAATGAGTGATACCTGTTTAAGAGATTTTGGAGTAATATCCAACATGGCTAATACATAAAAGAAAATAATTTCTCTGGAATAAGAGATGTAGAAGAATTTCCTGACAAAAAGACTTCTGAAACACTTATACACTGCTGGCAGAAATATAAATTAGTACAACCTCTATGGAAAATAGTATGCATGTTTTGTTTTTTGTTTTTTGTTTTTTTTTGAGACAGAGTTTTCACTCTTGTGGCCCAGGCTGGAGTACAGTGGCGTGATCTTGGCTCACTGCAACCTCCGCCTCCTGGGTTCAAGCGATTCTCCAGGCTCAACCTCCTGAGTAGCTGGGATTACAGGGGCACACCACCACGCCCGGCTAATTTTTTGTATTTTTAGTAGAGATGGGGTTTCACCATGTTGGCCAGGCTGGTCTTGAACTCTTGATCTCAAGTGATCCGCCCGCCTCGGCCTCCCAAAGTGCTGGGATTGCAGGCATCAGCCACGGCACCCAGGCAGAGATTTCTTAAGGAACTTTAAAAGTAGATCAACCATTTGATCCAGCAACCCCACTATGGGTATGCACCCAAAGGAAAATAAGTCATTATGTGAAAAAGACACATGCATATGTATGTTTATTGTAACACAGTTCCCAATTTGCAGCACCTTAGATGGAGCTGGAGGCCACTATTCTAAATGAAGTAACTCAGGAATGAAAAACCAAATATTGCATGTTCTTACCAATAAGTGGGAATTAAGCTATGAGCATGCAGAGGCATACAGAGTGATATAACGGACTTTGGAGACTCAGAAGAGGGGGAGCAGGAGGGGTGAAGGATAAAAAGATTACATATTGGGTACAATGTACACTACTTAGGTGACGGGTACACTAAAATCTCAGAAGTCCCCATTGTATAACTCATCCGTGTAACCAAAAACCACTTGTACCCAAAAGCTATTAAAATAAAAAAATAAAATTTTTTAAAAAATAGAAAAATGTTTTCGAAAATTAAAAAAAAAAGACTTCTGAAATCTGGAGAGGTTACTGACATGCTATCATCTTTTTATTGTCTTTATAAGCAAAGCAGTTTCTCATCAATTGCAGGTGGCTTTGTTATAAACCTACAGGGAGGTAAGAAGAGAATTCAACATGGATGAAAGGCCTCACTTTAGACCAGGTGCACTGCATGCTACATGACTCCATTCTCATGATAACTTTGCAAGATACTATTAGGATTCCAGTTTTACAGATGCAAAAAGTAAGGCTCAGAAAAGTCAACCCGTCTAGCACATACTTCAGGTTGTGAAGTGAACATACTTCAGGTTGTGATGTGAACATCCCTGATCTGAAAATCCAAAATCTTTCTGAAATGGTCCAAAATCTGAAACATTTTGAGCGCCAACATGATGCTCAAAAGGTCATGTTCAAAGGAAATGCTCATTGCCCTTATGCAAATATTCCAAAATCCAAAAAAAAAAAAAAAAAAAAAGAAAGAAATCCAAATCCAAAACACTTCCCAAGCATTTTGGATAAGGAATACTCAACCTGTAATAAGCAGTATGTATCTGGGATTCAAAACTAGGTCTTCTGACTCCCAAGGTCCACGTTCTTGCCCACACTGATCAAAACACTCTCGACTTAACAATCTACGAATCACACATTAACCACTGCTCCTGCTAACATTTCCCAATGTACTAATTTCTCCCATTCTAATGATTACCTAATAAAAGGTTAGCACTTGGTGCTTATGCTAGAGTACATTTACTCTATTTTATAGTACATTTACTATTCATTTTATTTATAGAAACTCCAAAGTGTCTTTTCTGAGGGGAAAAATATATATTTAGTATGATATTTCAAGTTTAAATAAAATGTTTTTATACCAAAAACATCAACTCTTCCTAAGACAAACAACAAGTATGAAATTCAATAACATATGACACATAGCAGAAGAATCCATGGGACTAACCTGAATTCACATCATCATAATAAAAACAGAAACAAACCAGTAAATTAATTACAGAGCTAAGTTTGCAGCTAGGGATTCTGATGGCTATGACAGTAAAGCTCAAATAACCTGCAAAGGCATGGGACACCCAAAGATGTAATTACAACCCTGTACAAAAATAAATAAATTAATTAATTAAACAACACCTTGTCAAAGTGTAGCTGCAATTCAATACAGCCATGTCTCACTCATCCCAAGATCCCTTAATTAGAAACCTCAACTATCCAGATCACTGTGGAGATTCAGGAAGCAAAAGCAGCTGCTGACCAATCCAGAGAAATGTCTCAAGTACAAGCACTAAAGCTGTAATTTCTCAGCTGAGTTGAATTATTTTTGTTGTTGTTGTTGCTTAACTTTATTTTGAAATACTTTCAGGCTTACAAAAAGCTCCAAAAATAGTACAAAAAAATCCTGTACACCCTTCTCCAAGCTTCCTCAAATGTTAACCACCAAATATTTCTTATATCACCACAGCTACAATGACCAAAACCAAGAAATTAACCATCAACACAGTTTATTAAATAACCTATAGACAACCTCCTCCAAATTTTGCCAATTACCCCCACTAATGTCCTTTTTTTGGTCCAAGACCTTGTGTTACATATACTTGTCATGTCTCCTCCAACCTGGGGCACTTTGTCTGTCATGACCTTGACACTTGAAGAGGACTGGCCATTTATTTTGTAGAATGTCCCTCAATCTGGGTTTGCCTAATGCTTCCTCCTGACTAAATCCAGATTGTGCATTTTGGCAAGCCCACCACTGAAGTCACATTGCGCCCTCCTTGGTGCATTCTACCAAGAGTCATATGAGGTGCATGTGCCATTACTGATCATGTTAATTCTGATCACTTGGTCAAGGCTGGATCTATGAGGTTTCCCACAGTAAAATTACTATTTTTACCTTCGTAACAAATAAGAATCATGTGGGGGATAAACTTTTAAACTATGTAAACACTCTGTTTCTCATCGTCATACTTTCACCTGCAAATTTTAGCACCCACTTATAATTCTTGCCTGCAACAATTACTATCTCCCAAATAGTGACTGTTTAGTTACTGGAGACCTCCCCAGCCCAGGTGGATGACCATGGATGAATGTGCTTTTTTGGAAGCAGGCAGCTTGGGAAACAACAAACAATATGGCTGCATATCTGGGATAAAGACAGTTATCTATGAATAAACTAACCTCTTCCTCCTTTTTACTGATCTGGCTTGTGGGCTCATGCTCACTTCTCATTTGAATAACAAATCACATCATACAAAGAAATCAAATTATATCTGTAATCTCTAGAATGCCAAAATACGAAGAAGAAATTTTATAAACTCATCACCTCTGAAAATGTTGTAATACTTCTGTCCATGACACAAAAAAAATTGATATTGGGTCCAAAAGTAAACCACACAGTATCACATATGTGTAAAACACAAAATAATATCAGTAGAAAGGAAAGTTATAGATCATTTACTGTTGTCAACTACCAAAATCAAATACTGAATCCAAATCCCATCATCTCTTTTAATTCTAAAGGTCTGAGTTGCTGAAATCTTCACAACTGAAATATTTGGAATCTCTGGTTCAACAAGACCCCACCCCAACCCGCTGTATAACGGATGTATACATCACAAAGAGCTTATTCTAATACAGCCATACTACGTCATGATATTGTTGCTTTTTTGAACTTGGCTGGCACTACCAGCAACCAAACAACAATCTGTGTGATGAGTATGATTTTTTTCTTTGTCACTCCTCCCCCACTGTACTTTCCATACATGGAATGAAGCCGAGCTGACTTGAAATTTAGAAAGTGACTACACTCACAACAGAAGCTTCTCAACATTTGCTTACTCCAGTCAACTCTCTGTAAGAAGTACAAATATCACAAAAAGCCCTGTTCGTTGTGTCCTCAATATCTAGAATTTTCCATCCACTTTTGAAGGATAAATTCTAATAGCAACATTGATAAAGTAGAGTATGACTGGAGAATAATAGCATTCAGGAGGCGGGGGGATTTGAAAACTCTACCAGTGAAAGAAGGGGAAATCCCTGTAGCTGGAGCGGGTAAGATGAGAGGAAGACAGGCTGCCCAGCCTCAAAGCTGAGGGGACTCATACCTGGCAGGGAAGCTAACTTGTTTTAGGTCACTTCCAGGGCTGCATTCAGTAAGATATACTGGGGAAGGTTGCCGCAAGTGGGATATCTCTTTATTTTATTGTTGTTTTGAGACAGAGTCTTGCTCTGTTGCCCAGGCTAGAGTGCAGTGGCAAGATCTTGGCTCACTGTAATCTCTGCCTTCTGGGTTCAAGCGATTCTTCTGCCTCAGCCTCCCAAGTAGCTGGGACTACAGGCACCCACCACCATGCCCAGCTAATTTTTGTACTTTTAGTAGAGGCAGCGTTTCACCATGTTGGCCAGGCTGTCTCGAACTCCAGACCTCAGGTGATCTGCCTACCTCAGCCTCCCAAAGTGCTGGGATTATAGGAAGTGGGTTATTTCTTTAGTATAAGAATAATTAACACTGTTTCAAGAGACAGCCAGTTCCCCTAGCAGTGGAATGTCTAAGCGGAGAGCAGAAAGCATCTGCTGGGAACTGGCACAAGGAATGTGAAGCTGCCTTAGATTCACTGTTCAACTCTTTTCACTGACAATAAGAAAAGGAGCAGTGAGCCTCCAACATCCCTATCAGTGCCACCTGTGGACCACTGGAGGCTCAGGCGTCATCTCCCCCAACTCAGCTACGTCACTCCCCTGTCCTCCATATACCTAACTTAGGTAACACCATTCCCCCTAGCAATTCTGCTTGCTTAAGGCCCACCTACAAGAGAAAGGCTCAGATCACACTTTATCTCCCTCAAGCATCCATCCACTTGAACCCTATACAAAAGTGATTTCCTTCCCCAATTCCTACATAAAGCCGAAACTGTTTCTACTGCTTATGTAGGACCACTCGGTTTGTCTCATGATAGAATAAACTTTTACATGTCATCTCGGCTAGACCATAAGCTTCTGAAGGACAAAGTGTTCTTCCTTTACGGGAATGTCCAACACAAGGCTTTTTGCTTATTCTGCAAATATTTCTTAAGCTGTTCAGGTGATCTGGCCCCTTTCTCTATCTCCAACTACATCTTTTACTGGTCTTCCTTTCACCCATGTGGGACTGACCCAGGTACCAATCTTTCAGTCTCAGGGCTTTCATACATGACTATTTCTGTCTTGGACTCTACAGGCTAACTCCTATTCATTTATTAAACTTCACTTATTCATTTATTAAACTCATGATTAAATTTCTCAGTTTAATCATGAGTTCCCTAGACACTATCTTTCTTAAACAGCCTATGTTACTCTCGAAGAAGTATTATGGG
Organism: Homo sapiens; assembly: GCF_000001405.40. NCBI lineage: Eukaryota > Metazoa > Chordata > Mammalia > Primates > Hominidae > Homo > Homo sapiens. The sequence goes on from NC_000008.11 coordinate 29,203,476, forward strand.
GAAAATAAAACCACTTCCACCACCATCCTCTGTCTCTAAAATCATGTCCAAAACAATAAAGAAAACAATGTTTCCATGTTCAATGAAACTTGGAGATATTTACAACTGAAACACACGACATTAAGACAGAAAATGCGCCAGGTGCGGTGGCTCACGCCTGTAATCCCAGCACTTTGGGAGGCTGAGGCAGGCGGATCACAAGGTCAGGAGTTCGAGACCAGCCTGGCCAATATGGTGAAACCCTGTCTCTACTAAAAATACAAAATAAATTAGCCGGGCATTGTGGTGCATGCCTGTAATCCCAGCTACTCAGGAGGCTAAGGCAGGAAAATTGCTTGAAGCCGGGAGGCGGAGGTTGTGGTGAGCCGAGATCACACCACTGCACTCCAGCCTGGGTGACAGAGGGAGTTCCGTCTCAAAAAAAAAAAAAAAAAAAAAAGATAGAAAATGCATCCACAGAATACAAGAAAAGACTGAAACTGGTGCCAATTACCCCAGAAGGTAGGAGGAGACCTAGAAAAGGAAGGTTGTTTGAAAAGAGCAGTTAGACATCTCCTGTGTCCAATCCCACTCAGGACAGTTGGTAGATACTGGTAATTTGCAGTCCTTGGAGAAAACTTATTTAAATGTAGAAAAAAGTTTGACAACCCCATTCTATTCGAATCTTCCACCCACACAAACAACAACTGGTTGAGAACAGAGGGACATCCAAGCAATATGGCCACTGAACCACAACTAGTATATTTCATAATCATAGGACTTTAGAAATATGAAGACTCTGATATATAAATTCCATAATTTCAAACTGTCATATACTGGGATAGCATAATTCAAAGAATACACTCAGTATTAACTCAATCACTTGCAAATCACTTGTCTTTTCTCATCTGTGAAACACACCGGCAGAATGAGTTTCATTTCATCGTCCACTTTCACTATAAGAAAGCTTAAATCTAGCCAGGTACAGTGGTGTGGGCCTGCAGTCCAGCTATTCAGGAGGCTGAGGTGGGAGGATTGCTTGAGTCCAGCAGTTCAGGACCAACACTGCAAGACCCCCATCTCTATAAAAATTTTAAAGAAAAATAAAAAGAAAGTTTAAATCTGGCCAAAGAATACTGACTCATTTGTGGAGGGTTTTTGATGAAGTATATTTCATATCCCACATTCACAGGGTAATACACACTCATTTTAATCATGGCAAATTCAAATAACTTCAAGGTATTCTATATACAGAGATTAGAATACATTACTGAGCTGAGGCCCTGGGCCAGACATCTGGCCTTCGGCCACAGACCAAAAAAAAAAAAGGCGGATTAAGATATTCTTAGACTACAAGCAAAGAAAGCTTCTAATTTTTATTTCTCTCAGTATTTGTGGTTTTCAATTTAATCCCTATTTTCCATCGTGTTTCTTGATCAGATTAATATGACTGAATTTCTGCTTGATTAGATTGATCTGGGGAAAATGTTCACTGAATATGAAATTAACTAATTTCCCCCCAGCCCTTCACCTTTTCTACACCTATATCTCCGAACCAGAGGCCACACACTCAAGGTCTACAGGCCCGACTGGGCACAGTGGCTCACACCTGTAATCTCAGTATGTTGGGAGGCAAAGGCAGGAGGATCGCTTCAGCCCAGGAGATGGAGGCTGTAGTGAGCTATGATCACACCACTGCACTCAGCCTGGGTGACAGAGCAAGACCCTGTCACCAAAAAAGTTTTTTTAAAAAAAAGGTCCACAAGCATTTTGTTCAGGCCTCACTGTATTGATCAAAAGTAGAAAATTAGAAGACATCACATTAGAAAATCTGGATTTTCAAATTCTCTTGAAAATTCAGAAGACTTGGAAATGCTAGGCTTAAGTTCCCACACAGCAGCAACAGGTAGATCTGAACAACTACCACCTCCTACTAGGCCCCTGCAGTTTCAAATTCCTCCTATTAAGAGAAAACAGAAAAGAGTTTTCTTTTCTTCAGACTTGAAGAAAAACACCGACTCACAAATTCATAGGAAAATAAGGAGAACACTTCCAAATCCAAGTCCTAAGAATCTAACAGACAGAGCCATCACAATCGTGTCAGGGCTATATTACAGATTCTACACACCCCATTACATAATACAATCTGCTTTAAGATTCCAAAACCTAATCCCAGCTAGGCTAAACAAGGAATCCCAAATTCAAATGTCCCTCGCAGCAGTAATGTCATTAGAATTAATAGCTATGAAATCAAATTAAACCTAAAGCCTTTGTCTTCACTATAACCAGTGGTAGGTCTAGAGTTTAGATCTAAGTTGGAAAGCTTGGTACTTCAAATTAAAAAGAGGCCAGGCGTGGTGGCTCACACCTGTAATCCCAACACTCTGGGAGGCTGAGGCGGGAGGATCACTTGATCCCAGGAGTTCAAGACCAGCCTGCATAACATAGCAAAACTCCATTTCTACCAAAAAAAAAAAAATACAAAACTCAGTAGGGAATAGTGGCATGCACTTGTGGTCCTCAATACTTGGGAGGCTGAACTGGGAGGATCACTTGAACTGATGAGCTTGCACTTGCAGTGAGCTATGATTGTGCCACTGAACTCTAGTCGGGATAACAGAGCAAGACCCCACCTTTTAAAAAAAAAATGAAATTAACTAATTCCCCCCACAAAAAAAGAGGCTGGGGATAGGGGCATGGTGGCTTATGTCTGTAATCCCAGCACTTTCGGAGGCCAAGGCGGGAGGATCGCTTGAGCCCAGGAGTTCCAGACCAGCCTGGCCAACATAGTGAGACCTTGTCTCTATGAAAAAATTGAAAAGAAAAACAAAAGGCATACTTGAAGTGCATGGCACACGTATGCTGACGCATGCTTGATAAATGTTAGATGCCATCATTATTGTGATTCTGTCTCATGATGCAATGTCTTGGGGTTAAGTCAGCCAGCAGGTTGAGAGAAACTGAAATTCACTATAATTACTCCCAAAATTGACTGCTTAGCGAAGATTTCCTTAACTTCCTTGAGTGAAAATTCAATTTCCAAAAGTTTCACGACTACCTATTTCACTACTCACAAGGGAAAAAACAGCTTAACTGAAGATGGCTTTGTTTATCCCTGTCCTAAGATATGGTTTTCACCTTGAAATGTCTCACAACCCCAACCTCCCTTTTTCCTTCTGATAGTCATTCATTCAGCAAATATTTACAGTCTGCCGTGCCAAGCACTAATCTAAGCCCTGGAGAGACAGCCTGGAAAAACGGGACAAAAACCTTGCCCTGCAAGAGCTTAAATTATTAAAAATAGAATGAATGAGTGAATGAATGAATGAGTAAATATGTCATATAATAGGTGCTAAGGAAATAAATAAAGCAGGGAAGGTGGATGGGGTTTGCGGAAGTGGAAGTGGGGTGGAAATTTTAAACATGGTGGTCAAGAGAAGCCTTGCTGAAAGGACGTTTGATGGTGACCAAGTGGAAGCAAGGGAGTGGGCCATGTGGCTGATGGGGCACAACGCCACCCTGCTTCATGCCCTCCTGGTTTACCACGCAACTTCCTAGCTGTGCTCTCACCCAAGCACACATCTAAACCACACACTGATCTGGTGGTCATAATTTGGCCTCAAACCCCTCAATGGCTCCCAACTCCCTCGCAGATGAAATTCTAACTCCTTAAGCAAGCAAGCAAGGCTCTCCACAGCACCACCACTCCCCAACTCTCCAGCCTCAATCTCCTACGCCCGTGCTTATGCCTCCACTGCATTACTCTAAAAGCTCAGCAAGTCCTTCAGGCTCAGTCACTTCTATCCTTTCGGTTACCAGGGTGCCTTTCCCATTGTTTGCCCTGGTGATAGCCTACTTCTCCTTCAAAACAAAAGTGACCTTCTCTGTCCCCTACCAGGGACTTCCAATTCCCTTGGGTCTTCTTTTCTAAGGAAGTATCAAAGCTATATTGCCCTCTCTGTGACTGCGAGCTCCCTGAGGACACAGAAGGCGTTTCTTTCCGGGTGCCTGACATCATCTGGTGGGCACTCAATGCTTATTGGACGTGACATGAAATGACGAGCTTGTCTAAACTGTCCAGTCCTGATTTATGCTGTCCCCATGCCTGCTATAGTTCTCCCAGTGTCCTGATACTCATCCAAAAAAAAAAGTTTCAACAGACTCATTAATACACCTTTTTATCCAAAGATTGGAATTCCATTTATCAACTATTCAGAATATACTTGAATCAAAAGCAAAAAAAAAAAATGCTTTCAGAGATGGAGAAAAACAGAAGCCATGCTTTTCTCTATAGAAGAGACCAGGTATACACTTAATTTAAGGTCACAGACCAGAAGGGGTTGGCTCATCTGCTTCCAATAATCAGAGTTTTGGGGGAGTTTGAAATGATGGCTACTATTATAGAAGCCAATAGTTACCGCTCAAAAAAATGAAGAGAGAAACGTGAATGAGGAAAGCACGGCAGACAGTCTGGGGCAGGCACCATGTGAGGAGAGCCCTGAAGTGTTCATTTCGATATTTCCTGAGAGGCTGCAGAACAGGCACAAGTCCTTGCCCTCAAGGAGCTGACAATCCAGTTAAGTCAGATATCTCAACATTAGAAAATCATGTATTTGCAGTTCATCATGAAAAGGATGCTAAGCCATGATATTCCATTAATTTATTCTGATGGCAGGGAAATAAGAACTTAAAAAGCTTTAAATAAAAATTGGTTGAAATGACCAAAAAAGTATCCTTTTTGGTGCTTAATGAGGTTTCTCATCAGTATCACATATTGACTCACCTACCATATCACCTACTTGGTATAGGATAAAAGTAGTGCTATTTAAACATATGTGCATATTAATTTATTGGCAATTACTTCTAAGGTGTAAGAAAGAGGTAGCAGTCTATATACTCCATACGGATTAATGCTGCATCATAGTCACAAAAAAGATAAAATTGTTAAATCTGTATAAATAAAATGAAATCTGTGGTCCATGGTTGGGCCTCAGTGGGTCTGTGAATCCATGCTACTGTTTTTTTGGTTTTTTCTAGGCAGAGGAGTTATAGCTTTCAGATTCTTAAAATAGTCCAGAGTCTATAACCCAAAAAAGGTTAAGAAACAGTGTGCTAGAGACAATTTATGAAGAGCTATGGGGCTCCATGTTCTAGGTCAGCGTTGGCTTGGGAGAGACTGAATATTCAAATAGACAACGGGCAGACCACGTACAACCAGAGCTCTAATTCACAACCTTGGTCATTGGCCCATGAGGGTGGGACCTTGGTCAGTGACTCTTAGCTTCCTTATTTTTTGCCCCTGCTTGCCATTCAGAATCAGCAAGAGAAAGTCAAGTATGCTCCCCACAACAAGCACCTAAGACATCCACTTCTATTAGCCTGCTTCCAGCTCCCCCAGGCCACAGCCTCGTCTCAGAAAACCCTCGAAGGTTTCCTTTTCTCCACTATAAAGTTTCACGTGCCCCTGCCTGCCTCTGTGCATCTGCCAAACCCAAGTGATGGTGGCCAACTCCCTTGCTGGAGTGCACTCTGGTTAACAGTCTGTTTGTTCGCATTTGCATGGTCTTAGTTTATTTCCATAGGCTGATCATCTAACACCTTAGGTAAGAAGTAGAGCCACTGAGGATCAAATGTAAATGCAAGACACCAACAGAATAGTAACATTAACTTGCAAGTTTACGTTTCTACAATAAGGTAACTTTAAAAGACACTGAAAAAAGGAACTGCCAGAGAAGGAGGAAAACCAGATGAGAGGCACCACTGGGAGGTGAGAGTTTGGATAGAGAAGGCGCCATGGGCAGTCGTACCCAGGCTACAGAAAGAACAGGCTCATGGAGGGCGAGAAGGCTCCCTACATCTGTCTCTCCATTCTGATGTGGACTCAGCCATATCTCATTTACTCTCTGCAGCTCACACAGCCATCCAAACTACCTAAGCCTCAGAAATCCAAAGAACAAGCTCCTCCCACCATCCTACAGTGGCCTGAGTCCAATGTCACAAAGGCCAGTGAAAGGGGAGGTTAGCACAGCAGGCCTGGGTCTCTAGCTCCCAAAGACCAATTCTAAGAGCTGCTTTAATTACTCCTTGAGTTCATCTCCTGTAATTTTGTGTGACGATTCCTGACTCCCCTCTCCAGGCAGGGTGTGACTAAGCATATCTGTGTGACAGTCCCTTAAGGTGCTTCCGTTGCCTCACAACTAACCAATGAGAACTGGCACAAGCTTTGGACATACAACTAAAAGGTGAGCATCAAGTACACTCTGAACTAGCATCTAGGGCACAGAAAGATAGAGGGTGATCACTTAAAGGATCATTGGCTGAATGTGGCGGCTCATGTCTGTAATCCCAACACTATGGGAGGCTGAGTTGGGAAGATCACTTGAGCCCTGGAGTTCAAGACCAGTCTGGGCAGTGAGACCCTACCTCTCCACAAAAAAAAAAAAAAAAAAAATAGCTGGGTGTGGTGATGCACACGTCTGTATTCTCAGCTACTCAGGAGACTGAAGCAGGAGGATCACTTGAGACCAGTTGGTCAAGGCTGCAGTAAGCCATGATTGCATCACTGCACTCCAGCTTAGGCAAGAGAGCCAGACCCTGTCTCAGAGAGAGAAAAAAAAAAAGGATCCTTGATCCACCACATGAGAGCAGGAAAGTAGTAGGAAGAGTAGTCAGACTACCATGGATCAGGGAAGAAATGGGAAATATAATTAAAGACAGAGGGTAATGGATGGAAGGGGATAGAATCTAAAAATATCTAAAATGAGTTGTAAAAGTTCACAGGATTGACATTCAGTATACCTTTGTGTAAACTGCCCAGAACACTTGAATTCCAGATACCATTCCAGAGCACACAGACAGCCCTACAGATCTACTCACCAGAGAGAGGGCTACAGACTTCACCATTTCTAGAAATGACTTGAAGATGGAAGAACTGATTGTCCAGGCACACCAGCAGAAATGTGTTCAGATCCTTTCTCAGATGAGATCACAACCAAACACACCCTACGTCTCCTTCCAGCCTTATTGCCCCCAAATAATGAGCCCAAGAAAGCATCTTCTTTCCAAGAGTTTACAGGGCTCCATTTTTCGTTTAGTTTGATAGAAACAAAAAGTGTATGGCAGATGACATTTGTTTCAATATGAGAACCAACAAGGAAATATTCGGTTGTAAGATATTAAGATGGGATCCTGAGACTTTTTATTTCCATGGTGATTCAAAATAAAATAACATGAATGACCTTTTCCCTGGTCCTTTTCCTTTAACTTTTAGCCAAATTTATTTAACCCCTCCTGTGAATGAGAAATACCAAAGAAGAATGTTTCAGAGAGTTTTCATCAATATGAGCCACAAGTAGAGCACAAAGAACACAAATGGGTTAGAGGATAACAGGATTAATTTGTTTTCCCTTCAGCAACTGACATGCTAAACACTGCTGCAGGAAAAGAGGTACCTGGTAAAATGAGACCACCTGGCCAGGGCCTGCAGTTGTATGGTTTGTGTCCTTCATGGAGGCACCTGACCCAGAGGGAGTGGGGGCTAAAGAGCAGCCCCTGCCACAATGGCCCGGCAGAAAAGGGCCACGGCCTAGGAGGGGTGCAAAGAAAAAGGCACCATGTGCTTTCCGTAAGACTGAGACAGCTCAGAAGTGGTGCCTTCTTCTAATTGGTCTGGCCAGAGGGGTCACCTTCCTCTCGTCTGCACGAAAGCACCATTTGCTGGTAAGAACCTCGGAGAGGGCACTTGTTTCCATGCATTGTTTGCCATGGGCATCAGACAAGGCATTTACCATAGATGTGAAGCCCCAGCCATGATAGAACAACTGGTTCTAGCTCTCCTGCCATAAACAGCAAGAAAACTGGGCAAAAGACCTGAAGCAAATGTGTTCAGACGATGGACAACAGGCAGAGTAAAATGAGGATCCCTGAGAGGAGAACAAGGGAAGTGAGCCCTTCGACTGCCCAGGTTTTCTGCCTATAGATACTTTCCTGGCCCAGGCCAGAGCCTGGTGGCCAGAACTGAGTTGCCAGGGATGAGAGACCTGAGAAGCTGAGGCAGCTAGAGTCTGCTGGCCAGGGAGAAGGAAGCAATGCAGAGGGAGAACTCCAGGAATCTGCTCAGGGGCCCTTCAGTCTTTGTCTTTGGCTGAGTAAACTTCACATGCAGGAGGTGAGACTCCAAGCAGCCAGAAAAATCACCAGGAAACAACTAGTACTGAGGAAGCATGTGTAAGCTGGACAATTCCCAGAGCTTGCACGGGGCTTGGAGGCATGAGTTACAACCAGCCACAGAGGAAAGATCTCCTTAAACACCAGGTGGCATTTGGTATAGAGCCCAGAATTGCTAATTGCTACAATTGCTAATTTCTAATTGCTTTGTTCTGTCATACACTTAGCATTATTTACATATACATTTTTTTCTTAGTATATTTCCTCTAGGCCCAGGCAACCACTGACCTACTGTCTTTTTTCTGGACATTTCATATAAATGATACTATAAAATATGTAGCTTTTCTACCTGGTGTCTATCACTTAGCATGTTTTTAAGATTCATTCATGCACACCCAGCATGTTATCAGTACTTTATTCCTTTTTTATTGTGCATAGTATTTTGTTTATCCATTTACCAGTTGATAGGCATTTGGGCTGTTTCTAGCGTGAAGCTATTATAAATACTGCTCCTTGGAACATTCAAGAATAAGTCTTTGTGTACACATTTATTTTTATTTATCCTGAATAGATACCTAAGACTAAAGCTGTTGGGTCACATGGTAAGTATGTTTATACCCAAAAGTATATTTAACTTTTTAGGAAACGGTAAAAATGTTTTCCAAAGTGTATATACCACTTTACATTCCCGTCAGCAAGACATGAGAGTCACGGTTGCTCCCCATCTTCACCAACACCCAGTGCAGCATCGTCTGTCGTTTTGATTACAGACATTCAAGTGGGAGCACAGGGGCCTCTCACTGCAGTTTTAAACTTGTATTTCTCTAACAACCAATGATGCTGAGAATCTTCTAAAGACGTGTTTAGACTTTAAAGAAGAGAAAAATTTTCTCAATGGAGTTTCTCTCCACATTAGACTATTATAAAGATTAATTCCTATCCAAGTCCAAACTACTTCCTTAGCCCATCACACTGATTTTTCTGTTCCATATCTATTCAGTCCTTTGACCTCTTTAACCACATTCAAGCTCCTTCATAGTCTTTGTGTAGACATTCGTTATTATTTCCCTTGGGTACCTAAAAGTAGAACAGCTGGGTCATGTGGTAAGTAAATATTTGTAAACTTCACATTTAATACTTGTTTTGTGGTCCAGATGCCCAAATTAATGTGTTAATTTATTTTGGGAAATTGTATTTGATTACTAATGTTCATACTAGATAACACACGTACCTGAGGCACTATGCTAAAGTAATCGTTATTCCTTTAAGTCTCAAGTTTCTAACTATTTAAGCATGTATAATCAGATGGCACATGGATGTAATAGTCCCAAGCAGCTAACAGTCTAGTTGATGAGACAAGAGGTAATTAGATAATTCAAGATATTAAACTGTCTTCATGACATGACACTATAAGAAGTAGTACTCTGCACTAAGAGTAAGCAGCCCTCATTCAGTTTATGGTCTGCCTTGAACATGGGCTTTAGGATCCTAAGTAGTCACTTAACCTCATTCAACCTCTCTGCAACTTCAGTAGTAAAGTAGGGTCACTACCTACATAACATACTTCACGCTGCTGTGCATCGTGGGGTGTGATGGAAAGAACATGGCTTAGGAGCTAGGCAGACTTGAATTCAAATCTAGATTCAATAAATGCTTGTGCTCTTACTGGATCCAAAAGCTATTCTAAGTGCATTTCACATATTATTTTCTCTAATTCTCACAATAACCCTACAGCATCAATCCTATTATCATCCACATTTTATAAATGAGGGAAGTGAGGCTTAAAGATTAAATAACTTGCCCAAGGTCCACAATTAAATACAGGCATGCATTGCTTAAGGAATATGTTCAGGAAATGCATTACGGGCAATTTTAACCTGTGCAAGCACCATAGAATGTATTTATACAAACACAGATGGTGCGGCCTACTATGCACACAGGCTGTATGGTATAGGCTATTGCTCCTAGACTACAAACCTGTATGGCATTTCCTGGAGGCAACTGTAACACAATAGTAGGCATTTGTGTATCTAAACATAGAAAAGGGGCCAGGCACAGTGGCTCACGCCTGTAATTCTAGTACTTTGGGAGGCTGAGGCGGGTGGATCACCTGAGGTCAGGAGTTCGAAACGAGCCTGGCCGACATGGTGAAACGCTGTCTCTACTAAAAATACAAAAAAAAAAATAGCCAGGTGTGGTGGCAGGCTCCTGTAATCCCAGGTACTCGGGAGACTGAGGCAGGAAAACAGTTTGAATGCGGCAGGCGGAGGTTGCAGTGAGCCGAGATTGAGCCACAGCACTCCAGTCTGGGAGACAGAGCAAGACTCCATCTCAAAAAAATAAATAAAATAAAATAAAATACAAAAGGTACAGTAAAAATACGATACAAAAGATTTTAAAAATGGTACAGCTGTCTAGGGCATTTACCATCAATGCAGTTTGCAGGACTGGCCATTGCATCAGGTGAGTCAGTGGGTGAGTGGTGAGTGAACGTGAAGGCCTAGGTCATGACCATACACTACTGTAGACTTCATTAACACTGTGCACTTAGGCTACGCTAAATTTATTTTCAAAAATGTTTCCTTCTTCAGTAAACTAACCAACCTTAGCTTACTGTAAAGTTTTTACTTTATAAACTTTTTTAACTTTTTGATTCTTGTAATAACAGTCAGGTTAAAACACAAACACTATACAGCTACACAAAAATATCTTCTTTCTTTATATCCTTATTCTAGAAGTTTTATATTTTTAGAACTTTTTTAAAAAATTAGACTTAAAAACCTAAAACACACACATTAGCCTAGGCCCACACAGGGTCAGGATCATCAGTATCACCGTCTTCCACCTCCACGTCTTGTCCCACTGGAAGGTCTTCAGGGGCAGTAACAGGCATGGAGCTGTCATCTCCTGTGATAACAGTGCCTTCTTTTGTAGTAACTCCTGAAAGACCTGCCTGAGGCTGTTTTACAATTAACCTTTTTAAAAATGGGTAGTAGGCATATACACTAAAATAATGATAAAAAGTCTACTGTAGTAAATACAGAAACCAGTAACATAGTCATTTATGATGATTATCAAGTATTATATACCATGCATAATTGTATGTGCTAGACTTTTATATAACTGGCAGTGAAGTAGTTTGCTTTCACCAGCCTCACCATAAATGCATCAGTAATGCATAGCACTACAACTTTACCAATGGCTGTGATGCCACTAAGTGACAGGAATTTTTCAGCTCCTTCATAATTTGATGGGACCACCTTCATATGAGCAGTCCATTGTTGACTAAAATATCATTATGGGGCGCATGACTGTGATAGAGTGGTGATCCAAACCAAGGCAGAAGGAATATTTACCTCTAAATAATACTCTGCTGGAGAGACAAAATCAAAACTGTTCAGGGCTGTGACATCATCAGGACTGCATTTTCTCTCCAGGACCTGTTGCTCCGGTGGCTCCACGCTCCCTGCATGAGTTGCATTATGTTTGTTTCCCTGCTCTTTCCCGTCCTCATGAAGCCCTGTCTTCTGAGTTAGGCTAACATCCTGGAGGAAACATGTTCTAGCCTCCAAGTAGAGTGAGTGGTATGTGGGGAAGGGGAGGGAAGATAGAGGGCAGAAAAGACTTTTCCAACCTACCTAACAAACAAGCAAAATATGGCAAATTTGGGGCAACACCTGGAGTAGGGAGGGAGGCAATAGGAACTGTCTTAGAGAAGAAAAAATAATTCTTTCATTATTTCATGTCCCAGGATCGATCGAACCAACTCTATAGAACAGTATGCCGACCAGGTGTGGTGGCTCACAACTATAATGCCAGCACTTTAGGAGGCTGAGGAGGGAGGATCGCTTGAGCTCAAGAATTCAAGGACCAGCTTGAGCAACGTAGGGAGACCCTGTCTTTACCAAAAATTCTTTTTTAATTAGCCAGGCACGATGGCATGCGTCTGTTGTCCCAGCTACTCAGGAGGCTGAGGCAGGAGGATTGTATGAACCTAGTAGGTCGAGGCTGCAGTCAGCCGTGATGGCACCACTGCACTCCAGCAGGGACGACAAGGTGAGACCCTTTTTAATAAGAGTATGCCTTCCAAGTTTATGGTATTTGTCAACTAAGCTAAAGATGTTTTGAAGAAAGCAACGGGAATCTTTGAATGCTTGAAGGACAACGACAAAAAGTTTTAAAGTATTAAAAGCTTTGAAAGCAAATTTATAATCTTGGTGGAAAAAAGTAAATGAGGATATGAATTGTAATTTTAAAACTAAATTGCACACACATACAGGTAACTAGTATTGCCTATAGGAGGTATATCTGAAAATTTGTTTTGTGTATTCATCTTCATACATGGGTGTGTATGTAGATAAACAGACAATACACCCAATACTGATCACCTCTTTCCCAGCGGAGATGAAGGGAGATTTGCCTGAAAAAACTGTTCACCTGCTCGTTTAAAGTTGTTAAATTATTTTTTAAGTCTCTATTTTTAATTGCTTTAATAATAATAATAGAGGCTACCTTTTTTAAACTGCTAAACGTCAAATACCTGGTACACTTTAATACACCAACCCTACAAGGTAGGTCTTATCCTCTCCACTTTGTAGAGTAATAAGGAAGGCATATCACAAACAGGTTAAATAATTTGTTCAGTAACAAAGCTAGATTCAAACCTAGGTCTCTCATTCTAAAGCCACGTACTAGGCCGGGCGCAGTGGCTGATGCCTGTAATCCTAGCACTTTGGGAGGCCAAGGCAGGCAGATCACTTGAGGTCAGGAGTTCAAAACCAGCCTGGCCAACATGGTGAAACCCCACCTCTACTAAAAACACAAAATATTTAGCTGGGCATGGTGGCGGGTGCCTGTAGTCCCAGCTACTTGGGAGGCTGAGGCAGGAGAATCATTTGAACCTGGGAGTAAAAGGTTGCAGTGAGCCGAGATCCTGCCACTGTACTCCAACCTGGGTGACAAAGTGAGACTCTGTCTCAAAAAAGATTTTTTTAATTAAAAAAAAAATACAACTATGTTCTTTCTACTTTAATATTTTGCCCTCCCACCCATGGCAAATGATACAGGAGAAGAAATTAAAGACAACTTTGTAGCAGAAAACTAAATGAAAAGATGCTTGTTTCAAATTATCTTATTTGGACTGTTGTTTTTCCCTTGCCTTCAAATAAAGTGGGCAGCCTGAGACTGGGCTATGACCTAGGGAAACCTATGTGACTAAGGCTAAGCTGTGGCGCAGGGCTGAAGCTATGTGAGCTTCAGGTTCCCCGTGCAAATCTTGCCTAGAGGAAACCTGCCCTTTCTCCATATCTGGGCCTGTGTCCATCGACGTATATTCAGTCCAAAAAAAAAAAAAACTTTGTCTTAAGTGCACTGTAAGTGTTAGGGAAAGAATACTTATTCCTCGTTCCTCATGTTTCCATGTGGAAGAACCGAAAGTAGTACTTCTGATGTCCCTAAGCTGTCTCACTCTACCTCTTAGTAGAGGATACGTGAACTATCAAATTAGTGGTACTCAAGAGAAGGAAATGAGTACACACAGGCTGTGCTCCCCCACCCTGTAGAGGAGGCCTGCAACTGTCCGGCCTGCCTGTGCCTGCTAAGTGTGTCACTCAAGGGTGAGGGGTCAGCAAGCCTACTTGGCCAACAGACAGAAAGCCATTTTCTCTTACAGCTTTATCCGTAACTAAGGTGAAATGAGACAGAGGAAAACACAGTGGCGAAGACTGGGCTCAGGAACTGAATTGCCTGGTTGTGAATCCCAGCCCCACCACTTACTATGTGACCTTGGGCAACTAATCTAACTTCTCCAGGCTTCAGTTTCCTGCTCTATAAAATGTAGCCAACAAGAGAGCCTATTTCATGGGATTGCTATGAAGATTAGAACAGTGCCTGGCACATAATAAGCATTCAGTGTTAGTGTCTTTATTATTTATTTCTTCTATCTCACTGATCCTTGTGATAATCTCAGTTCAAAACTAGGAGGGGGAAGAAAGGGGAGCTGAACAAAGAGAAAGAATTTCTTTCAAAAGTAAGAGAGAACATCTTTTAGCTACAGCAGCAAGATGATGCAAATGTCTTATGTTACTTTTTGGTGAACTAGTTTGGAGAAAACTCCAGAATAACAGCAGGTCCAGAAGACAAAGCACTAAGGTGCCCAGTTCAAAACCTCCCCCACCATACTCCACCAACTAGAAATTAATTTGCAATGTCATGGTTTTTTCCAGTGTGGGGGGCTATCAGGACACCCCCCCACAAGATGGTTCATTATAATTTTCCATATTAATCAGCTCTATCACTCACTAATATTCAGTGTGAGAGTTTGGTGCTTTTCCTAAAACCACCTCTGCTCTCTACTTAGTATGGGTGTCAACTGATTCCCCTTTGAACATCTTAAACCTGTTTCCTACATGTGAAATACTCTACGTGTCTAGGGACATATAAGCACCGTTACACTGTGCTTATTGGATGGGATAAGAGAATTACAGTAATTAAGGATGAAAATACAAGGTTCCTGAACACCTTTAACATCTATTACATGTCATCAGCCACTTACAGGTGATCCTGCTGCCTCCACACCAGCTCCTGCAATGGAAATCCTCAGCACCTAAATTTAGCCCAGTGCCTGCCAAATTGTAGGCATTCAGTGAATGTTTATTGAAATCAGAGCCTAGGAATTAGGTTAACCATGACTACAACCTGTCTAAAAAAATAGCTTTCCTCATAAGCCGCACCTCAAATGTCCAGACGCCACTTTTCCTACGTCTGTTCTCTGTCAACATCTTGTCCTTGCTGTACTGTTAGACATGAGACCTTAAACTATGCATTTCCTTAAGAAACCATGAGCTAAAAATTAAAAAGAGACAGAAGATGTTAGTTTAAAAGTATTCCTCACCAAATCCCAGGCAACAGCTCTATAACAGCAGGTCTAGAGAACAACCAGAAGGCAGAAGATTCTAAGATACAGAGCTTTGGAGGAAATTAATAGAATGGCACGGCTAAGAATTTGCAAACAAAAATTTAAGAATATGCTAAAGACAGAACCAGAAAACACAAATAAAACTGCAGAAAAAACAAAAAGCTGTTAAGAGAGTCATGGATTATATAAAGCAAACAAAAACGTGGTATACTCTGATGCAACTGATGGGATTTAGGGAAAGATAATTTATTTCAACTTTATGCTATGAGCCATCACAGTGCCCTGCACTCAAGAGACAGCACTACAGCCAAGGGAGAGCCTGACAGGTGCTGGGCAAATCGCTCCTTGCTGAGAAAAAATAACAAAGCGTGGGCAAAGGGAAGGTAAAACATCCTCATATGCAACCTCTGTGCAAACACAAGTGGCGGCAGCCAGAGGCTTCAGTCAGCTCCTCAGAGCTTCCTAAGAAGTGCTCAGGAGTTGGAAGGTCATGTCTGCAAAGAGAAGAAAATCTGCAGACATGGCAAAGGCAGAAAAAGAAATGACAAGCTCCGTCCCTACTACATGGAACACAAAAAAGAAGTTCCAGGATCCCAACGCACCAGAGAAGGAGCCTCCTTTGGCCTTTTTCTTGCTCTGTCCTGAGCACTGACCAAAAATTAAAGGAGAACAACCCAGCCAATGCACTGGCGATGTTGGAAAGAACTGGGCAAGATGTGGAATAATAACGCTGCTGCCGATGCCAGGCAGACCCAAGACCAGAGGGCTGCTAAGCTGAAAGAAAACACAAAAAGTCTATTACTGCATATGAACTCAAGAAAAGCCTGATGGGGTGAAAAAGGCAGTCATCAAGGCTGCAAAAAAGCAAGAAAAGGAAGAGGAAGAAGAAGAGAAAGATGAAGACGAAAAGGAGGAGTAGAAAAGAAAATGAAGATGATGGGTCAGGCACGGTGCCTCATGCCTGTAATCCCAGTACTTTGGGAACTGAGACAGTTGAATCGCTTGAGCCCAGGAGTTCAAGACTAGCCTTGGCAACATGGTGAAACCCCATCTCTACAAAAAATACAAAAAAAGTTAGCCAAGCATGGTGCCTATAGTCCCAGCAACTCGGGAGGCTGCGGTGAGAAAATCACCTGAGTCGGGGAGGCAGAGGCTTCAGTGAGCCAAGATTGTGTCACTGCACTCCAGCCTGGGTGACACCCTGTTTCCAAAATAAATAAATAAATAAATAAATAAATAAATAAGGCAAGCCTCGGTGGCTCACGCCTGTAATCCCAACACTGTGGGAGGCCAAGGCAGGCAGATCGCTTGAACCCAGGAATTCAAGACCAGCCTGGGGAACATGGTGAAACCCCATCTCTACTAAAAATACAAAACATTAGCCGGGTGTGGTGGTGCATGCCTATGATCCCAGCTACCTGGGAGGCTGAGGTGGAAGGATCACATGAGCACAGGAAGTAGAGCTTGCAGTGAGCCGAGATCATGCCACTGCACTCCAG
This sequence comes from Homo sapiens, assembly GCF_000001405.40. Lineage (NCBI taxonomy): Eukaryota > Metazoa > Chordata > Mammalia > Primates > Hominidae > Homo > Homo sapiens. Next base: position 29,220,036 of record NC_000008.11, read on the forward strand.
CCTGGGCAACAGAGTGATGACCCTCTCTCAAAAAATAAAAAATGAAATGAAAGTGATGATGATGAATAAGTTGGTTCTAATACATTTTTGTCTATAAAAATTTAACCCCCCTGTACACAACTCACTCCTTTAAAGAAAAAAACTGAAATGTAAGGCTACGTGAGACTTGTTTTTAAACTGTGCAGTATCTTCTTTTGTATAGTTAATGTACTACCCAATGTGTCTTCAGAGAGCCCTGTCCTGATGGTATTCCCAGTGGTCACTAGCCTTGCCTGGTACTCTACGGGGCTGTAAACTGGCATGGAAATTTAAAGCAGGTCTTGCCAGTGCTCAGGACAGCTAGTTACATATGGGGATGGTTGTTGCTTTTTCATCTTCAGTTGTCTCTGATGCAGCTTATATAAAATAACTGTTGTTCTGTTAACTGAACACTACTCAGTAACTGGCAAGGAGGGGAAGGCGACAGCTGGTTTGTTGACATTCTGAATGTTTCTAAGTAAATAAAATTTCTTTATTTAAAAAAAAAAGTCTATATTAGGACAGTCTCCATGAAACAGCCCATGGGTTTTGATAATAAGCCCACAGAGAAGGACGAGGAAGCCTAAGACACCCTTTGGTCTAGCACTGACAGAAAAAGATACATACAAACATACACACCAATGTCAACTTATGCATAAAGAAAGGTGGCTTGTAAAAGAGCGCAGGAAGGAGAAACACGGGGTCTCATAATGTTGGTAAGAAAAGAGTAGAGAGATAACGTTTAAGGTTGATTTAACAAGAAATATGAGTATCAATACGTTATGTAAAAACATCCCAGAAAATCTCAGTACTTTGGGAGGCCAAGACAAGTGGATCGCTTGAACCCAGGAGTTCAAGACCAGCCTGGGCAACACAGCAAAACCCCATCTCTATAAATAAATATATTTTTATATGTTAAAATTTAAATATGTACATACATTAACTGGGTGCGGTGGCATGCACCTGTAGTGTCACCTACTCAAGAGGCTGCTGTGGGAGGATCACCTGAGCCCAGGGAAGCTGAGGCTGCAGTGAGCTGTGTTCTTTTTTTTTTTTTTTTTTTTTTTGAGATGGAGTCTCACTCTGTCACCCAGGCTGGAGTGCAGTGGTATGATCTCAGCTCACTGCAACCTCCACCCCCCAGGTTCAAGCAATTCTCCTGCCTCAGCCTCCCAAGTAGCTGGGATTACAGGCATGTGCCACCACACCAAGCTAATTTTTGTGTTTTTAGTGGAGGCGGGGTTTTGCCATGTTGGGCAGGCTGGTCTCGAACTGCTGACCTCAAGTGATCTGCCCGCTTCGGCCTCCCAAAATGCTGGGATTACAGGCATGAGCCACCGCACCCGACCTGCAGTGAGCTGTGATCGTGCCACTGCACTCCAGCTTGGGCAACAGAGTGAGACCCTGTATTTAAAAAAAAAAAAAAAGGAAAGAAAAAGCAGCACAGAAAAGCACTGAAACTAATATAAAAATGAAATAGGAGAAGAGGTAAAAAGGATTGCACATATGAACTTAATCTTCTTCAAGGAGTCAATGAATATGTATCCAATATGATTTTAATATGAATCTTAATTATCCAAGGTACACATGTATCACCTAGAGTAATTGAAGTATTATTGCTCGTGTGCCCCAAAAGAATTTTGTGAAGCCTTGTAACTGCTCACACATTTTTAAGTCAATGTACAAGATTTTTCAAAATTAAGTTTGAATAGTTGCAAAGGATAATGCCCAAAATATTGTTTTTTAAACAAAATTCCTTTCAACATATCCATTGGTATCAAAATACCATAAAATTTGGTATTTGGGTATTTCATAATATTTTTAGTTTTTATATTCACTATCGATACTTTATAAAATGAAAAACCTCTTCTTGAATAGTCGGTAGTTTTCTATCTTTACTTTTTTCCATGAATTCATATTTCTATTCCACATTCCCCAAAGAATTTTGTTCTAATATAAATTCTTATTAATTAACCACTCTATCACTGTTTTCTATAAAAATACCTATATATGCCAGGCACAGTGGCTCCCGACTACAATCCCAGTACTTTGGGAGGCTGAGGTAGGAAGGTCGCTTGAGCCCAGGAGTTCATGACCAGCCTGGGCAACAATGTGAGACCCCATCTCTACAAAAAAAGAAAAAAAGAATTAGCTGGTCATGGTGTTGTGTGCCTGTAGCTCCAGCTACTCAAGAGGCCGAAGCAAGAGATTGCTTGAGCCCAGGAGGTCAAGGTTGCAGTGAGCTGTGTTCATGGCATGGCACGGCACTGCACTCCAGCTGGGTGACAGCAAGACCCCGTCTCAAAAAAACAAAACAAAACAAATAGTACTTTAACATCAAACATTATTTTGTTTTCTTTATTTTGGAAATGGGTCTCAATCTGTCGCCCAGGCTAAAGTGTAGTAGTAAAATCATAGCCCATTTTAACATTAAACTCCTGAGCTCAAGTCCCACACCTGACTTTTTTTTTTTTTTTTTTTTTTTTTTTTTTTTTTTTTTTTGTAGAGACAGGGTGTCACTATATTGCTCAGGCTGGTCAAATATTATTTTTAATCATCTTTCAGCTAAAGAATGAATTAGATTTCCTGAAAGCAAATAATGGAAAACTATATGGCTTACAAAAAGAGTTGTGATTCAGATCATAAAAGTCACTCTTTTTCTCAATTTCTTGGGTACATGCCAAAGACTTCGCCATAACTTTTCAAGTTAATTACACCTGCTACTGTTTCACTTAGTGGCACTTTGCTTAACCTGTTATACACAGAAGGGGTTGAGAAGACAAAACACTGTTAACTTCATTATACCTTTGACAAAGTAATATTATGTGACATGATGTGTTTTCCTCAAAATATTAGAGCTGCAGATTTAGCTGATTCAATTTATGGGACAATTTGTTATGTGATCTAACAATTTGACATATAATCTAGAAAGCAGCTTTATGATCAAAAATTGATTTTATATATATACATATAAATCTATATGGCTGGGAGCTATGGCTCACGCCTATAATGCCAGCACTTTGGGAGGCTGAGGCACAAGGATCGCTTGAGCTCAGGAGTTTGAGACCAGCCTGGACAACATGGCAAAACCTCCTCTCTACAAAAAAATACAAAAAAAAAAAAAACAAAAAAAAAAACTTAGCCAGGCATGGTGGCGCTCAAGTCCCAGCTGCTTTGGGGGCTGAGGCGGGAGGATTGCTTGAGCTCAGGAGGTCAAGGCTACAGTGAGCCCCGATCACACCACTGCACTCCAGCCTGAGTGAGAGAGACCCTGTCTCAAAAAAAAAAAAAACAAAAAAATCTAAATCAAACATTTTCTGTACAAGACAACTTGGCCTCATTTTAAAATTCAAACAAAAGTTTTAAAAGCCACTTCACAGAGAACTAGATTATAAAATACATCCTGTAAGATTACTAAAAGTAACCAAGGGCGAATTTGAATTATGTATATCTAACAATTTAAATGGATAAAAGATAGATCAATATGCTATTTCTTAGTAATTAATCTGCAATAAAATTTAACACGTAACTAAAATTAGCAGCTATTAATAAAACAAGCCAGATGATAAAGATAGTGTATTCCTCTGGTTAATGTATGTTATTAAGTAATCCAACTCTGGTATATTGTATTTTTGAAAATAAATAAGAATGAAAAGGAATTCTATCAATTTTCTTTGAGACAGGCTGGAGTCCAGTGGCTTGATCTCGGCTCACTGCAACCTCCACCTCCCGGGTTCAAGTGATTCTCCTGCCTCAGCCTTCCGAGTAGCTGGGACTACAGGCACCTGCCACCACGCCTGGCTAATTTTTTGTATTTTTAGTAGAGACGGGGTTTCACTGTGTTAGCCAGGATGGTCTCGATCTCCTGACCTTGTGATCCGCCCGCCTCAGCCTCCCAAAGTGTTGGGATTACAGGCGTGAGCCACGGCGCCCAGCCTACCAATTTTTTTTTTCTTTTTTTTTGAGACAGAGTCTCTCTCTGTTGCCCAGGCTGGAGTGCAGTGGTGCCATCTTGGCTCACTGCAAGCTCCACCTCCTGGGTTCACGCCATTCTCCGCCTCCCGAGTAGCTGGGACTACAGGCACCCGCCACCACGCCCGGCTAATTTTTGTGTGTGTGTGTATTTTTTTTAGTAGAGATGGGGTTTCACCGTGTTAGCCAGGATGGTCTCGATCTCCTGACCTCGTGATCCACCTGCCTCGGCCTCCCAAAGTGCTGGAATTACAGGCGTGAGCCACCGCGCCCGGCCTCAGTTTTCTTAAACATCAATACTGGGCTTTTTCCCTAAGTATTTAATAAAAGAAGAGAGTATATAGAAGTGTAAATCACTGGCCGGGCATGGTGGCTTATTTATTATTAACTAACAAGGTCTAGCATTGGGAATAATTGCTTCAACTTCAAAGTTGTGTTGAATGTAAACATCTAAAGATATTTGTAACAATGAGAATGTGATACGAAAACAGCTGTGATTTGTATTGGTGACAAAGTCACAGGTACTGCTAATACTATAATTCATTACCTATGTTAATAATTGAAGGAATCGCTAAATTTCATTTGTAAGTTACTGAGAAATAAAAGTGTAACCTTTTCCCCATCCGTGTTTATAGAACCCCCCCCCATTCATTCTATCCACGTTAAGAATCCCTATTCTAGAGCATGCATCCTTGATTAGAGGTGTTCATATGCTACCTCATCCACCCTGGAGTGTGTACGCGTAATTAGGATATCAAATGTTAATTAGTTATTCCTATGTGTGGATTAAAACTAATGCCTGCATCTATATCACTTTTTTGGGTATAATTTAATAGGGATGATGAGACTTCTGTACAAATGAATACAAACAGTGAGGACTTATGAGGAGTTCCAAAGGGGTAAGCCATGAAGTGCAATGCAGTTATGCTGAAGTATTTTAAAGACACTGTAAGAGGATCTGGCAAACATGAGTACAGTGATATGTGTTACAGCTGCAAGGAAAAAAGTGGAGAGAAGGAATGAAAGTTGTCATTACTGTTATTCCTTATTTAAGGTTGAAAAAGACATCACGGAAAGATATGTCACAAGGTCTTTGTTGTCTGTGGTTTGGAGTTGAAGCTGTTTCAGATAGAGAATAGCACGACAGTGTGGGAAGGCAGAAAGGCAGGGCCACATGTGGAGGACGGGAAGGCACAGAAGCTTTTTCCGCATGTGAAGGACAGACTAGTCCAGCCACAGTTATGAGCATTTTATGCATATTAACGCATTTAGTCCTCATAACAACCCTATTATTTGCATTTTACAGATGGAGAAATAGGCATAGAGAGATTAAGTAACATCCTGAGTCAAAACTAGGTCTGTCTGGCTCCTCTGGACTCAAAACTACTCAATGCAAGATTGCGCTGATGCTTAGGTGGGAGCGTGACTGGAGATAGGAGATCAGGTCAAAGGCTGTTGAAATGATGCTGGCGAAGATACAGTGGAGGTGTGCCCTGCCTGCCAAGCATCAGGAACAGGTGAAAAAAACTTTCCAGCCTGGAAATCTAAACATTTGTTTTTAGACTAGACAGTATCCACAAAATAGGGAATAAAAGTTCAGTGTTTCTAAGCAGAGATTTTTACCAGCAGTTTTAAACCTTCCTGTGTCTGGCTGGATCGATTCCTGTGTTACCAGCGTCTCTCTCCAACTAAAGAATGTTCGTCTGGGCAGGATTTTATTGTAATCACCAGCTAATGTTTACACTAAGCACCACCTTAGTCCCCTGACTAGATAGGAACACCAGTAATACAGTTTCCAAATGTTCAGTACATGGTGACTAAGCTCACAGTTGTCAGATGCTTGCACCAGATAGCAGCAAAGGAAACACTGACAATCTGGCCCATTTGCTAGTAGTTTGCAAGAACTCAAGGGTGAAGTGAGAGGGAACGTTTAAGGTCAAGAGCATGACTGCCTGGCATATAAGTAACTAGGGTCTGTAGCTCTTCACATTATAGATGGAATTTCAGATGACTGGAGTTAAATGGAGGTTTTATGAAAACATACCTAACCTACCTTCTGCATTGAATACATGCAGGATCTAGAGACGGATTGATTCATCTTTGATGTAAAATGTAACACCTGAGTAATTCCCAACTTCCTGGTTCCAGGAAAAGAGAGAAGGTCCTGGCAGCACAGTAAATTCTCTAATAAACAGATTCAAGAGACCATAAAAGTAATTTGAACTTACATGACTGTCTGGCATGAAAGTAACTAGGGTCTGTAGCTCTTCACATTATAGATGGAATTTTAGATGACTGGAGCTAAATGGGAGTTTTATAAAAACATACCTAACTCACCACCTGCATTAACAGTCAGCTGGTTCCTGGTCCAAAAGCTTTTTACTGGGCGGGTTCAGATTCAGCTTCTGGCCTTGTATTTGTAGCATGGGAGCCCTTCACTTGAAGGTCATTGTTTAGGAGCCTGTGAGTAGGTGGCCCGGAAAGCCCATGGGTGTCCGCTCCCCAGACACTCACCCATCCAACCCTTGGAGCAATTCCATCACTTTCCCAGGCCCAGGAGAGGTGTCTCTTTATCTAAGTTCTCCAAGATTGCTGGTCAGAATGATTTAACTTACCAGAAAGCAGTGAAGATCTTAAGAACAGTCAAGACTAAATGTTAAAATTTACACCCGCGTGGTCTCTGACATGTGTTCTTCTCTGCATCCCATGTTTCACTTCCATATTTTAAATTTTCACTTTCATTTTGACAGACTAATGGTCTGATTTAAGATATAATTTCTTAGCAAATAGCTTCTGTTTAAGTTTCGTTGTTAATTGTAGCTAAAGTGTAGATTTCCAAGTTGGAAAATGGAAGCAATTATTTTCATCTGTTCTTAATTTATTTATATTCTGCTCAAGGTCATCACCAAGGTCTGACTGCAAAAATTGCAACCTCAGGCATAAATGGGTTAATACTCACCCCTAAGACAGGCCATTAATTGGAAGGCAAAGTACTTTGAAATAGCTAAAGAAGGATGACCAATTACTCTTTTAGGATGCATCAGCTATATGCACAGATACATTTTTATACCATTTCTTTCAGGCTTTTGATGTACCTTATTCAATAAGGATTCAATAAGGTAGTTAACCTATTTTTATTAAATCACAACATAAAATACTTATTTCAATTATAGTCAATCCTCATCTCAAGTTATGAAATATTTAATATTTTCTGCCACTTATTAATAAAAAGCATTTTATACTAACTGCTACAGTGGTTTACACTTTATTTTTTATTTTTTGAGATGGAGTTTTGCACTTGTTGCCCAGACTGGAGTGCAATGTCATGATCTCAGCTCACTGCAACCTCTGCCTCCTGGGTTCAAGTGATTTTCCTGCCTCAGCCACCCAAGTACTTGGGATTACAGGTGCCCACCACCACACCCGGCTAATTTTTGTATTTTTAGTAGAGATGGGGTTTCACCATGTTGGACAGGCTGGTCTTGAACTCCTGACCTAGGTATATTTCAATACGTATCTGGTTTCCTTGATAATCCTATGTATTTTATGTTTTTGAAAGATTATTCTGAGAAGGAGTCCACATGATTTATCAGACTGTCAAAGGGTTCATGACCAACAAAAGGTTGCGAATTTCTGCTCCAGGCTGGCAGCAGCGGCTCACGCCTGTAATCCCAGGGCTTTGGGAGGCAAAGGTGGCAGGATCACTTGAGGCCAGGAATTCAAGACCAGCCTGGACAACATAGAAGGACCCAAAAATCTACAAAAAACTTGAAAAATTAGCTGGGCATGGTGGTGCACGCCTGTAGCCCCAGCTACTCAGGAGGCTGAGGTGGGAGGATCACTTGAACCCAGGAGTTCAAGTACATGATGAGCCATGATAGTGCCACTGCATTCTAGCCTGAGCAATAGAGCAAGACTTTAAAAAAAATTTTTTTTAAGTCTGCTCTAGAAGCTGTGTTTAGCGCCTTCAGCTACCTTTCTTTCCTGATCAACACTGGAAATTTTTTTTATAATTTGGTTTTTTTTTTTCCTTTCAAAGTACATCATTGGGCATGAACTGGAGGGCTTGTTAATTAGCAAAAGAAATGTTAGAAATAATTTTTCACTGGTAAAGTGCATAGTGTTGAAAGTGTGACTAAAATAATGACTAAAAATATGGGCCGGGCTCAGTGGCTCACGCCTGTAATCTCAGCACTTTGGGAGTCCGAGGCAGGTGGATCACAAGGTCAGGAGGTCGAGACCATCCTGGCTAACACGGTGAAACCCTGTCTCTACCAAAAAAAATAGAGAAATTAGCCGGACATGGTGGCGGGCGCCTGTAATCCCAGCTACTCAGGAGGCTGAGGCAAGAGAATAGCGTGAACCCAGGATGCGGAGCTTCCAGTGAGCCAAGATCGCGCCACTGCACTCCAGCCTGGGTGACAGAGCCAGACTCCATCTTAAAAAAATATATATATATATATATGAGATACAGGTTCCTCCATTCTTAGGACAGCAAAGTATAAGACTAACAAACCTAGCATCCTGTTCCCTGTCATTAGCTAGGGCTCTATCCAGACTTGAATTCAGATTCTATTGCATAATTTTGATCAAAAGAGTACCTGAATCCTGCTACATCTGTCTCAAGGGAAACTTCTGGGGAAGGTGCTTGTCTGAGAGCTGTGGCTTCACTGAGCTTACAGGAACAGGTGGCATGACCAATGCTGTGGCTGCTTGCTAATAAAGATGCAGCAGAACCCAGTCAAAGTTTCATTGTAACACATCTCCTGGTGGTGTGATTGGGCAGGAGAAGGCCTCAGGCTCTCACCTAACTCTAAACATAGAAGGTTGTTAATATCTTGTTACAAATGACCAAAACGGCTTAGATCAGTTCATAACACTCCCACAAGACTAATAAGGACCATGAAGGCTGGAACCAAATTCTCTTTTGTTTATCAGTGTTTTCTTAGGGTCAACATCCTGATAAACACACAGAGGGCACTCTATGGTTGTTGAATGAATTAATGAATATGATACACACTTAGCTGTATGTGGGTTTTTCCTAACTCCAGAATGTCAGCTTTAAAAAAAAAAAAAAAAAAAAAAAGCATGTCATATTTATCTTTCCCTTATCAGGACACCCTTCTGGAGTGATGTGTATCAGATGTCAATCAATAACTGCTGAATGTCTTTAGTTCTGATCTAATCTGAATTAACCAGTTACATTTTTCCAAATGTTTAGAGAAGAAACTCTTCTGTAAAATCTTAGAAGGCAATGAGAAGCTGTGAGCTCATCTAGTTTTGGAGAGACGAGCTTAGGCAGATCTGAGTTCAGATCCCTGTTCTGCCACTTTCTGATCATGTGACCCTGGGAAGCCTTGTAACACCTTTGAGTCTCATTTCCCTTCTGAAAATGTTGAGATAACAATGTGATGCCTATATCGTTTGTTGTAAGATGTCATGAGAACTTATACTCTTGCAAAGGATCTAACACAATATAAACAATACTAATGCCTATAAATAAATGCTGGTTGTCATCAATGAGAAGATCCACAAACTAAAGTCTCTATTCACTTCTTGTATTTCCAAGAATGCTGTGCTGGCTGTGTCTGCATTACTGACACCTTCTAAGCATTCAAAGACCTTGACCACGGAGTTCCTTTTCTTATGATAATGATAGTTCAAGAAACCAACTCTGAGCAATATTATGCAAATTGATGCTCTTCAGAGGAAACCCACAATCCCTTAAATAAACATCTTACAGTTGCTATCTGGGGCATCAAGAAACTACACTTAGATCTACAGCTTAAACAGCTATGATTATTGTCAATTAAAAGCAAAAGGGCATCATTTGTTATTAGAAACCTGGTATTATAATTGACTACATGTCTAACCCAGTTAATATTTATTGAGTACCTACCATATATGCCAGTGTTATTTGAAAAGAATATTACTTAAAATATGATGTTTTAATAAATAAAATTTGTTTAAGAGAGTTGACAAGAATAAATAAATCAAGGCAAAATAGCAGCTACCACCTACTAAGTAGGTACCATGTACCAGACATTTTACATAAATAACTCACTCATGCCCACGGTAATCTTGCATGATCCATATCACAGTGTTATCACCTCCACTTCATAGAAAAGGAAACAGAGGCTCAGGGAGGTGATATAAACTTCCAGATTTACACAGCTGGTAAACAGTAGGCCCAGCACTCACACCCAAGTCTGAGTCATGCTTCTCTTCAACCAACTCTTGCCTTTCCCATCCCCAGACACAGTGGTAATCATTAAACTCCCTCGCAGCACCTCTGTTCTGCAGCTTTGCTACTGCTTACGGGGTTGATCAATTTAAAAATTAACCCAATCTATAAATTGGCCTATCCTCTTCCTAATATTTAAGTTCAGTTCCTTACTATCCATACCAAGTTCTGGGGGGCAAAGGGACCAGACAGGCCCAAAAAGGCCAGGTCAACGGACAGCCAGCTCAACACACAGCAAGAGAATCCCTGAGGACACAGACAAGGGCATGCGAGAGGACGTCTTAGTGTGGATTCCTCAGAAAGCAAAGACCAAGGCTTCTGTGGGAGTGTATCCCAGGCAAGGAGGGAAGGGAGTGAGCATGAGGAAGTGTCAGATTATGAGCACGTGAAGCTGGCGTGAGCCCAGACTGAGCTGGCAACAGCCAGGGTTGAAAAGTGATCAAAGGCTCCAAGGAGAGGTGAGGCCAAGAAGACCTGAATCAGCACCTGCAAGGGGTCTGATATGGGGCAGAATGATGAAAGCAGAATCTGAAACCCTAAGTAAAGCTTCTGGAAATGGCAAGGCATAAAGTCTTGGTCCAATGCCAGAGTGTGACCTAATATTTTGTTTTTTGTTTTTGTTTTTGAGACAGGGTCTCACATTGTCACTCAGGCTGCAGTAGTGCAATCACACCATCACGGCTCACTGCAGCCTCAACCTCCCCAGACTCAGGTGATCCTCTTGTCTCAGCCTCCCAAGTAGCTGGGACTACAGGCATGCACCACCATGCCCAGGTGATTTTTTTATTTTTGTAGAGACAGGGTTTCACCATGTTGCCAAGGCTGTTCTTGAACTCCTGGGCTCAAGTGATTTGCCTGCCTCAGCCTCCCAAAGTGCTGGGACTGCAGGCATGAACCACCACGCCCGGACGTGTGACTTACTCTTAACCAGTCTCTGTCCCCCATCCTACTTTTAAGCATCCTTCATGATGTAAATAGATGAAGGCTACCATACGGGTTCGGCCTGATAAATCTTACATTCAGAGAAGGGATTTTCCCACAGTAGGGTTTTCCTATACTACTTATATAACTATATTAAAATGACTAACACGAAATCATACCAAATGTGTATGAAACGTCTGGCTCCTCCCACTGTGTCATATTATACCCAATCCCCCAAAGAAGAGGGCAGGTGGCAAGTGTGGCCATGACTGGCCGAGTGACTAAGGAGGGGTAATCACTGAACAGGCCAAGCGTTTTGGTTACACACAGGTTTCTGTTGTGGTAACACTGGATGAGAATGAAATTGAGCAAGGAAGCTTCCGTGCTCCTTACATGTGACTAAAACACCAAGTCAGCCAATCTTCTCTGGAAAGGAATATGTAATTAACAAAATAATAAAGAGCAATGATAAGAACAGCAGTTACCATGTACCGATTCTTATGACAGTTTGCATTTCACAGGTAAAATTTATTTTTTAAAACACAGTAATTTTGTAGCTGTTTATATCCTCTAAAAAAAAAAGGAAAAAGGCTTGCTTTAATGGAAATGTACATATATGTGTATATGTAAACAAAACAAAGAACTCCAATCAAAACTTCTTATGCATTACAAATTCCACTTCCAAATTTTTTTTTAAGAATTATAAAGAACCTGTAAGATTCCAGCTACATATTCCAGTCTGTCCCTGGATCATGAAAAAATAATTTAAAAGAAATTAGAAATATCTGGGTGCAGCTGGTCATGCCTACAATCTCAACACTTGGGAGGCTGAGGAAAGCTAATCACGTGAGCCCAGGAGTGTGAGACTAGCCTGGGCAACATGGTGAAGCCCCATCTCTACAAAAAACACACAAAAATTAGCAGGGTATGGTGGTGCACACCTGTAGTCCCAGCTACTTGGGTGGCTGAGGTGGGAGGATCCCTTGAACCTGGAAAGGTTGAGGCTGCAGTAAGCCATGATTGCACTACTACATTCCACTCCAGCCTGGGCAACAGAGTGAGACTCTGACTAAAAATAAATTAATTAATTAAAAATAAATAAAAATTTAAAAATAAAATATATATAGGCTTGGCACTTTGGGAAACCAAGATGGGAGGATCACTTGAGGCCAGGAGTTCAAGACCAGCCTGGGCAACCACAGCAAGACCCTGTCTCTAAAACAATAAAAAATAAAAAAAATTAAAAAATAAATATATATATATATACTTATAAAGAAAGATTCCAGCTACATAAAAACTCAGAGATCCCGAAATTTGAATTTATACTTCCAAGTAAAAACAAAAATAAAGTTAGTCTTGCCATCCTTTTCTCCCTCACAGTGACCACATTCTGCTGACATTAGAAATTTTACAGTTTTCTTTTTTTTACTTAGGAATATTTTTAAATTTATTACATTACTGTAAACTTTCTGACAAATTCAAAATTAAATAATTCCAACTTGTTCACGGTAAGCACAACAGTGATTTGTCAAAGGCTTCTTGCTTTTTCCAGGATCCATCATAGATACTTGTTTCTGCCTCTTCTGTCCTCTTAATATCCTGGTAGACACAGAGACTCCATAGCACCCATACCACTGCCCACTCTCTCACCCCTCCAGCACCTGAAACTCATTTGAAAGCTTTCAGCTGGGGGTGGTGGCTCACGCCTGTAATCCCAGCACTTTCGGAGGCCAAGGGGGTGGATAACTTGAGGTCAGGAGTTCGAGACCAGCCTGGCCAACCTGACAAAACCCTATCTCTACTAAAAATACAAAAATTAGCCGAGCATGGTGGCATGTGCCTTTGATCCCTGCTACTCAGGAGGCTGAGGCAGGAGAATCACTTGAACCCGAGAGGTGGAGGTTGCAGTGAGCAGAGATCATGCCACTGCACTCTAGCCCGGGTGACAGAGTGAGACTCCATCTGAAAAAAGCTTTCTAAAAAATCCCATATGACACCAAAATTCCATCTTGGTTCTTCAAATCCTGTTCCCACTGTTTATCCACAAACCCTATCAATAGCAAGAGAACAATCAGAGAGGTTTAGAACCAGGGAATCCTTGCCACCCTAACCCCAAAAGGAGAGGGAATAGTTACATTTCTTGGCATTCTAAGCTGGAACGCTGAACTTATAGAACTACTTGCTCAAAATGTTTTAGTTAATAATGGTAGGCACTTCAGAAATACCACAGGTAAATAAGCATCTGTAGCAACCCAGGGATGACTTACACATTTACGTGACATTGCTTATATGGGGAAAAATGTTATAATGTTCTAAAATTGCGGTGAGTACCTCAAACAATTTTAATTAACCTGTGCTAGCACATTATCTAGATCAGAGATTCTCAAATTTTTTGGTATCAAAACCCCTTTACACTCTTAAATATTAGTGAGGGCAATAACAGCTTTTGTTTATATGGGTTATAGCTGATAGATATTTTTTGAATTAGAAGCTGAGAAATTTTAAAAATATTTTAGAGCCAGGCACAGTGGCTCACACCTACAGTCCTAGAACTCTGGGAGGCCAAGGTAGGAGGACTGCTTGAGCCCAGGAGTTCAAGACTATAATGAGCTATGATCACATCACTGCACTCCAGTGTAGGTGACAGAGTGAGACTTTGTCTCTGAAGTACATGTGTGTGTGTGTATTTTAATTCATTTAAAAACAAGAGTCATTATATGTTAATATAAACATTTTTAAAGAAAAATAGACAGTTAAGAGTTAGCACTTTACATTTTTGCAAAATAATGTATTAATTTGAACACTACATCAAGAATATTTGGTAATTTATAAACAAAGTCATGTCAACAATTAGGGAATTCACATGGCTACACTTCTTAATAAGCTAAAGAAAAAACTGAGAACATGACAGATTCAGAGTGCAGAGATTGATGGTCTTGAAAAGTAATGTGAGGTCCAACAATTCCACTCCTGGGTCTATACCCAAAATAACTGAAAGCAGGGTCTTGAAGAGGTACTTGCACACCCATGTTCACAGCAGCATTACTCACAAGAGGAAAAAGGTAGAAGCAACCCAAGTGTCCGTCGGCCGATGAATGGATGGGCAAAATGTGGTTTATCCATACAATGAAGTATTACTCGACCTTAAAAAGGAAGGAAATTCTAACATGTGCTATAACATGGATGAACCTCGAGGACATGCTAAGTGAAATAAGCCAGACACAAAAAATAAATACTGTATGATTCCATTTACATGAGGTCCCTAGAGTAGTCAAAATCATATATACAGTAAAATGGTGGTTGCCCAGGCCTAGGGGTGGGAGGAATGGGGATCTCGTATGTAATGAGCACAGAGTTCCAGTTTTTAAGAAGAGTTCTGAAGATGAATAGTGCTATGGTTACACAACATTATGAATGTATTTAACACCACTGAACTGTATACACATAAAAATGGTTAAATGATTAATTTTCTTGTGAGCATTTTACCACCAAAGGAAAAAAAAAAAAAAAACTAGAGGAAAGAAAAAGTAATGTGAGCTTCAAAACCCAGGGCCAAGGTCAGGAAAGGACATCTTTTGTGACTGAAGCCAGTAAGAATCTACACCAAGGTTGAAAAGGAAAAGGCCTACAGGGGCCTGGCAAATCATAAAAATGACGGAATGGAACAGCTGGGAGCCGGAAGAGGGCAGAAAACCCAGTGTTGCCAGATTCAGATTATTTAAGAAACACAATGAATCTGAATCTTTATACAAAACCTGATTTTTAAATGTTCCAACTTCAGGCCAAACAAAACATATCTCTGGGTAAAATATGGACTATGGTGCCTGAGTATGCAATCTCTAATCTACACATTATAAACAGAATTGTTTAATCTTCAGGAAATTCTTCCCAATGGAAATTTATTCTACCGTATAATCCTAATATTAGATCACAAAGAAACATCAAACTTAAAATATAACCTAGCTCTATAATGGCTTAAAAAATAAAAATAAAATACAACCAATGAAACAGCATTGACACAAAAGATTGTCGTCAAAGTGACAAAAGCAAAACAAAGGCTGTGGTGCTTTGGGAGTCTAGAAAGGTTACAGTAATGCAAATGTCGTCCATCTGCACCGTCCAAGCAAGATAATCTATCTATCTAGTGGACAAGGACAGCCATTGCTAGAATACTGAACTCCACAGAGTGGGGTGGAAGAAGATAGCTCATCAGGTTCTGTTGTCTTGAGAAGTACCCTTCAGAAATTCCAACTCCAGACTTGCAAATCACCCTTCAAACTACTATTTGAGGGTAACATCAGAGCAGGAGGCCTTTGAGAACGAGCACTAACAGAACCACTGCAATCAATCAAGAGGCATCTAGTGCAGACCACCAAAGACCCAGGAAGAAGCCACAGTGGCCCCCACTTTCTAGCAGCCACAGCCTGAAGGGAAGGGAGTTTTCAAAATACATAGATAAAAGCAAAGCAGTACAAATATTAGAAAACAATGTGGGATAAACATATAAAAGATGCCACCTACGTAGTGGCATTTCTCAATGAGTAGAAATCATAAATGCTCTAGATTTGAAAGAGATTACAGGAAGCAGGAGCAGGCTTGAAGATCGGTCTGGTGACGGTGAGTTCCAGAAACTGGTTAGAAAGCTACGTTGTCATCTAAACACAAGGCAATGAGGTCCTTCCCTAGGGTAATGTCAGAAGAATGAAAAGGAATGCTAGAATGAAAATATTTACAAGGAAAATAAACAAGGTTTGGTGTTTGACTAAATAAGGATAACCTAGTTCCTGTAATAAATTCACTTATTAATTCATCCACAGGACAGAACAAATGATCCGGCTTCTTCAACAACTGAGGAGCCAATAAATTAAAAACCATACCACCCAACCTCAAAGTGCAGACCACATCTCAATCCTATTCAAAACAAACTTCGGGGAAAAAAAGACTTGATGAGATAATTGGGCATTTAAACACTGAAAATTTGATGCCACCACCTCACTATATTTTTTTCCTCCTCCTCACACCTATTTTAAATTGTTTAGATATGATAAATGGTATTGAGGTTATGTTTACAAATAATAAAAGATACATTAAAACATCTGTGGGTAAAATCAGATCTCCTTCAAAATAATATGGGGAAGAAGACAGGGATGAAGATGTAGCTAGGACAGTATCAGCCACAAATTAATGGTTTTCAGGGGTGAGTGACAAGAGCATGGAGGTTCATTATACTATTATACTATTCTGCCTAAATTGGCATATCTTTTAAATTCTCCATAACAAAAGTTTTTAAAAATTAAATTGCAAATAAAACTTTTACATATTCGATGATCTTTACATAAATTCTATTTCAATTTTCCTAAAAGTGGAACAAAAGGATTACTGACTTGTATATACAGGTCAAAACATAAAGATAGTCACTACTCTTAATAATTATGACCCATCCTATATAAGTTTTTACTTAATTAAAAGTATATATAAATTACGTTTGATAGAAGTAAAGCAAAGGTGAAATTTACCATCTATAAAATACCTGTGCTTTTTAAAAGAACTCTGTGGAAGAAGTTTGAGGACTCCAGAGTTCTAAACGCTTTTCTTTGTAAAAGAAAACTTTCTCACAAGAAAATGTACAATTCTCAAAATTAAACAATCAAATCATTTCAAATTTGAGTGTGCAAAATCTAACAAGATGCACAACAGAATAACTTTTTCTGCTTTCCAGTTTTTTGTTTTGCTTTTTTTTACTAGTATGCTTATAGATACATCATGTAAAAAAATTAATAACACCATAAATTTAATGGAACTAAGGATTGGTAAAGATTAACCTAACTCTCAGCTTGATACTTGGCACACTGTTGATGTTCGAATATTGAATGCATCAGAAAAAATTATAAACATGTTATGATACAACAACTTTTGTGGCTGAATGGGTTTCTCATGTCACATTTCCTCAAGGAATACTGCTCCCTCCATCTTTAAAACAGAAATCTAGATTCTTATACAGCATCTGATTTATATTAGTAACAATTTCTATCCTACAGATTGAGACAAAGAGCGCTAAAAAAGTACTGTCAAAAAAACTAAGCAAAATAAGCCAAAAAAAAAATGCAATAGTAGGACCTGGTAGTTGCCTAAACTGTGTTCATAATTAGATATTTTATTTAATATATTATATGCAATCTGACCACTTTATGCTGAGTCCAGAATTCTAGGGAAATTCAAAACACGTAATTCCTATTATCCATAACTAACTTAATCTAGAGCTGGCAACTAACCATATACACAAACCCTGAGTCCACATATCAAATGTTAGTATCCAGGTAGTAATTCAAGCACAGAGCTAAAGAAAGACTCTTTTCTTGTATTTTTTAAAAAGTTTATTCCTTCTTATTGCTGCACCAAAAGTAGTAAAAGCATGAGCAAAATAATATTTATATTCAATGATAATGCTAAAATATCAAATTCTATAGTAGCAGTCTATTGGCTACCAGTTTATTTTGGCAACCAGCTAGACTCTGCTGGTAAAACTTTGCAAAATTTGTATTTGCTGCAATTTGACTACCTGCTTCCATTAATTATGCAATGATATGCATTCAACCACACATATTTTCTTATCTTTTTAGCTTTTAAGAGTCTCCCTGATTCATCTTCACAAGTATATTCAAAAGTAGTAAATGATCACAGTATTCTTTTTAAAGGGAGAGGCTGAGGAATCATATACAACTTCTGAGTACACAGAACCACGCTCTCCCCACTGTACTCTAATAAAATTAGCAGGACGGGCTCCCTGAGGAAGAGCCCCATTATGAAATTAAAACATACCACGTACTGTTCTCCAGAGGAGCAGACTCTATTTGAGGAGAAATATTAGCCCCACTCAAGTCATTTCACAGCAGAGAGAACAAACAGGTCTATTGTGGGTACCATAATTACATTTTGCATGACTTCCTTCAATTAAAATCGCTATTTAAATTAGCATCCATATAGCAGTAGAGAAATCTAAAAAGTCATTATCTAATATGACCTAATGATGCCTTCCACTAACAAGGAATTAGTCTGAAAATGACTTCATGTATGCCATAAGGCCCTCCCCTCAGTAGCATTATGCAATATAATTTGCAAGAGAAGTGTATGGACATGGGTCAAACTCACTCAATTCTGCACATACTTTAAGGGCTCCAATCTGTACATCCACCAGGGTCAGAGTACACTGAAGCTCCAAAGAAGGGTTGGGTGTGTTTTGTTCATATTAGGTACTCATTAATTACCTAATGATACTGACTAAATTGATGTCTAGTAAAACTATCAGAAGGAACAAAAAGATTTTTAATGGCCTTACTAAAAAAGATGATGTGATCAACATCTCAGTCTTCCCATTAGACTGGCAGCTGTAACCTTTACGCTGTCTATTGTTCATTAGGTTAAACATGACACATGGGGGATGGAGAGGGCAGCATCATATTTTACTGTAAAACAAGAACAGTCTCTGCCTATTTGTGCCATCTGTGGCTACTTTCATCCATGTTAGAGCATCTTCCCCACCTGTTCTAAAGAATAAGTCAACTCACAGAACACCAAAAAAATCAGTGTTCAGGTTAATGAAGATCTTGACACCCAAACCTCCAAATGCTTTCAACCTCCAAACGTTCTGGTCTCAAAACCTTACACTTAGGGGTGGAGAGGACAAAAAAAGAATGAAAATTAGCCAGGCATGGTGGTACATGCCTGTAGTCCCAGCTACTCAGGAGGCTGAGATGGGAGGATCACTTGAGCCTGGGAGGTGGAGGCTGCAGTGAGCAGTGATCACACCACTATACGCCAGCCTGGGCAACAGAATGAGACCCTGTCTCAAAACAAACAAACATACAAAACAAAACAGAAAAGAAAGAAAGACAGGATAAACTCTAGGCTGATGTCTTTAGCACTGTGTTAATGTGCATACCCGCCCAGCCCCCCAAACCATACACACGTAATAGAAGACAGAGGGCTAAGGAAGAAAATGGACTCACACTTGACCAAGGAACTGAAAAGTGCAACTTACACGGAGGTGTTCTTTCCTGTCAGGTTTTGGTTCTGATGTTTAAAGCAGCACCTCTGAGGAGGTATAGCTCCCTGTTTCCGTCTCTAAAAGAGCTGGAAGTATACTACGACAATTTTCACTGCACACTTCCTTGAAATTCATTGCAAATAAGACAAGAGGGGAAAGCCTATGTTCTGATTTTGTTTAAAAGGACAAAAGAGAAACAGAAAACCTAACATTGTATGTTCTCACTTGTAAGTGGGAGTTAAACATTGGGTACACATGGACACAAAGATGGGAACAAGAGACACTGGGGACTCCAAAAGGGGGAACGGAAGGAGGAGGAGGCAAGAGCTGAAGAACTCCCAGTGGGTACTATGTTCACTGTCTGGATGGCAGGATCAACAAAAGCCCAAACCTCAACATTACACAATATACCCTTGTTTTTTTTGTTTGTTTGCTTGTTTTGTTTTGAGACTAAGTCTTACTCTATCGCCCAAGTTGGAGTGCGGTGGCACGATCTTGGCTAACTGCAACCTCCGCCTTCCAGGTTCAAGCAATTCTCGTGCCTCAGCCTCTTGAGTAGCTGGCATTACAGGTGCCCGCCACCATGCCTGGCTAATTTTTGTATTTTTAGTAGAGACGGGGTTTCACCATGTGGGCCAGGCTGGTTTCGAACTCCTGACCTCAAGTGATCTGCGTGCCTTGGCCTCTCAAACTGCTGGGATTACAGGCATGAGCCACTGCGCCTGGCCGCAATACACCCTTGTAACAAACCTGTATGTGTACCCCTGGAATCTAAAAGAAAAAAAAAAGAAACACAAAAGAGGAAAAAAAAAAAAAGAAAGAACAGGAAATTTGATAAAATACCAAGTTTGAGCTTTCTCCCCCAAGCTAAGTGGGTGATATTATTTTCAGCTCCTTTTAACATTTTTTTTTTGGTCTTTAAAAATCATGCATTATATTTTATAAGAATAGTGAAACTTTTTCGAGTCACCCTTCTGGCCTTTCACTAGAAAAAGGCATTCATGTACACATAATACTGGGCAAACAACTTACAGATATGCTTAAAAAAAGCAGCAGTCATTGTACGCTTCATCACCATGCACCCGCAGCAGGGAAAAAAAAAAAAAGCCGCTTTCACGTAAGAATGTCCTCCATAAAGTGAAAATGTGAAGAAATACAAGGGAAAGAAGAAGATCAAATTCAAGAAAGTGGTTAACTGTGGTGGAGAGAGAAAGGGTTCCTATGTGAACAGAAGGCAGTTCACATAGGTTTAAACTGCATTGGAAAGGATTTGTTAAACTGATAGGTACATAAAAGTGTTTCATTCTTTAGAACTTTTTGTATATTATGTTTTTTAATTTTGCTCAAATTTTTCAAAACCTTGTTTTAAAATAAGTAAGTACTGCTCAATAGAGAAGTATACCAGAATCTAGTTTACCAGAACGCGGGGTTCTAAATCAGTAGCCAAGGGCTGAATCTGGCCAGGAGTGTTTGGCTTGGACAGCACTATGTTTGGTTTTGCTTTTTCATTGTAATCTGAATGCCTTGAGGCAGGATATGCACTCTTTAATTAGCCAGAGTTACCTCCATTTTCTTTACAGTAGATGAGAGTTTTTAAAAACTGGAACTCTCACGCATTGCTGGTGGGAATGTAAAACGGTGCGGCAGCTTTGGAAACCAGTTTGGCAATTCCTCAAAATGTTCAGAATACAGTTATCATATGACCCAGAAGCGTTCCATAACTAGAAATGAATCTAAGAGAAATGAAAACGGACGTCCACACAAAGACTTGTACACAAACTGCATTATCCATGAAGCCAAAAGAGTAGAAACAATCCAAATGCCCATCAACTGATGAATGGATAAACAAAATGTGATACAACAGACTATTATTTCATCATAAAAAGGAATGAAGTATTGATAAATGCTACGAAGTGGATAAACCTCAAGAACCTGATGCTAAGAAGCCAATCACAGAAGACCACATCATGTATGATTTCATTTATAGGAAATGTCCAGAACAGGCAAATCTCACATCTACAGAGACAGAAAGTGGATTAATTAACATGGTGATAAAAATGATGTACAAGCAGATAGTGGTGCAGGTTGCACAATTCAGTAAGTGTAATAAAAACCACTGAATGGTTCACTTTAAAGGGGTGGATTGTATTGTCTTACTATTATATCTCAATAAATCTTTTAAAAAATAAACCAGGGACATCTATTTGGTTCTTAGAAGCTTATAAACTGGATTAAACCCCTCAAATTGGGGTCTGAGGACTCTTGGGGGATTCCCCAGAGCTTTTCAGAGAGTCTGGAGGTTGGGATTATTTTCATAACAATACTAAGGCATCTGCCTTTCTCACTGTGTTGACATTTGTGCTGGTGGCACGAACATGATGGAGGGGAAACTGCTGGTGCCCTGGGCACAAAGACATCACAGCGAAGCAGTCTCTGTGCTTTTCATCACCACGCACCCGCAGCAAGGGAGGGAAAAAAAAAAAAAAAAAAAAGCCTTTTCCACATAAGAATGTCCTCCATAAAGCAGAAAGAATGATTATTCATTTTATTCAGTCTCGGCCCTTGAGTACACAGCTATTTAATATTATTGCAGTGAAATGCGAAGATTGAGACAAAATATTTTTTTTAAAAAAGATATGAGGCAAAAAAGAAAAAAAGTATGTTCGAGTTGTGGATTAAACTAGTCACTAGCTTAAACTTTCCACTTGAAACTGACAGTTCCTATGGGAAAATGCACTCCATTTTCCAAACTCACCTATGCCTCAACTTTTATAACACAAATGATTCATACAGTGGAGGCTCCCACTCTCCATGGGAAAATGCACCTTAATCCCTTTTAAGGCAATGTTTTAAGTATACCAATTAACTTTTTAGCCAGAGTTAGCAAGAAAGGCCTGTTTGGTGGGTAGAGGAGAGAAAGAAGCAAAAATAGAAGATAAAACTTAGCTTAAGAAACTATTTGTATCGTGCCACCACACTCCAGCCTGGGCAACAGAGGGAGACCCTATCTCAAAAACAAACAACAACAACAACAAAAAACCCCAAACAAACAAAAAAGAAACTACTTTGCCTACCATGGTGACAGGCATTAATGTTTTATTACAATCTCACCATGGCTTCCAAACAACAACAACGAAAATTTACTACAGGATAAAAGTTTAATAAGTTTTAAGATATAATTCAAATAAAATAAGGCCTAAAGATTTAGTCATTTAAAGGGAAGCAATTTAGAAATATACTGCTGACAAAGATTTGGAAAATCCCAAGAACCGATCTAGAAAACTAATTGAGGGGAAGAAGATAATTCCAAAAAGATATTAATTGTTCTAGTAGTATAAGAAGTGCAGCTCTGCATGAGCAAATAAGTGATAAAATGTATCCATGTGTATCCAGGATAATACACAGAAGAACTAGACTGATCTGGTGGATTCAAGTATTTCAGTCAGGAGAGTGCTCCGAGCAGTGGTGTGGAATAGGAAGAGTTCGTCATTTATCTTTTCCATATTTGCCAAAAACGTCCTTTCGTTCTTATCCTATGTTCACAGCAATGTTTTGACCTGGTTTTCCAATTAGTTGATACCAAGAAGGAGAAGAATGGATTGCTGAGATTAATATTTTATTCACTGTAAACATAAAATCAGAGGTCCTGCCTGTCTCCTTAAGAGATGGCATGTTAGTCCCCAAGACTCCACTCAACATTAAGCAAACTGAGTAAAATAAAGTTTATGACCTTGCAAAGCTGAAATTTCTCTAGAACTAGGTGATTTCTTGGTAGACATCTATACTCAAGCATTGAATTGAATACATTTTGGCTTAAAAATGTAGTAACCGGTCGGGTGTGGTGGCTCACGCCTGTAATCTCAGCATTTTGGGAGGCAAAGGCAGGCGGATCACTTGAGGTCAGGAGTTCGAGACCAGCCTGGCCAACATGGTGAAACCCCTTCTCTACTAAAAATACAAAAATTAGCTGGGAGTGATGGTGGATGCCTGCAATCCCAGCTACTAGGGAGGCTGAGTCAGGAGAATTGGTTGAACCTGGTGGGGCGGAGGTTGCAGTGAGCCAAGATCGCCACCATTTCACTTCAGCCTGGGCAACACAGCAAGACCCAGTCTCAAAAAAAAAAAAAAAATGTAATAACTGGCCCAGTGTGGTGGCTCACACCCGTAATCCCAGCACTTTGGGAGGCCGACGCAGGCAGATCACTTGAGGTCAGGAGTTTGAGACCAGGCTGGCCAACATGGCAAAACTCTGTCTCTACTAAAATACAAAAATTAGCCAGGCATGGTGGTGCACACCTGTAATCCCAGCTACTTGGGAGGCTGAGGCATGAGAATTGCTTGAGCCCAGGAAGCGGAGGCTGGAGTGAGCCGAGATGGCACCCCTGCACTTCAGCCTGGGCGACAGAGTGAGACTCTGCCTCAAAAAAAAAAAAGAAAGAAAAGAAAAAAAAGAAAAACTACTTCTCCTGATGTAGTCTCTTGCCATGCTAGCAACGTTCTGTTTCTTATCTGGGTGCCACTTATATTATAAGGAATGTATTCACTATGAAAATTCATCAAGCTATACATTTTGCTGTATGTGTCTCTATGTTAATAACAATAAACCTGCCCATGTACAGAACACTTTGCAAGATCTTTTAAAAGTCACTAATTTATTTGATCTTTGTGGGAAAAAACTTTTGTGAGACACGTAAGACAGGTTCAAAAAAATTAAAAATAACTCACTATGATAACATAATGAAGGATTCGATTTCAGATTTTCTCCAAATCCAGGGCTCTTTTCTTTTCTTTTTTTTTGAGACGGAGTCTCGCTCTGTCGCCCAGGCTGGAGTGCAGTGGTGTGATCTCGGCTCACTGCAACCTCTGCCTCCCAGGTTCACGCCATTCTCCTGCCTCAGCCTCCCAAGTAGCTGGGACTACAGGCGCCCGCCATCACGCCCGGCTAATTTTTTGTATTTTTAGTAGAGACGGGGTTTCACTGTGTTAGCCAGGATGGTCTCGATCTCCTGACCTCATGATCTGCCCACCTTGGCCTCCCAAAGTGCTGGGATTACAGGCGTCAGCCACTGCGCCCAGCCCAGTGCTCTTTTCAACTCAATTAAACTCAACTCAAAAGAATATCTGCAGAGTGCCAAATACAGCGCTGGTTCTAGAAGGATTTATGAATCCTACTTTGCACAAAGCCTCATGCCAAATGTCTTTCACCTCTCCACTTTCAGGGCCAATACAAAAACATCTCTGATACAGCTGATCTCCAGAAAAGGTCAGCCTATCCCCACTCTGACCCATTCTCTACATTGCCAATCAACAACTTTTCCTAATCCACCTTGATCCTCAATCATAATACTCAAAAACTGCCAAAAACAAAATCTTCCTGACAAAAATACAGGCCAAACTTCCTCATCTGCTTTCCAGGTCTTCTGTAATCTTATCCCAGCTTATTTACAGTCCTCCATTTACTAAGAAAACCCAAAATAATCTTTTCCTGCCCCAAATTCATGTTCTTCCCTTTCCTTTTGTTCATACTACCATACATATCTAGAAATGATACTCAAATATTCATCCTCAGCCCTCGAGTCTCTTTCCCCCAAAGACATTAAAATCCACTGTACAGCTGGAAGTTACAATCCAAAACAATCTATAATCATTAAATTAGGTAGGACAGATTATAACTGACAGGTATTTAGAGGAAAGACATCACTGCGGGCTGCAGGCATACCTTCATGAAGATAGCACTTGAAATGGGCTCTGACAGCATTTGAACTGGCAGAAGTAAAAGCCACTCATGCTAAGGAACCGACTTACATCCTAGCTAATCCTCCAGCCAGCTGCACCTCCTTCAAGAAGCCTTCTTCAATTGCTTCTCAACATAACACTCAGTCTCTTCTGTGTGCTTCTAATACAATTACTACCTCTAATACTCATTCAGGCACACTGTCATCCCATATTATAGACTTCATCTCTTCAACTTGAGTACAGGCTCACAGAAGACAGCAATATGTCTCTACAGGGTAGGCATTCGATATCTATTCAATGCAACTTAATTCAGCAGCCACAGTTGCTTCCAGTTACTTAAACATCCATTGAGCACAGCACTGTTTCTTAACTCACCGGGCATCTCCTTTGGAAAGATTCGTATTTACAGGATTAAGAATAACCTTGTTTGCATCCACATCCACCACACATTTGGTATGCAAGTCAGTCTCTGTGGATAAAAAAACAAGAAAAACAGTCATTTTAAAAAGTAATTTATTTCAGAAAAGGCAAAATTCAGAAAAGACAAAAATTCAATACTCTTTCATAATGCAAACACTCAATGAAGTAGGAATAAAAAAAACTTCCTCCACTTGATAAGGAGCACCAACAAAAACCCACAGCTAACATCACACTTAATGGTGAAGGACTGGGCAGCTTCCCACCCTACATCAGGAATGAGACAAGGATGTCTGCTATCCAATTTCTACTCACCACTGTACTAGGAATTCTAGTCAGGGCAGTTAGGCAAGAAAAATAAACAACAGGCATCCAGATTGGAAAGGAAGAAGTAAATCCTAAGAGAAAATCCTAAGGAAACCGCTAAAAATCTGAGAATAAACATGTTACGCAGAATACAAGAATATATAAAAATCAGTTGTGTTTCTGTATACCAGCAATGAAAAATCTGAAAGTGAAATTAAGAAAACAATTTCATTTATAATAGCGTCAAAAATATCAAAATACTTAGGAATAAATGTAAAAGAAATGCAAGACTTATCACTGAAAATTCCGAAACACCGTTGAAAGAAATTAAAGACGTGTGGGGGATATCCCAATTACTCTGATTTGATCATTACACATTGTATACATGTATCAAAATATCACATGGCCGGGTGCGGTGGCTCACGTCTGTAATCCCAGCACTTTGGGAGGCCGAGGCGGGTGGATTACTTGAGGTCAGGAGTTCGAGACCAGCCTGGCCAACATGAAACCC
The DNA here is from genome assembly GCF_000001405.40 of Homo sapiens. Taxonomy (NCBI): domain Eukaryota; kingdom Metazoa; phylum Chordata; class Mammalia; order Primates; family Hominidae; genus Homo; species Homo sapiens. The sequence continues at coordinate 29,246,205 of NC_000008.11, forward strand.
TGTCTCTACTAAAAATACAAAAATCAGCCAGACATGGTGGTGGGCACCTGTAATGCCAACTACTAGGGAGGCTGAGGCAGGAGAATCGCTTGAACCCAGGAGGCAGAGGTTGCAGTGAGCTGAGATCGTGCCACTGCACTCCAGCCTGGGAGACAAGAGCAAAACTCTGTCTCGGGGGAAAAGAAGAAAAGAAAGAAAAACACAAAATAGGTACAACTGTGATATATCAGTTAAAAAAAAAAAAACTTTTTAAAGAAATTAAAGACTCAAACAGGAAGACACTGCATGTTCATGAATTGAAAGACAATACTGTTAAGATGACAATATTCCCCAATTGATCTACAAGATTCAAGGAAATCCTATTAAAATCTCAACTAGCTTTTTTATAAAAACCAACAAGGTCTGACAATACATACAGAAATGCAAAAAATTCAGAATAGACAAAACAATCTTGAAAAAGAAAAGGAGGGCACTCACCCTCCAATTTCAAAACTTACTACAAAGCCACAGTAATCAAGTCAGTGCAGTACTTACATAAGGAAAGACATATATAAATCGATGGAATAGAATTGAGTCCCCAGAAATATATACTGTCACATTTATGGTCCATTGATTTTGACAACGATGCCAAAACAACCCAATGGAGAAAGAATAGTCTTTTCAACAAATGGTGAGACACTGGATATCCACAGGCAAAAGAATGAAGTTGGATCCCTACCTCACATCACATTCAAAACTCCAAACAGATCAAAGGGCTAAATGTAAAAACTAAAACTATTAAGTTCTTAGAAGAATACAAAAGTGTATATCCACATGGCTTTGGATTAGGTAATGAACACCCAAAACACAGACAACAACAACAAGATAAACTGGACCTCATCAAAATTAAAAACTCTGGGGCTGGGCATGGTGGCTCATGCCCGTAATCCCAGAACTTTGGAAGGCTGAGATGGGGGGATCATTTAAGGCCAGGAGTTCAAGACCAGCCTGAGCAACATAGTGAGACCCCCACGTCTAAAAAAAACAACAAAAAAGTAGCCAGGTATGGTGGTACATACCTATAGTTCCAACTACTGGGGAGGCTGAGGTGGGAGGATCCTTTGAGCCCAGGAGTTCAGGGTTACAGTGAGCTATGAGTGTGCCACTGCACTACAGCCTGGGCAAAAGAGATCTGTCTCTAAAAACAAAAATTTTTTTTAATTAAAAATTTGTGTGATTCAAAAAGCACACCATCGACAGTGAAAAAGGGAATGAAAAAGTATTTGCAAATCATGTATCTAATAAGGAACTTGCATCACAATATATAAAGAACCCTTACAACTCAATAATAAAAAGACAAATAGGCCAGGTGCAATGGCTCACGCCTGTAATCCCAAGACTTTGAGAGACCAAATTGGGAGGACTGCTTGAGCACAGGAGTTTGAGACCAGCCTGGGCAACACAGAGACTCTGTCTCTACAAAGAAAAAAAGTTTTTAAAAATAGCCAGGCATGGTGGTGGGAGCCTATGGTCCCAGCTACTCAGAAGGTTGAGATAGGAGGATGGCTTGAGGCAGGGAGATCAAGGCTGCAGTGAGCTGTGATGGCAATACTGCACTCCAGCCTAGGTGTGAGAGTAAGACCCTGTCTCAAAAAAAAAAAAAAAAAAAAAAAAGACAAATAATCAAATTTTTAAATAGGCAAAGGATCTGAATATACGTCTCTCCAAAACAGATATAAAAATGGCCAATAAGCACAAGAAAAGATGTTCCATATCATTCAACATTGGAATGCAAATCAAAACCACAATGAAATACCATCTCGCATCCACTGGGATAACTATAATCAAAAAGACAGATCATCACAAGGGTTGGCAAGGGTGTGGAGTAATTAGAACCCTCATACATTACTGGTGAGAATGTAAAATGGTGCAGTCACTTCAGATAATAGTCCAGCAGCTCCTCAAAAAGTTAAACAGCGTTACCATCTGACCCAGCAATTCCACTCCTAGATACATACCCATGAGAACACAAAACTTGTACACAAATGTTCACAGTACCATTATTTGGATACTCATAACAGCCAAAAAGTGGACACAACCCAAATGTCCATCAACTGACCAATGGGTAAATGTGGCATATCCCTAGCGCAGAACACTACTGAGCAAAAAAACGAATGAAGAACTGTATTAGTCCATTTTCACACTGCGATAAAGATATACTCGAGACTGGGCAATTTACAAGAGAAAGATGTTTAATGGACTCACAGTTTCACGTGACTAGGGAGGCCTCACAAACATGGCAGAAGGCGAAAGGCACATCTCACATGGCAGCAGAGAAGAGAAGGACAGCCAAGCGAACAGGGTTTCCCCTTATAAAACCAGCAGATCTCGTGAGACTTATTCATTACCATGAGAACAGTATGGAAGAAACTGACCCCATGATTCATTTGTCTCCCACTGGGTCCCTCCCACAACACGAGGGAATTATGGCAGCTACAATTCGAGATGGGATTTGGGTGGGGACACAGCCAAACTATATCAAGAACTGATACAAGCTACACTGTGTATGAAGCTAATGCTAAGTGAAAAAAGCCAGTCATCAAAAACCATACATTGTATGATTCCACTTACTTGAAATATCCAGAATAGGGAAATTTGTAGAGACAAAATAAATTAGTGTTGTCTAGGGCCAAGGAGTGACTGCTAACAGGTACAGTTTTCTTTCAGGGCTGATGAAAATGTTCTAAAATTGATTGTGCTGATGGCTGTACAACAGTGAGCAAACTAAAAACACTGAATTGGTTGAATTGTATGGGGCATGAATGATGTCTCAATACAGCTGTTTTAAAAAAGTAAAGACCATGGCTTGTTTATCCTCTCATATTCTTATATTCTTATATTTTTCTGAACCAAAGTATGAAACTGTTTGTTTCCCTTATCTCCGCTACTAAAAGATAAGCTCTGCCGGGCACAGTGGCTCATGCCTGTAATCCCATCACTTTGGGAGGCCGAGAAGGGTGGATCACTTGAGATCAGGAGTCTGAGACCAGCCTGGCCAACATGGTGAAACCCCGTCTCTACTAAATATACAAAAAAATTAGCTAGGCGTGGTGGCATGTGCCTGTAGTCCCAGCTACTCGAGAGGCTGAGGCACGAGAATCACTTGAAACCAGGAGGTGGAGGTTGCAGTGAGCCAAGATCACGCCACTGCACTCCAGCCTGGGCGACAGAGCAAGACTCCGTCTTTAAAAAAAAAAAAAAAAAAAAAAAGATAAGCTCTAAGGAAAGGAACAATACCATGTCAGAGTTATGCTGTACTTCCTAAAGAACCTTGGCCAAATGTCAATGTCATATTCATTATAACTTAAGAGTGTGTCCACTCTCAAGAAAGGTAATTGTTTTTTTCACTTTAACTCACATAATTAAGCCAAATGCAAAAAAGCAAAACAAAACAAAAACTTCCTTCCCTGTGCTGGCCAAAACTTAACTTTTCTCACATCAGTTATTTTACATTTATTCTCAAATACGTATTCAAAAAGTACTAAGTAGTTAGTGGTCTCTCCTTTAGCCAACACATTTTTCAAGCAAAGAGCAAAGAGAATCAAAAGGAAAACTTTAGAGCTATGTTTTACCTAAATGTGGAAACACAAACCCAAAAAAGGCAAATCTGTTCTACCATGGTCAACTGGCATTAAAGTCTATTTCTGATGTTTTGTCTTTAAATCTGCTCTAGACTATCACAGAAATGCTGCAAGAAAGTCTCAGCCACACTGCAACAAGTTTTCAAACATGCAATTTTACCTCTTCACTTCCTCAGGCCCAGAGGTCCATGAGAGTTTCTTAAAACCACTGCTTAATGGAATCTGACCATATTGTATCAGCTGGCTCCTTACAGTCAAATCTGTATCATACACAAGCACATTATCAACTCTCCGGAAATCTACTGTGACTCACCACCCACCACAAAGTTGGTCATTAGTTTCTTGCAAGAACATTTCGTCTGCACAGAAGAACTCTAAGTGCCGTTCTCATACAGAATACATCTAGAACGCAGGCCTGAAAAAAATGGGTGGTTCATCAAACATTTCCCCCACAATAGTGCAGTTCCTTCATTTCAAATTATCTTCAATTAAGAAGGCAGCCAAATACTGTCCTTCAGTATTCACGTTTCTCTCATATGCTCTTAACAGCTTCTCCCTCTGCCACCCCCTACACCATGCATATCATCAGATAAAACCAATAACTTGGAAGAATTAAATGGTATGATTAAGGGACCAATCCCTAGAAAATCCAAAATAATACAAAAAAATCACCTAATAACTAATACACCTAACCTAAACTCATTTTGTCCTAGAGACGGCAACTTAAAAATGTCCCTTACATCTAACACCCATCAAAGATGGCCTTTAATATGTAAACAACCATCTTCACTATTTCAATCTTTTTTGTCAAATAAAATTCCCACCCCAACCCTGTCGATTGAAGGATAGTAAGAGAAGGCTTTTCAAAGGACTGTTGAGAATATGTATACGGGCAGAACATCTAGGACACATGCCCAATCAAATAAAGGCAGTGAGATCTGAAGCAAGCTTAAGGGTCAGATATATGAAAAGCATTTTAAAATGAAACACATTTCGATATAAAATGCTATAGCTAGTGTACCATCAAATGTTACTAGTTGAATTAAATTGTGTTGCTACAAGATTTTAAATATGACACACTCGCCACTGAAAACTTCTTGCTGTATATAGCACTTAGAAAGCAAAGCAGTGGCGTAGACAACATGGTGAAACCCCATCTCTACAAAAAATACAAAAATTAGCCGGGCGTGGAGGTGGGAGCCTGTAATCCCAGCTACTCGGGAGGCCAAGGCGGAAGAATCACTTGAACCCGGGAGGCAGAGGTTGCAGTGAGCCGAGATCACACCTCTGCACTCCAGCCTGGGCAACGAGGGGAGACCCTGTCTGGAAGAAAAAAAAAGGCAAAACAATGATTAAATAGCAGTTACAAATTTAAGCCTTAAATTTAGCCTGGAAAAACAAACAAAAAACACCTATCAAAAATCCAAAAGATCAACACCTTTCTCTTGGCTTAAAATACTAAATTAAAAAAAGCCTAGCTGCTATGCACTGCCTTTGTAAAAACAGCACTAAAGTGTACCCGTGTTCACAGCAGCAGCTAAAATGCAGAGGCAACCCAAGCACCCACTGACGAATGGAGAAACAAAACGTATATACATACACTGGAAAAGTATTCAGCCTTAAAAAGGAAGGAAATTCTGACGCATCATATCATGAACCTTGAAGATATCATGCTAAGTGAAATAAGCAAGTCACAAAAGGTCTATGATTCCATTTATATGAGGTACCTAGGGTAGTCAAATTCATAGAGACACAATGTAGAATGGGGGTTATGAGGGGTTGGGGGAAAATGAGAAAGAGGAGTTGTTATTTAATGGAGATGGAGTTTCAGTTTTGCAAGATGAAAAACATTCTGCGAATAGATGGTGGTGATGGTGATACAACAATGTGAAATGTACTCAATGCTACTGAACTGTGCACTTCAAAGGCTAAAATGGTAAATATATTGTATTTCACAATTTAAAATATAGCACTCAATACTATTATAAGTAACACATGGACAACAGTTTATTCATAGTGAAGCCTAAAATAACAAGATAATTTAATTAGTACTATGTATAAGAAGCAATTAAAAACCAGAGTGATCTTAAAGTAGTACTGTAAGTTTATTTCATGAGTAATCAAGCTTTACAGTACTCAGAACCACAAATGCTTTGACATACCCATGAGCCAGGAAAGGAAAGAAAGGAAAAAAAAGGAAAAAGGAAAAAGGGAAGGGGGATGGGAGAAGGGGGAAGCGGGAAGGAAGGGGAGGAAGGAAAAAAAGGAAGAAATTAATTTATTCCACCAACATTAAAGATTCCGTATTATTTCCCAAACAAGATTCCTTTCCAGGGCAAATTCCCCACAATGAATATTAAAATATCAACAGCTGACAACTCAGTTTATTCAGCCAGCATATTAGTCACCTTGTAAAAGTGAACAATAATTTAAAACAAGTCTTTCTTCGCTGTACACATCAGCTATGGCTAGCACCCAGTGACATCATAGTAAAACACGGGCAGGGCCTGGGAGACTCCCTTTACATAACTCATGTTCCATCTGGGGAAATGCATCATTCTCAGTTTGAACAAAATAATCTGCTTTTCTAATTCTCATTTTCTAATTCTCCAGAAAATTAATAATAATTTCCAAACCAAATCTATTATGCAGAAACATAGGTGTACCTCCCTTTATCTACCAGTCATGTTCCTAAATATCTAACTATAATTTACTCTTAAATTCATTTGGGTTCATTTTTTAAAGATAGATAATAAGCTATTTGTAAGATTTACTTATTCAACCGCAAACTTTGCATGCCACATGTGATCCTATTTTCAACCAATTAGTGTCACATACCCAATACTTTTCCATGTCTACACATGTTCATACATAAAATATTCATCAATGATATTTATGTAGGAAGGACTTGTTTTCCCAATTGGAATATAATATTTAATGGCATAGCAGGAAACACTACCTATACTACTTTGTTCTATTTATAAGTTACTTGGGACCCCCTTTTTTATTGAGATCTGCTGACCCTGGGAGAAAAAAAATTATGTGATACCATATAAGTAAAAAGCAAATTGGTCTTTATTTTCTAAAAAGAGATATATAAAATAACCTAATCACTACTTTTATATTGTTACTAGTAAACATGAAAATGTATTAAATAAATAAAAGATTAAAATACAACTGAGCTCTAACATGGCTAACACAAGAATGAGATGCCAGGTTAGGAGAGGAGATGTGATAGTGTGAAAATAATTAAAATAATCCCCCAGCTACTTGGGAGTCTGAAGCAGGGGGATCACTTGAGGCCAGGAGTTCAAGACTAGCCTGAGCAACACAGCAAGAACCTGTCCCTAAAACAAATTTAAAAAAAATAATTAGCCAGGTGTAGTGGCATGCACCTGTAGCCCAGCTTCTCAGGAGGCTGAGATGGAAGGATCATTTGAGCCCATGAGTTACAGGCTGTGATGAGCTATGATTGTGCTACTACACTCCAGCCTGGGCAACAGAGCAAGACCCCATATCTGAAAACAAATAAAATAATCCTATGTGACCAAAAACATAAAATGTTCATACTCAAGAAATGAATCAGCTGGGTGCAGTGGCTCATGCCTGTAATCCTAGCACTTTGGGAGGCTGAGGTGGGAAGACATCTTGAGCCCAGGAGGTCAAGGTCATAGTGAGCTATGATCACACCACTGCACTTCAGCCTGGGCAACAGAATGAGACTCCATCTCTAAACAAATAAACAGTTTAAAAAAGAAACCAATCAACCTCAGAAGACTAAGAAACAGGTATTTAAAAAACTCATAAGGCACCTGGCCAACATGGTGAAACCCTATCTCTACCAAAAATACAAAAATTAGCCAGGCAGGGTGGCAGGCACCTGTAATCCCAGAAACTCAGGAGGCTGAGAAAGGAGAACTGCTTGAATCTGGGAGGCAGAGGCTGCAGTGAGCCAAGATTACGACATTACACTCCAGCCTGGGTGAGAAGAGTGAGACTGTCTCAAAAAAAAAAAAAAAAAAAAAAAAAAACCCGCTTAAGGCAGAACTAGAATAGCCAAAACAATCTTGAAAAAGAAAAACAAAGTCAGAGGACTTGACTCCCAGTTTCGAAACTTAATACAAAGGTAGAGTAATCAAGACAGTGTGGTACTTACATAAGGAAAGACATATATACATTGATGGAATGGAATTGGGAGTCCAGAAACATACTGTCAC